>NC_000023.11:62107393-62412542 GCF_000001405.40 Homo sapiens | reverse complement strand
TCTCTCTCGTCTTTCTGTGAAGATAAAGGAAAAGGCTTTCAGGCCTTTTCCACCACAGGCCTGAAAGCGCTCGAAATGTCCACTTGCAGATTCTGCCAAAAGAATACTTCAAAACTGCTCTATGAAAAGCAATGTTAAACTCTGTGGCTCGAACACAAACATCACAAAGCAGTTTCTGAGAATGCTTCAGTTTAGTTTTTCTGTGGAAATATTCCCGTTTCCAAAGAAATCTTCAAAGAGGTCCACGTATCCACTTACAGATTCTACAAAAAGACAGTTTCAAAACTGCTCCATCAAAAGGAGGGTTCAACTGTGTGACTTGAATGCAATCATCACTCAGAAGTTTCTGAGAATGCTTCTCTTTAGTTTTTACGTGAACATATACCCGTTTCGAACGAAGGCCACCCAGTGGTCCAAATATCCACTTGCAGATTCTACAGAAAGAGTGTTTCGAACCTGAACTCTCAAAGGCAGGTTCATCTCTGCGAGTTAAATGCATTCATCATGAAGAACTTTCTCAGAGTGTTTGTGTTTAGTTATGGGAAATTATTCCCGTTTCCAACGAAATCCTCAGAGAGCTCCAAATATCCACCTGCAGATTCTACCAAAAGTGTATTTGGAAACTGCTCCAACAAAAGGCATGTTAAGCTCTGTGAGTGAAACTCCATCATCACAAAGAATATTCTGAGAATGCTTCCGTTTGCCTTTTATATGAAGTTCCTTCCTATACGACCGTAGGCCTCAAAGCAGTCCAAATCTCCATTTGCAGATTCTACAAAAAGAGTGATTCCAATCTGCTCTATCAATAGGATTGTTCAACTCCATGAGTTGAATGCCATCCTCACAAAGTCGTTTCTGAGAATGCTTCTATCTGGTTTTTGTGTGAAGATATTTCCTTTTCCACCACAGGCCTCAAAGCCCTCCAAACGTCCACTTGCAGATTCTCGAAAAAGAGTGTTTCATAGCTGCTCTTTCAAAAGGAAAGTTCAACTCTGGCAGTTGAATACAAACATCACAAAGTAGTTTCCGAGAATGCTTCTGTTTAGTTTTTATGTGAAGATGATCCCGTTTCCAGTGAAATCTTCAAAGAGGTCCACATATCCCCTTGCAGATTCCAAAGAAAGAGGGTTTCAAAACTGCTCCATCAGAAGGATTGTTCAACTCTGTGAGTTGAATGCAGTCATCGCAGAAAACTTTCTGAGAATGCTTCTGTCTAGGTTTGATGTGAAGATATAGACGTTTCAAACGAAGGCTACAAAGTGGTCAAAATATACACTTGCAGATTCTACTACAAGGGTGTTGCAAACCTGAACTATCAAAGGAAGGTTCAACTCTGTGAGTTGAATACAAACATCACAAAGAATGTTCTGAGTTTGCTTCCGTTTAGTTATGGGAAATTGATACCGTTTCCAACGAAATCCTCAGAGAGGTCCAAATATCCCCTTGCAGATTCTACAAAACGTGTGTTTGGAAACTGCTCCATCATAACGAATGTTCAGCTCTCTGAGTTAAACTCCATCGTCACAAAGAATTTTCTGAGAGTGCTACCGTCTGGTTTTTATATGAAGTTCTTTCCTTCACTACCACAGGCCTCAAAGCGGTCCAAATCTCCACTTGCAGATTCTACAAAAAGAGTGTTTGCAAACTGCTCTATCAAAAGGAATGTTCAACTCTGGGAGTTGAATGCAATCATCACAGAGCAGTTTCTGAGAATGCTTCTATGTCGTTTTTAGGAGAAGATATTTCCTTTTCCAACACAGTCCTCCAAGCCCGCTAAATAGCCACTTGCACATTGTAGAAAAAGTGTGTCAAAGCTGCGCTATCAAAGGGAAAGTTCAACTCTGTGAGGTGAATGCAAACATCCCAAAGAAGTTTCTGAGAATGCTTCCGTTTAGCTTTTAGGTGAAGATTATCCCGTTTCCAACGAAACCTTCAAAGAGGTCCAAATATCCCCTTGCGGATCCCACAGAAAGAGTGTTTCGAAACTGCTGTTTCAAAAGGAATCTTCAACTCTGTGAGTTGAATGCAATCATCACAAAGAAGTTTCTGACAATGCTTCTCTCTCGTCTTTCTGTGAAGATAAAGGAAAAGGCTTTCAGGCCTTTTCCACCACAGGCCTGAAAGCGCTCCAAATGTCCACTTGCAGATTCTGCGAAAAGAATATTTCAAAACTGCTCTATGAAAAGCAATGTTAAACTCTGCGGCTCGAACACAAACATCACAAAGCGGTTTCTGAGAATGCTTCAGTTTAGTTTTTCTGTGGAAATATTCCCGTTTCCAAAGAAATCTTCAAAGAGGTCCACGTATCCACTTACAGATTCTACAAAAAGACAGTTTCAAAACTGCTCCATCAATAGGAGGGTTCAACTGTGTGACTTGAATGCAATCATCACTCAGAAGTTTCTGAGAATGCTTCTCTTTAGTTTTTACGTGAACATATACCCGTTTCGAACGAAGGCCACCCAGTGGTCCAAATATCCACTTGCAGATTCTACAGAAAGAGTGTTTCGAACCTGAACTCTCAAAGGCAGGTTCATCTCTGCGAGTTAAATGCATTCATCATGAAGAACTTTCTCAGAGTGTTTGTGTTTAGTTATGGGAAATTATTCCCGTTTCCAACGAAATCCTCAGAGAGGTCCAAATATCCACCTGCAGATTCTACCAAAAGTGTATTTGGAAACTGCTCCATCAAAAGGCATGTTCAGCTCTGTGAGTGAAACTCCATCATCACAAAGAATATTCTGAGAATGCTTCCGTTTGCCTTTTATATGAAGTTCCTTCCTATACTACCGTAGGCCTCAAAGCAGTCCAAATCTCCATTTGCAGATTCTACAAAAAGAGTGATTCCAATCTGCTCTATCAATAGGATTGTTCAACTCCATGAGTTGAATGCCATCCTCACAAAGTAGTTTCTGAGAATGCTTCTATCTAGTTTTTATGTGAAGATATTTCCTTTTCCACCACAGGCCTCAAAGCCCTCCAAACGTCCACTTGCAGATTCTCGAAAAAGAGTGTTTCATAGCTGCTCTTTCAAAAGGAAAGTTCAACTCTGGGAGTTGAATACAAACATCACAAAGTAGTTTCCGAGAATGCTTCTGTTTAGTTTTTATGTGAAGATGATCCCGTTTCCAGTGAATTCTTCAAAGAGGTCCACATATCCCCTTGCAGATTCCAAAGAAAGATGGTTTCAAAACTGCTCCATCAAAAGGATTGTTCAACTCTGTGAGTTGAATGCAGTCATCACAGCAAACTTTCTGAGAATGCTTCTGTCTAGGTTTGATGTGAAGATATAGACGTTTCAAACGAAGGCTACAAAGTGGTCAAAATATACACTTGCAGATTCTACTACAAGGGTGTTGCAAACCTGAACTATCAAAGGAAGGTTCAACTCTGTGAGTTGAATACAAACATCACAAAGAATGTTCTGAGTTTGCTTCCGTTCAGTTACGGGAAGTTGATCCCGTTTCCAACGAAATCCTCGGAGAGGTCCAAATATCCCCTTGCAGATTCTACAAAACGTGTGTTTGGAAACTGCTCCATCATAACGAATGTTCAGCTCTCTGAGTTAAACTCCATCGTCCCAAAGAATTTTCTGAGAGTGCTACCATCTAGTTTTCATACGAAGTTCTTTCCTTTACTACCACAGGCCTCAAAGCGGTCCAAATCTCCACTTGCAGATTCTACAAAAAGAGTGTTTGCAAACTGCTCTATCAAAAGGAATGTTCAACTCTGGGAGTTGAATGCAATCATCACAGAGCAGTTTCTGAGAATGCTTCTATGTCGTTTTTAGGAGAAGATATTTCCTTTTCCAACACAGTCCTCCAAGCCCGCTAAATACGACTTGCACATTGTAGAAAAAATGTATCAAAGCTGCGCTATCAGAGGGAAAGTTCAACTCTGTGAGGTGAATGCAAACATCCCAAAGAAGTTTCTGAGAATGCTTCCGTTTAGCTTTTAGGTGAAGATTATCCCGTTTCCAACGAAATCTTCAAAGAAGTCCAAATATCCCCTTGCGGATCCCACAGAAAGAGTGTTTCGAAACTGCTGTTTCAAAAGGAATCTTCAACTCTGTGAGTTGAATGCAAAAATCACAAAGAAGTTTCTGACAATGCTTCTCTCTCGTCTTTCTGTGAAGATAAAGGAAAAGGCTTTCAGGCCTTTTCCACCACAGGCCTGAAAGCGCTCCAAATGTCCACTTGCAGATTCTGCGAAAAGAATATTTCAAAACTGCTCTATGAAAAGCAATGTTAAACTCTGTGGCTCGAACACAAACATCACAAAGCGGTTTCTGAGAATGCTTCAGTTTAGTTTTTCTGTGGAAATATTCCCGTTTCCAAAGAAATCTTCAAAGAGGTCCACGTATCCACTTACAGATTCTACAAAAAGACAGTTTCAAAACTGCTCCATCAAAAGGAGGGTTCAACTGTGTGACTTGAATGCAATCATCACTCAGAAGTTTCTGAGAATGCTTCTCTTTAGTTTTTACGTGAACATATACCCGTTTCGAACGAAGGCCACCCAGTGGTCCAAATATCCACTTGCAGATTCTACAGAAAGAGTGTTTCGAACCTGAACTCTCAAAGGCAGGTTCATCTCTGCGAGTTAAATGCATTCGTCATGAAGAACTTTCTCAGAGTGTTTGTGTTTAGTTATGGGAAATTACTCCCGTTTCCAACGAAATCCTCTGAGAGGTCCAAATATCCACCTGCAGATTCTACCAAAAGTGTATTTGGAAACTGCTCCATCAAAAGGCATGTTCAGCTCTGTGAGTGAAACTCCATCATCACAAAGAATATTCTGAGAATGCTTCCGTTTGCCTTTTATATGAAGTTCCTTCCTGTACTACTGTAGGCCTCAAAGCAGTCCAAATCTCCATTTGCAGATTCTACAAAAAGAGTGATTCCAATCTGCTCTATCAATAGGATTGTTCAACTCCATGAGTTGAATGCCATCCTCACAAAGTAGTTTCTGAGAATGCTTCTATCTAGTTTTTATGTGAAGATATTTCCTTTTCCACCACAGGCCTCAAAGCCCTCCAAACGTCCACTTGCAGATTTTCGAAAAAGAGTGTTTCATAGCTGCTCTTTCAAAAGGAAAGTTCAACTCTGGGAGTTGAATACAAACATCACAAAGTAGTTTCCGAGAATGCTTCTGTTTAGTTTTTATGTGAAGATGATCCCGTTTCCAGTGAAATCTTCAAAGAGGTCCACATATCCCCTTGCAGATTCCAAAGAAAGAGGGTTTCAAAACTGCTCCATCAGAAGGATTGTTCAACTCTGTGAGTTGAATGCAGTCATCGCAGAAAACTTTCTGAGAATGCTTCTGTCTAGGTTTGATGTGAAGATATAGACGTTTCAAACGAAGGCTACAAAGTGGTCAAAATATACACTTGCAGATTCTACTACAAGGGTGTTGCAAACCTGAACTATCAAAGGAAGGTTCAACTCTGTGAGTTGAATACAAACATCACAAAGAATGTTCTGAGTTTGCTTCCGTTCAGTTATGGGAAGTTGATCCCGTTTCCAACGAAATCCTCAGAGAGGTCCAAATATCCCCTTGCAGATTCTACAAAACGTGTGTTTGGAAACTGCTCCATCATAACGAATGTTCAGCTCCCTGAGTTAAACTCCATCGTCACAAAGAATTTTCTGAGAGTGCTACCGTCTGGTTTTTATATGAAGTTCTTTCCTTCACTACCACAGGCCTCAAAGCGGTCCAAATCTCCACTTGCAGATTCTACAAAAAGAGTGTTTGCAAACTGCTCTATCAAAAGGAATGTTCAACTCTGGGAGTTGAATGCAATCATCACAGAGCAGTTTCTGAGAATGCTTCTATGTCGTTTTTAGGAGAAGATATTTCCTTTTCCAACACAGTCCTCCAAGTCCGCTAAATAGCCACTTGCACATTGTAGAAAAAGTGTGTCAAAGCTGCGCTATCAAAGGGAAAGTTCAACTCTGTGAGGTGAATGCAAACATCCCAAAGAAGTTTCTGAGAATGCTTCCGTTTAGCTTTTAGGTGAAGATTATCCCGTTTCCAACGAAACCTTCAAAGAGGTCCAAATATCCCCTTGCGGATCCCACAGAAAGAGTGTTTCGAAACTGCTGTTTCAAAAGGAATCTTCAACTCTGTGAGTTGAATGCAATCATCACAAAGAAGTTTCTGACAATGCTTCTCTCTCGTCTTTCTGTGAAGATAAAGGAAAAGGCTTTCAGGCCTTTTCCACCACAGGCCTGAAAGCGCTCCAAATGTCCACTTGCAGATTCTGCGAAAAGAATATTTCAAAACTGCTCTATGAAAAGCAATGTTAAACTCTGTGGCTCGAACACAAACATCACAAAGCGGTTTCTGAGAATGCTTCAGTTTAGTTTTTCTGTGGAAATATTCCCGTTTCCAAAGAAATCTTCAAAGAGGTCCACGTATCCACTTACAGATTCTACAAAAAGACAGTTTCAAAACTGCTCCATCAAAAGGAGGGTTCAACCGTGTGACTTGAATGCAATCATCACTCAGAAGTTTCTGAGAATGCTTTCTCTTTAGTTTTTACGTGAACATATACCCGTTTCGAACGAAGGCCAGCCAGTGGTCCAAATATCCACTTGCAGATTCTACAGAAAGAGTGTTTCGAACCTGAACTCTCAAAGGCAGGTTCATCTCTGCGAGTTAAATGCATTCATCATGAAGAACTTTCTCAGCGTGTTTGTGTTTAGTTATGGGAAATTATTCCCGTTTCCAACGAAATCCTCAGAGAGCTCCAAATATCCACCTGCAGATTCTACCAAAAGTGTATTTGGAAACTGCTCCATCAAAAGGCATGTTCAGCTCTGTGAGTGAAACTCCATCATCACAAAGAATATTCTGAGAATTCTTCCGTTTGCCTTTTATATGAAGTTCCTTCCTATACTACCGTAGGCCTCAAAGCAGTCCAAATCTCCATTTGCAGATTCTACAAAAAGAGTGATTCCAATCTGCTCTATCAATAGGACTGTTCAACTCCATGAGTTGAATGCCGTCCTCACAAAGTAGTTTCTGAGAATGCTCTATCTAGTTTTTATGTGAAGATATTTCCTTTTCCACCACAGGCCTCAAAGCCCTCCAAACGTCCACTTGCAGATTCTCGAAAAAGAGTGTTTCATAGCTGCTCTTTCAAAAGGAAAGTTCAACTCTGGGAGTTGAATACAAACATCACAAAGTAGTTTCCGAGAATGCTTTCTGTTTAGTTTTTATGTGAAGATGATCCCGTTTCCAGTGAAATCTTCAAAGAGGTCCACATATCCCCTTGCAGATTCCAAAGAAAGAGGGTTTCAAAACTGCTCCATCAGAAGGATTGTTCAACTCTGTGAGTTGAATGCAGTCATCGCAGAAAACTTTCTGAGAATGCTTCTGTCTAGGTTTGATGTGAAGATATAGACGTTTCAAACGAAGGCTACAAAGTGGTCAAAATATACACTTGCAGATTCTACTACAAGGGTGTTGCAAACCTGAACTATCAAAGGAAGGTTCAACTCTGTGAGTTGAATACAAACATCACAAAGAATGTTCTGAGTTTGCTTCCGTTCAGTTATGGGAAGTTGATCCCGTTTCCAACGAAATCCTCAGAGAGGTCCAAATATCCCCTTGCAGATTCTACAAAACGTGTGTTTGGAAACTGCTCCATCATAACGAATGTTCAGCTCCCTGAGTTAAACTCCATCGTCACAAAGAATTTTCTGAGAGTGCTACCGTCTGGTTTTTATATGAAGTTCTTTCCTTTACTACCACAGGCCTCAAAGCGGTCCAAATCTCCACTTGCAGATTCTACAAAAAGAGTGTTTGCAAACTGCTCTATCAAAAGGAATGTTCAACTCTGGGAGTTGAATGCAATCATCACAGAGCAGTTTCTGAGAATGCTTCTATGTCGTTTTTAGGAGAAGATATTTCCTTTTCCAACACAGTCTTCCAAGCCCGCTAAATATCCACTTGCACATTGTAGAAAAAGTGTGTCGAAGCTGCGCTATCAAAGGGAAAGTTCAACTCTGTGAGGTGAATGCAAACATCCCAAAGAAGTTTCTGAGAATGCTTCCGTTTAGCTTTTAGGTGAAGATTATCCCGTTTCCAACGAAATCTTCAAAGAGGTCCAAATATCCCCTCGCGGATCCCACAGAAAGAGTGTTTCGAAACTGCTGTTTCAAAAGGAATCTTCAACTCTGTGAGTTGAATGCAATCATCACAAAGAAGTTTCTGACAATGCTTCTCTCTCGTCTTTCTGTGAAGATAAAGGAAAAGGCTTTCAGGCCTTTTCCACCACAGGCCTGAAAGCGCTCCAAATGTCCACTTGCAGATTCTGCCAAAAGAATATTTCAAAACTGCTCTATGAAAAGCAATGTTAAACTCTGTGGCTCGAACAGAAACATCACAAAGCCGTTTCTGAGAATGCTTCAGTTTAGTTTTTCTGTGGAAATATTCCCGTTTCCAAAGAAATCTTCAAAGAGGTCCACGTATCCACTTACAGATTCTACAAAAAGACAGTTTCAAAACTGCTCCATCAAAAGGAGGGTTCAACCGTGTGACTTGAATGCAATCATCACTCAGAAGTTTCTGAGAATGCTTCTCTTTAGTTTTTACGTGAACATATACCCGTTTCGAACGAAGGCCACCCAGTGGTCCAAATATCCACTTGCAGATTATACAGAAAGAGTGTTTGAAACCTGAACTCTCAAAGGCAGGTTCATCTCTGCGAGTTAAATGCATTCATCATGAAGAACTTTCTCAGAGTGTTTGTGTTTAGTTATGGGAAATTATTCCCGTTTCCAACGAAATCCTCAGAGAGCTCCAAATATCCACCTGCAGATTCTACCAAAAGTGTATTTGGAAACTGCTCCATCAAAAGGCATGTTCAGCTCTGTGAGTGAAACTCCATCATCACAAAGAATATTCTGAGAATGCTTCCGTTTGCCTTTTATATGAAGTTCCTTCCTGTACTACTGTAGGCCTCAAAGCAGTCCAAATCTCCATTTGCAGATTCTACAAAAAGAGTGATTCCAATCTGCTCTATCAATAGGATTGTTCAACTCCATGAGTTGAATGCCATCCTCACAAAGTAGTTTCTGAGAATGCTTCTATCTAGTTTTTATGTGAAGATATTTCCTTTTCCACCACAGGCCTCAAAGCCCTCCAAACGTCCACTTGCAGATTCTCGAAAAAGAGTGTTTTATAGCTGCTCTTTCAAAAGGAAAGTTCAACTCTGGGAGTTGAATACAAACATCACAAAGTAGTTTCCGAGAATGCTTCTGTTTACTTTTTATGTGAAGATGATCCCGTTTCCAGTGAAATCTTCAAAGAGGTCCACATATCCCCTTGCAGATTCCAAAGAAAGAGGGTTTCAAAACTGCTCCATCAGAAGGATTGTTCAACTCTGTGAGTTGAATGCAGTCATCGCAGAAAACTTTCTGAGAATGCTTCTGTCTAGGTTTGATGTGAAGATATAGATGTTTCAAACGAAGGCTACAAAGTGGTCAAAATATACACTTGCAGATTCTACTACAAGGGTGTTGCAAACCTGAACTATCAAAGGAAGGTTCAACTCTGTGAGTTGAATACAAACATCACAAAGAATGTTCTGAGTTTGCTTCCGTTCAGTTATGGGAAGTTGATCCCCTTCCCAACGAAATCCTCAGAGAGGTCCAAATATCCCCTTGCAGATTCTACAAAACGTGTGTTTGGAAACTGCTCCATCATAACGAATGTTCAGCTCTCTGAGTTAAACTCCATCGTCACAAAGAATTTTCTGAGAGTGCTACCGTCTGGTTTTTATATGAAGTTCTTTCCTTCACTACCACAGGCCTCAAAGCGGTCCAAATCTCCACTTGCAGATTCTACAAAAAGAGTGTTTGCAAACTGCTCTATCAAAAGGAATGTTCAACTCTGGGAGTTGAATGCAATCATCACAGAGCAGTTTCTGAGAATGCTTCTATGTCGTTTTTAGGAGAAGATATTTCCTTTTCCAACACAGTCCTCCAAGCCCGCTAAATAGCCACTTGCACATTGTAGAAAAAGTGTGTCAAAGCTGCGCTATCAAAGGGAAAGTTCAACTCTGTGAGGTGAATGCAAACATCCCAAAGAAGTTTCAGAGAATGCTTCCGTTTAGCTTTTAGGTGAAGATTATCCCGTTTCCAACGAAACCTTCAAAGAGGTCCAAATATCCCCTTGCGGATCCCACAGAAAGAGTGTTTCGAAACTGCTGTTTCAAAAGGAATCTTCAACTCTGTGAGTTGAATGCAATCATCAAAAAGAAGTTTCTGACAATGCTTCTCTCTCGTCTTCCTGTGAAGATAAAGGAAAAGGCTTTCAGGCCTTTTCCACCACAGGCCTGAAAGCGCTCCAAATGTCCACTTGCAGATTCTGCCAAAAGAATATTTCAAAACTGCTCTATGAAAAGCAATGTTAAACTCTGTGGCTCGAACACAAACATCACAAAGCAGTTTCTGAGAATGCTTCAGTTTAGTTTTTCTGTGGAAATATTCCCGTTTCCAAAGAAATCTTCAAAGAGGTCCACGTATCCACTTACAGATTCTACAAAAAGACAGTTTCAAAACTGCTCCATCAAAAGGAGGGTTCAACCGTGTGACTTGAATGCAATCATCACTCAGAAGTTTCTGAGAATGCTTCTCTTTAGTTTTTACGTGAACATATACCCGTTTCGAACGAAGGCCACCCAGTGGTCCAAATATCCACTTGCAGATTCTACACAAAGAGTGTTTCGAACCTGATCTCTCAAAGGCAGGTCCATCTCTGCGAGTTAAATGCATTCATCATGAAGAACTTTCTCAGATTGTTTGTGTTTAGTTATGGGAAATTATTCCCGTTTCCAACGAAATCCTCAGAGAGCTCCAAATATCCACCTGTAGATTCTACCAAAAGTGTATTTGGAAACTGCTCCATCAAAAGGCATGTTCAGCTCTGTGAGTGAAACTCCATCATCACAAAGAATATTCTGAGAATGCTTCCGTTTGCCTTTTATATGAACTTCCTTCCTGTACCACCGTAGGCCTCAAAGCAGTCCAAATCTCCATTTGCAGATTCTACAAAAAGAGTGATTCCAATCTGCTCTATCAATAGGATTGTTCAACTCCATGAGTTGAATGCCATCCTCACAAAGTAGTTTCTGAGAATGCTTCTATCTGGTTTTTGTGTGAAGATATTTCCTTTTCCACCACAGGCCTCAAAGCCCTCCAAACGTCCACTTGCAGATTCTCGAAAAAGAGTGTTTCATAGCTGCTCTTTCAAAAGGAAAGTTCAACTCTGGGAGTTGAATACAAACATCACAAAATAGTTTCCGAGAATGCTTCTGTTTAGTTTTTATGTGAAGATGATCCCGTTTCCAGTGAAATCTTCAAAGAGGTCCACATATCCCCTTGCAGATTCCAAAGAAAGAGGGTTTCAAAACTGCTCCATCAGAAGGATTGTTCAACTCTGTGAGTTGAATGCAGTCATCGCAGAAAACTTTCTGAGAATGCTTCTGTCTAGGTTTGATGTGAAGATATAGACGTTTCAAACGAAGGCTACAAAGTGGTCAAAATATACACTTGCAGATTCTACTACAAGGGTGTTGCAAACCTGAACTATCAAAGGAAGGTTCAACTCTGTGAGTTGAATACAAACATCACAAAGAATGTTCTGAGTTTGCTTCCGTTCAGTTATGGGAAGTTGATCCCGTTTCCAACGAAATCCTCAGAGAGGTCCAAATATCCCCTTGCAGATTCTACAAAACGTGTGTTTGGAAACTGCTCCATCATAACGAATGTTCAGCTCCCTGAGTTAAACTCCATCGTCACAAAGAATTTTCTGAGAGTGCTAACCGTCTGGTTTTTATATGAAGTTCTTTCCTTCACTACCACAGGCCTCAAAGCGGTCCAAATCTCCACTTGCAGATTCTACAAAAAGAGTGTTTGCAAACTGCTCTATCAAAAGGAATGTTCAACTCTGGGAGTTGAATGCAATCATCACAGAGCAGTTTCTGAGAATGCTTCTATGTCGTTTTTAGGAGAAGATATTTCCTTTTCCAACACAGTCCTCCAAGCCCGCTAAATAGCCACTTGCACATTGTAGAAAAAGAGTGTCGAAGCTGCGCTATCAAAGGGAAAGTTCAACTCTGTGAGGTGAATGCAAACATCCCAACGAAGTTTCTGAGAATGCTTCCGTTTAGCTTTTAGGTGAAGATTATCCCGTTTCCAACGAAATCTTCAAAGAAGTCCAAATATCCCCTTGCGGATCCCACAGAAAGAGTGTTTCGAAACTGCTGTTTCAAAAGGAATCTTCAACTCTGTGAGTTGAATGCAATCATCACAAAGAAGTTTCTGACAATGCTTCTCTCTCGTCTTTCTGTGAAGATAAAGGAAAAGGCTTTCAGGCCTTTTCCACCACAGGCCTGAAAGCGCTCCAAATGTCCACTTGCAGATTCTGCCAAAAGAATATTTCAAAACTGCTCTATGAAAAGCAATGTTAAACTCTGTGGCTCGAACACAAACATCACAAAGCAGTTTCTGAGAATGCTTCAGTTTAGTTTTTCTGTGGAAATATTCCCGTTTCCAAAGAAATCTTCAAAGAGGTCCACGTATGCACTTACAGATTCTACAAAAAGACAGTTTCAAAACTGCTCCATCAAAAGGAGGGTTCAACTGTGTGACTTGAATGCAATCATCACTCAGAAGTTTCTGAGAATGCTTCTCTTTAGTTTTTACGTGAACATATACCCGTTTCGAACGAAGGCCACCCAGTGGTCCAAATATCCACTTGCAGATTCTACAGAAAGAGTGTTTCGAACCTGAACTCTCAAAGGCAGGTTCATCTCTGTTAGTTAAATGCATTCATCATGAAGAACTTTCTCAGAGTGTTTGTGTTTAGTTATGGGAAATTATTCCCGTTTCCAACGAAATCCTCAGAGAGCTCCAAATATCCACCTGCAGATTCTACCAAAAGTGTATTTGGAAACTGCTCCATCAAAAGGCATGTTCAGCTCTGTGAGTGAAACTCCATCATCACAAAGAATATTCTGAGAATGCTTCCGTTTGCCTTTTATATGAAGTTCCTTCCTGTACTACTGTAGGCCTCAAAGCAGTCCAAATCTCCATTTGCAGATTCTACAAAAAGAGTGATTCCAATCTGCTCTATCAATAGGATTGTTCAACTCCATGAGTTGAATGCCATCCTCACAAAGTAGTTTCTGAGAATGCTTCTATCTAGTTTTTATGTGAAGGTATTTCCTTTTCCACCACAGGCCTCCAAGCCCTCCAAACGTCCACTTGCAGATTCTCGAAAAAGAGTGTTTCATAGCTGCTCTTTCAAAAGGAAAGTTCAACTCTGGGAGTTGAATACAAACATCACAAAGTAGTTTCCGAGAATGCTTCTGTTTAGTTTTTATGTGAAGATGATCCCGTTTCCAGTGAAATCTTCAAAGAGGTCCACATATCCCCTTGCAGATTCCAAAGAAAGAGGGTTTCAAAACTGCTCCATCAGAAGGATTGTTCAACTCTGTGAGTTGAATGCAGTCATCGCAGAAAACTTTCTGAGAATGCTTCTGTCTAGGTTTGATGTGAAGATATAGACGTTTCAAACGAAGGCTACAAAGTGGTCAAAATATACACTTGCAGATTCTACTACAAGGGTGTTGCAAACCTGAACTATCAAAGGAAGGTTCAACTCTGTGAGTTGAATACAAACATCACAAAGAATGTTCTGAGTTTGCTTCCGTTCAGTTATGGGAAGTTGATCCCGTTTCCAACGAAATCCTCAGAGAGGTCCAAATATCCCCTTGCAGATTCTACAAAACGTGTGTTTGGAAACTGCTCCATCATAACGAATGTTCAGCTCCCTGAGTTAAACTCCATCGTCACAAAGAATTTTACTGAGAGTGCTAACCGTCTGGTTTTTATATGAAGCTCTTTCCTTCACTACCACAGACCTCAAAGCGGTCCAAATCTCCACTTGCAGATTCTACAAAAAGAGTGTTTGCAAACTGCTCTATCAAAAGGAATGTTCAACTCTGGGAGTTGAATGCAATCATCACAGAGCAGTTTCTGAGAATGCTTCTATGTCGTTTTTAGGAGAAGATATTTCCTTTTCCAACACAGTCCTCCAAGCCCGCTAAATAGCCACTTGCACATTGTAGAAAAAGTGTGTCAAAGCTGCGCTATCAAAGGGAAAGTTCAACTCTGTGAGGTGAATGCAAACATCCCAAAGAAGTTTCTGAGAATGCTTCCGTTTAGGTTTTAGGTGAAGATTATCCCGTTTCCAACGAAACCTTCAAAGAGGTCCAAATATCCCCTTGCGGATCCCACAGAAAGAGTGTTTCGAAACTGCTGTTTCAAAAGGAATCTTCAACTCTGTGAGTTGAATGCAATCATCACAAAGAAGTTTCTGACAATGCTTCTCTCTCGTCTTTCTGTGAAGATAAAGGAAAAGGCTTTCAGGCCTTTTCCACCACAGGCCTGAAAGCGCTCCAAATGTCCACTTGCAGATTCTGCCAAAAGAATATTTCAAAACTGCTCTATGAAAAGCAATGTTAAACTCTGTGGCTCGAACACAAACATCACAAAGCGGTTTCTGAGAATGCTTCAGTTTAGTTTTTCTGTGGAAATATTCCCGTTTCCAAAGAAATCTTCAAAAGAGGTCCACGCATCCACTTACAGATTCTACAAAAAGACAGTTTCAAAACTGCTCAATCAAAAGGAGGGTTCAACTGTGTGACTTGAATGCAATCATCACTCAGAAGTTTCTGAGAACGCTTCTCTTTAGTTTTTACGTGAACATATACCCGTTTCGAATGAAGGCCAGCCAGTGGTCCAAATATCCACTTGCAGATTCCACAGAAAGAGTGTTTCGAACCTGAACTCTCAAAGGCAGGTTCATCTCTGCGAGTTAAATGCATTCATCATGAAGAACTTTCTCAGCGTGTTTGTGTTTAGTTATGGGAAATTATTCCCGTTTCCAACGAAATCCTCAGAGAGCTCCAAATATCCACCTGCAGATTCTACCAAAAGTGTATTTGGAAACTGCTCCATCAAAAGGCATGTTCAGCTCTGTGAGTGAAACTCCATCATCACAAAGAATATTCTGAGAATGCTTCCGTTTGCCTTTTATATGAAGTTCCTTCCTATACGACCGTAGGCCTCAAAGCAGTCCAAATCTCCATTTGCAGATTCTACAAAAAGAGTGATTCCAATCTGCTCTATCAATAGGATTGTTCAACTCCATGAGTTGAATGCCATCCTCACAAAGTCGTTTCTGAGAATGCTTCTATCTGGTTTTTGTGTGAAGATATTTCCTTTTCCACCACAGGCCTCAAAGCCCTCCAAACGTCCACTTGCAGATTCTCGAAAAAGAGTGTTTCATAGCTGCTCTTTCAAAAGGAAAGTTCAACTCTGGGAGTTGAATACAAACATCACAAAGTAGTTTCCGAGAATGCTTCTGTTTAGTTTTTATGTGAAGATGATCCCGTTTCCAGTGAAATCTTCAAAGAGGTCCACATATCCCCTTGCAGATTCCAAAGAAAGAGGGTTTCAAAACTGCTCCATCAGAAGGATTGTTCAACTCTGTGAGTTGAATGCAGTCATCGCAGAAAACTTTCTGAGAATGCTTCTGTCTAGGTTTGATGTGAAGATATAGACGTTTCAAACGAAGGCTACAAAGTGGTCAAAATATACACTTGCAGATTCTACTACAAGGGTGATGCAAACCTCAACTATCAAAGGAAGGTTCAACTCTGTGAGATGAATGCAAACATCACAAAGAATGTTCTGAGTTTGCTTCCGTTCAGTTATGGGAAGTTGATCCCGTTTCCAACGAAATCCTCAGAGAGGTCCAAATATCCCCTTGCAGATTCTACAAAACGTGTGTTTGGAAACTGCTCCATCATAACGAATGTTCAGCTCTCTGAGTTAAACTCCATCGTCACAAACAATTTTCTGAGACTGCTACCGTCTAGTTTTTATATGAAGTTCTTTCCTTTACTACCACAGGCCTCAAAGCGGTCCAAATCTCCACTTGCAGATTCTACAAAAAGAGTGTTTGCAAACTGCTCTATCAAAAGGAATGTTCAACTCTGGGAGTTGAATGCAATCATCACAGAGCAGTTTCTGAGAATGCTTCTATGTCGTTTTTAGGAGAAGATATTTCCTTTTCCAACACAGTCCTCCAAGCCCGCTAAATAGCCACTTGCACATTGTAGAAAAAGTGTGTCAAAGCTGCGCTATCAAAGGGAAAGTTCAACTCTGTGAGGTGAATGCAAACATCCCAAAGAAGTTTCTGAGAATGCTTCCGTTTAGCTTTTAGGTGAAGATTATCCCGTTTCCAACGAAACCTTCAAAGAGGTCCAAATATCCCCTTGCGGATCCCACAGAAAGAGTGTTTCGAAACTGCTGTTTCAAAAGGAATCTTCAACTCTGTGAGTTGAATGCAATCATCACAAAGAAGTTTCTGACAATGCTTCTCTCTCGTCTTTCTGTGAAGATAAAGGAAAAGGCTTTCAGGCCTTTTCCACCACAGGCCTGAAAGCGCTCCAAATGTCCACTTGCAGATTCTGCCAAAAGAATAGTTCAAAACTGCTCTATGAAAAGCAATGTTAAACTCTGTGGCTCGAACACAAACATCACAAAGCAGTTTCTGAGAATGCTTCAGTTTAGTTTTTCTGTGGAAATATTCCCGTTTCCAAAGAAATCTTCAAAGAGGTCCACGCATCCACTTACAGATTCTACAAAAAGACAGTTTCAAAACTGCTCAATCAAAAGGAGGGTTCAACTGTGTGACTTGAATGCAATCATCACTCAGAAGTTTATGAGAACGCTTCTCTTTAGTTTTTACATGAACATATACCCGTTTCGAACGAAGGCCAGCCAGTGGTCCAAATATCCACTTGCAGATTCTACAGAAAGAGTGTTTCGAACCTGAACTCTCAAAGGCAGGTTCATCTCTGCGAGTTCAATGCATTCATCATGAAGAACTTTCTCAGCGTGTTTGTGTTTAGTTATGGGAAATTATTCCCGTTTCCAACGAAATCCTCAGAGAGCTCCAAATATCCACCTGCAGATTCTACCAAAAGTGTATTTGGAAACTGCTCCATCAAAAGGCATGTTCAGCTCTGTGAGTGAAACTCCATCATCACAAAGAATATTCTGAGAATGCTTCCGTTTGCCTTTTATATGAAGTTCCTTCCTATACGACCGTAGGCCTCAAAGCAGTCCAAATCTCCATTTGCAGATTCTACAAAAAGAGTGATTCCAATCTGCTCTATCAATAGGATTGTTCAACTCCATGAGTTGAATGCCATCCTCACAAAGTCGTTTCTGAGAATGCTTCTATCTAGTTTTTATGTGAAGATATTTCCTTTTCCACCACAGGCCTCAAAGCCCTCCAAACGTCCACTTGCAGATTCTCGAAAAAGAGTGTTTCATAGCTGCTCTTTCAAAAGGAAAGTTCAACTCTGGGAGTTGAATACAAACCTCACAAAGTAGTTTCCGAGAATGCTTCTGTTTAGTTCTTATGTGAAGATGATCCCGTTTCCAGTGAAATCTTCAAAGAGGTCCACATATCCCCTTGCAGATTCCAAAGAAAGAGGGTTTCAAAACTGCTCCATCAAAAGGATTGTTCAACTCTGTGAGTTGAATGCAGTCATCGCAGAAAACTTTCTGAGAATGCTTCTTTCTAGGTTTGATGTGAAGATATAGACGTTTCAAACGAAGGCTACAAAGTGGTCAAAATATACACTTGCAGATTCTACTACAAGGGTGTTGCAAACCTGAACTATCAAAGGAAGGTTCAACTCTGTGAGTTGAATACAAACATCACAAAGAATGTTCTGAGTTTGCTTCCGTTCAGTTATGGGAAGTTGATCCCGTTTCCAACGAAATCCTCAGAGAGGTCCAAATATCCCCTCACAGATTCTACAAAACGTGTGTTTGGAAACTGCTCCATCATAACGAATGTTCAGCTCCCTGAGTTAAACTCCATCGTCACAAAGAATTTTCTGAGAGTGCTACCGTCTGGTTTTTATATGAAGTTCTTTCCTTCACTACCACAGGCCTCAAAGCGGTCCAAATCTCCACTTGCAGATTCTACAAAAAGAGTGTTTGCAAACTGCTCTATCAAAAGGAATGTTCAACTCTGGGAGTTGAATGCAATCATCACAGAGCAGTTTCTGAGAATGCTTCTATGTCGTTTTTAGGAGAAGATATTTCCTTTTCCAACACAGTCCTCCAAGCCCGCTAAATAGCCACTTGCACATTGTAGAAAAAGTGTGTCAAAGCTGCGCTATCAAAGGGAAAGTTCAACTCTGTGAGGTGAATGCAAACATCCCAAAGAAGTTTCTGAGAATGCTTCCGTTTAGCTTTTAGGTGAAGATTATCCCGTTTCCAACGAAACCTTCAAAGAGGTCCAAATATCCCCTTGCGGATCCCACAGAAAGAGTGTTTCGAAACTGCTGTTTCAAAAGGAATCTTCAACTCTGTGAGTTGAATGCAATCATCAAAAAGAAGTTTCTGACAATGCTTCTCTCTCGTCTTTCTGTGAAGATAAAGGAAAAGGCTTTCAGGCCTTTTCCACCACAGGCCTGAAAGCGCTCCAAATGTCCACTTGCAGATTCTGCGAAAAGAATATTTCAAAACTGCTCTATGAAAAGCAATGTTAAACTCTGTGGCTCGAACACAAACATCACAAAGCGGTTTCTGAGAATGCTTCAGTTTAGTTTTTCTGTGGAAATATTCCCGTTTCCAAAGAAATCTTCAAAGAGGTCCACGTATCCACTTACAGATTCTACAAAAAGACAGTTTCAAAACTGCTCCATCAAAAGGAGGGTTCAACTGTGTGACTTGAATGCAATCATCACTCAGAAGTTTCTGAGAATGCTTCTCTTTAGTTTTTACGTGAACATATACCCGTTTCGAACGAAGGCCAGCCAGTGGTCCAAATATCCACTTGCAGATTCTACAGAAAGAGTGTTTCGAACCTGAACTCTCAAAGGCAGGTTCATCTCTGCGCGTTAAATGCATTCATCATGAAGAACTTTCTCAGCGTGTTTGTGTTTAGTTATGGGAAATTATTCCCGTTCCCAACGAAATCCTCAGAGAGGTCCAAATGTCCACCTGCAGATTCTACCAAAAGTGTATTTGGAAACTGCTCCATCAACAGGCATGTTCAGCTCTGTGAGTGAAACTCCATCATCACAAAGAATATTCTGAGAATGCTTCCGTTTGCCTTTTATATGAAGTTCCTTCCTATACGTCCGTAGGCCTCAAAGCAGTGCAAATCTCCATTTGCAGATTCTACAAAAAGAGTGATTCCAATCTGCTCTATCAATAGGATTGTTCAACTCCATGAGTTGAATGCCATCCTCACAAAGTCGTTTCTGAGAATGCTTCTATCTAGTTTTTATGTGAAGATATTTCCTTTTCCACCACAGGCCTCAAAGCCCTCCAAACGTCCACTTGCAGATTCTCGAAAAGGAGTGTTTCATAGCTGCTCTTTCAAAAGGAAAGTTCAACTCTGGGAGTTGAATACAAACATCACAAAGTAGTTTCCGAGAATGCTTCTGTTTAGTTTTTATGTGAAGATGATCCCGTTTCCAGTGAAATCTTCAAAGAGGTCCACATATCCCCTTGCAGATTCCAAAGAAAGAGGGTTTCAAAACTGCTCCATCAGAAGGATTGTTCAACTCTGTGAGTTGAATGCAGTCATCGCAGAAAACTTTCTGAGAATGCTTCTGTCTAGGTTTGATGTGAAGATATAGACGTTTCAAACGAAGGCTACAAAGTGGTCAAAATATACACTTGCAGATTCTACTACAAGGGTGTTGCAAACCTGAACTATCAAAGGAAGGTTCAACTCTGTGAGTTGAATACAAACATCACAAAGAATGTTCTGAGTTTGCTTCCGTTCACTTATGGGAAGTTGATCCCGTTTCCAACGAAATCCTCAGAGAGGTCCAAATATCCCCTTGCAGATTCTGCAAAACGTGTGTTTGGAAACTGCTCCATCATAACGAATGTTCAGCTCTCTGAGTTAAACTCCATCGTCACAAAGAATTTTCTGAGAGTGCTACCGTCTAGTTTTTATATGAAGTTCTTTCCTTTACTACCACAGGCCTCAAAGCGGTCCAAATCTCCACTTGCAGATTCTACAAAAAGAGTGTTTGCAAACTGCTCTATCAAAAGGAATGTTCAACTCTGGGAGTTGAATGCAATCATCACAGAGCAGTTCCTGAGAATGCTTCTATGTCGTTTTTAGGAGAAGATATTTCCTTTTCCAACACAGTCCTCCAAGCCCGCTAAATAGCCACTTGCACATTGTAGAAAAAGTGTGTCAAAGCTGCGCTATCAAAGGGAAAGTTCAACTCTGTGAGTTGAATGCAAACATCCCAAAGAAGTTTCTGAGAATGCTTCCGTTTAGCTTTTAGGTGAAGATTATCCCGTTTCCAACGAAACCTTCAAAGGAGGTCCAAATATCCCCTTGCGGATCCCACAGAAAGAGTGTTTCGAAACTGATGTTTCAAAAGGAATCTTCAACTCTGTGAGTTGAATGCAATCATCACAAAGAAGTTTCTGACAATGCTTCTCTCTCGTCTTTCTGTGAAGATAAAGGAAAAGGCTTTCAGGCCTTTTCCACCACAGGCCTGAAAGCGCTCCAAATGTCCACTTGCAGATTCTGCCAAAAGAATATTTCAAAACTGCTCTATGAAAAGCAATGTTAAACTCTGTGGCTGGAACACAAACATCACAAAGCGGTTTCTGAGAATGTTTCAGTTTAGTTTTTCTGTGGAAATATTCCCGTTTCCAAAGAAATCTTCAAAGAGGTCCACGTATCCACTTACAGATTCTACAAAAAGACAGTTTCAAAACTGCTCCATCAAAAGGAGGGTTCAACCGTGTGACTTGAATGCAATCATCACTCAGAAGTTTCTGAGAATGCTTCTCTTTAGTTTTTACGTGAACATATACCCGTTTCGAACGAAGGCCACCCAGTGGTCCAAATATCCACTTGCAGATTATACAGAAAGAGTGTTTCGAACCTGAACTCTCAAAGGCAGGTTCATCTCTGCGAGTTAAATGCATTCATCATGAAGAACTTTCTCAGAGTGTTTGTGTTTAGTTATGGGAAATTATTCCCGTTTCCAACGAAATCCTCAGAGAGCTCCAAATATCCACCTGCAGATTCTACCAAAAGTGTATTTGGAAACTGCTCCATCAAAAGGCATGTTCAGCTCTGTCAGTGAAACTCCATCATCACAAAGAATATTCTGAGAATGCTTCCGTTTGCCTTTTATATGAAGTTCCTTCCTATACGACCGTAGGCCTCAAAGCAGTCCAAATCTCCATTTGCAGATTCTACAAAAAGAGTGATTCCAATCTGCTCTATCAATAGGATTGTTCAACTCCATGAGTTGAATGCCATCCTCACAAAGTAGTTTCTGAGAATGCTTCTATCTAGTTTTTATGTGAAGATATTTCCTTTTCCACCACAGGCCTCAAAGCCCTCCAAACGTCCACTTGCAGATTCTCGAAAAAGAGTGTTTCATAGCTGCTCTTTCAAAAGGAAAGTTCAACTCTGGGAGTTGAATACAAACATCACAAAGTAGTTTCCGAGAATGCTTCTGTTTAGTTTTTATGTGAAGATGATCCCGTTTCCAGTGAAATCTTCAAAGAGGTCCACATATCCCCTTGCAGATTCCAAAGAAAGAGGGTTTCAAAACTGCTCCATCAGAAGGATTGTTCAACTCTGTGAGTTGAATGCAGTCATCGCAGAAAACTTTCTGAGAATGCTTCTGTCTAGGTTTGATGTGAAGATATAGACGTTTCAAACGAAGGCTACAAAGTGGTCAAAATATACACTTGCAGATTCTACTACAAGGGTGTTGCAAACCTGAACTATCAAAGGAAGGTTCAACTCTGTGAGTTGAATACAAACATCACAAAGAATGTTCTGAGTTTGCTTCCGTTCAGTTATGGGAAGTTGATCCCGTTTCCAACGAAATCCTCAGAGAGGTCCAAATATCCCCTTGCAGATTCTACAAAACGTGTGTTTGGAAACTGCTCCATCATAACGAATGTTCAGCTCCCTGAGTTAAACTCCATCGTCACAAAGAATTTTCTGAGAGTGCTACCGTCTGGTTTTTATATGAAGCTCTTTCCTTCACTACCACAGGCCTCAAAGCGGTCCAAATCTCCACTTGCAGATTCTACAAAAAGAGTGTTTGCAAACTGCTCTATCAAAAGGAATGTTCAACTCTGGGAGTTGAATGCAATCATCACAGAGCAGTTTCTGAGAATGCTTCTATGTCGTTTTTAGGAGAAGATATTTCCTTTTCCAACACAGTCCTCCAAGCCCGCTAAATAGCCACTTGCACATTGTAGAAAACGTGTGTCAAAGCTGCGCTATCAAAGGGAAAGTTCAACTCTGTGAGGTGAATGCAAACATCCCAAAGAAGTTTCTGAGAATGCTTCCGTTTAGCTTTTAGGTGAAGATTATCCCGTTTCCAACGAAACCTTCAAAGAGGTCCAAATATCCCCTTGCGGATCCCACAGAAAGAGTGTTTCGAAACTGCTGTTTCAAAAGGAATCTTCAACTCTGTGAGTTGAATGCAATCATCACAAAGAAGTTTCTGACAATGCTTCTCTCTCGTCTTTCTGTGAAGATAAAGGAAAAGGCTTTCAGGCCTTTTCCACCACAGGCCTGAAAGCGCTCCAAATGTCCACTTGCAGATTCTGCGAAAAGAATATTTCAAAACTGCTCTATGAAAAGCAATGTTAAACTCTGTGGCTCGAACACAAACATCACAAAGCGGTTTCTGAGAATGCTTCAGTTTAGTTTTTCTGTGGAAATATTCCCGTTTCCAAAGAAATCTTCAAAGAGGTCCACGTATCCACTTACAGATTCTACAAAAAGACAGTTTCAAAACTGCTCCATCAAAAGGAGGGTTCAACTGTGTGACTTGAATGCAATCATCACTCAGAAGTTTCTGAGAATGCTTCTCTTTAGTTTTTACGTGAACATATACGCGTTTCGAACGAAGGCCACCCAGTGGTCCAAATATCCACTTGCAGATTATACAGAAAGAGTGTTTCGAACCTGAACTCTCAAAGGCAGGTTCATCTCTGCGAGTTAAATGCATTCATCATGAAGAACTTTCTCAGAGTGTTTGTGTTTAGTTATGGGAAATTATTCCCGTTTCCAACGAAATCCTCAGAGAGCTCCAAATATCCACCTGCAGATTCTACCAAAAGTGTATTTGGAAACTGCTCCATCAAAAGGCATGTTCAGCTCTGTGAGTGAAACTCCATCATCACAAAGAATATTCTGAGAATGCTTCCGTTTGCCTTTTATATGAAGTTCCTTCCTATACGACCGTAGGCCTCAAAGCAGTCCAAATCTCCATTTGCAGATTCTACAAAAAGAGTGATTCCAATCTGCTCTATCAATAGGATTGTTCAACTCCATGAGTTGAATGCCATCCTCACAAAGTCGTTTCTGAGAATGCTTCTATGTAGTTTTTATGTGAAGATATTTCCTTTTCCACCACAGGCCTCAAAGCCCTCCAAACGTCCACTTGCAGATTCTCGAAAAAGAGTGTTTCATAGCTGCTCTTTCAAAAGGAAAGTTCAACTCTGGGAGTTGAATACAAACATCACAAAGTAGTTTCCGAGATTGCTTCTGGTTAGTTCTTATGTGAAGATGATCCCGTTTCCAGTGAAATCTTCAAAGAGGTCCACATATCCCCTTGCAGATTCCAAAGAAAGAGGGTTTCAAAACTGCTCCATCAAAAGGATTGTTCAACTCTGTGAGTTGAATGCAGTCATCGCAGAAAACTTTCTGAGAATGCTTCTGTCTAGGTTTGAGGTGAAGATATAGACGTTTCAAACGAAGGCTACAAAGTGGTCAACATATACACTTGCAGATTCTACTACAAGGGTGTTGCAAACCTCAACTATCAAAGGAAGGTTCAACTCTGTGAGATGAATGCAAACATCACAAAGAATGTTCTGAGTTTGCTTCCATTCAGTTATGGGAAGTTGATCCCGTTTCCAACGAAATCCTCAGAGAGGTCCAAATATCCCCTTGCAGATTCTACAAAACGTGTGTTTGGAAACTGCTCCATCATAACGAATGTTCAGCTCTCTGAGTTAAACTCCATCGTCACAAAGAATTTTCTGAGGGTGCTACCGTCTGGTTTTTATATGAAGTTCTTTCCTTCACTACCACAGGCCTCAAAGCGGTCCAAATCTCCACTTGCAGATTCTACAAAAAGAGTGTTTGCAAACTGCTCTATCAAAAGGAATGTTCAACTCTGGGAGTTGAATGCAATCATCACAGAGCAGTTTCTGAGAATGCTTCTATGTCGTTTTTAGGAGAAGATATTTCCTTTTCCAACACAGTCCTCCAAGCCCGCTAAATAGCCACTTGCACATTGTAGAAAAAGTGTGTCAAAGCTGCGCTATCAAAGGGAAAGTTCAACTCTGTGAGGTGAATGCAAACATCCCAAAGAAGTTTCTGAGAATGCTTCCGTTGAGCTTTTAGGTGAAGATTATCCCGTTTCCAACGAAACCTTCAAAGAGGTCCAAATATCCCCTTGCGGATCCCACAGAAAGAGTGTTTCGAAACTGCTGTTTCAAAAGGAATCTTCAACTCTGTGAGTTGAATGCAATCATCACAAAGAAGTTTCTGACAATGCTTCTCTCTCGTCTTTCTGTGAAGATAAAGGAAAAGGCTTTCAGGCCTTTTCCACCACAGGCCTGAAAGCGCTCCAATTGTCCACTTGCAGATTCTGCCAAAAGAATATTTCAAAACTGCTCTATGAAAAGCAAGGTTAAACTCTGTGGCTCGAACACAAACATCACAAAGCAGTTTCTGAGAATGCTTCAGTTTAGTTTTTCTGTGGAAATATTCCCGTTTCCAAAGAAATCTTCAAAGAGGTCCACGCATCCACTTACAGATTCTACAAAAAGACAGTTTCAAAACTGCTCAATCAAAAGGAGGGTTCAACTGTGTGACTTGAATGCAATCATCACTCAGAAGTTTCTGAGAACGCTTCTCTTTAGTTTTTACGTGAACATATACCCGTTTCGAATGAAGGCCAGCCAGTGGTCCAAATATCCACTTGCAGATTCCACAGAAAGAGTGTTTCGAACCTGAACTCTCAAAGGCAGGTTCATCTCTGCGAGTTAAATGCATTCATCATGAAGAACTTTCTCAGCGTGTTTGTGTTTAGTTATGGGAAATTATTCCCGTTTCCAACGAAATCCTCAGAGTGGTCCAAATGTCCACCTGCAGATTCTACCAAAAGTGTATTTGGAAACTGCTCCATCAAAAGGCATGTTCAGCTCTGTGAGTGAAACTCCATCATCACAAAGAATATTCTGAGAATGCTTCCGTTTGCCTTTTATATGAAGTTCCTTCCTGTACTACCGTAGGCCTCAAAGCAGTCCAAATCTCCATTTGCAGATTCTACAAAAAGAGTGATTCCAATCTGCTCTATCAATAGGATTGTTCAACTCCATGAGTTGAATGCCATCCTCACAAAGTAGTTTCTGAGAATGCTTCTATCTGGTTTTTGTGTGAAGATATTTCCTTTTCCACCACAGGCCTCAAAGCCCTCCAAACGTCCACTTGCAGATTCTCGAAAAAGAGTGTTTCATAGCTGCTCTTTCAAAAGGAAAGTTCAACTCTGGGAGTTGAATACAAACATCACAAAATAGTTTCCGAGACTGCTTCTGTTTAGTTTTTATGTGAAGATGATCCCGTTTCCAGTGAAATCTTCAAAGAGGTCCACATATCCCCTTGCAGATTCCAAAGAAAGAGGGTTTCAAAACTGCTCCATCAGAAGGATTGTTCAACTCTGTGAGTTGAATGCAGTCATCGCAGAAAACTTTCTGAGAATGCTTCTGTCTAGGTTTGATGTGAAGATATAGACGTTTCAAATGAAGGCTACAAAGTGGTCAAAATATACACTTGCAGATTCTACTACAAGGGTGTTGCAAACCTGAACTATCAAAGGAAGGTTCAACTCTGTGAGTTGAATACAAACATCACAAAGAATGTTCTGAGTTTGCTTCCGTTCAGTTATGGGAAGTTGATCCCGTTTCCAACGAAATCCTCAGAGAGGTCCAAATATCCCCTTGCAGATTCTACAAAACGTGTGTTTGGAAACTGCTCCATCATAACGAATGTTCAGCTCCCTGAGTTAAACTCCATCGTCACAAAGAATTTTCTGAGAGTGCTACCGTCTGGTTTTTATATGAAGTTCTTTCCTTCACTACCACAGGCCTCAAAGCGGTCCAAATCTCCACTTGCAGATTCTACAAAAAGAGTGTTTGCAAACTGCTCTATCAAAAGGAATGTTCAACTCTGGGAGTTGAATGCAATCATCACAGAGCAGTTTCTGAGAATGCTTCTATGTCGTTTTTAGGAGAAGATATTTCCTTTTCCAACACAGTCCTCCAAGCCCGCTAAATAGCCACTTGCACGTTGTAGAAAAAGTGTGTCAAAGCTGCGCTATCAAAGGGAAAGTTCAACTCTGTGAGGTGAATGCAAACATCCCAAAGAAGTTTCTGAGAATGCTTCCGTTTAGCTTTTAGGTGAAGATTATCCCGTTTCCAACGAAACCTTCAAAGAGGTCCAAATATCCCCTTGCGGATCCCACAGAAAGAGTGTTTCGAAACTGCTGTTTCAAAAGGAATCTTCAACTCTGTGAGTTGAATGCAATCATCAAAAAGAAGTTTCTGACAATGCTTCTCTCTCGTCTTTCTGTGAAGATAAAGGAAAAGGCTTTCAGGCCTTTTCCACCACAGGCCTGAAAGCGCTCCAAATGTCCACTTGTAGATTCTGCCAAAAGAATATTTCAAAACTGCTCTATGAAAAGCAATGTTAAACTCTGTGGCTCGAACACAAACATCACAAAGCAGTTTGCTGAGAATGCTTCAGTTTAGTTTTTCTGTGGAAATATTCCCGTTTCCAAAGAAATCTTCAAAGAGGTCCACGTATCCACTTACAGATTCTACAAAAAGACAGTTTCAAAACTGCTCCATCAAAAGGAGGGTTCAACTGTGTGACTTGAATGCAATCATCACTCAGAAGTTTCTGAGAATGCTTCTCTTTAGTTTTTACGTGAACATATACCCGTTTCGAACGAAGGCCACCCAGTGGTCCAAATATCCACTTGCAGATTCTACAGAAAGAGTGTTTCGAACCTGAACTCTCAAAGGCAGGTTCATCTCTGCGAGTTGAATGCATTCATCATGAAGAACTTTCTCAGAGTGTTTGTGTTTAGTTATGGGAAATTATTCCCGTTTCCAACGAAATCCTCAGAGAGCTCCAAATATCCACCTGCAGATTCTACCAAAAGTGTATTTGGAAACTGCTCCATCAAAAGGCATGTTCAGCTCTGTGAGTGAAACTCCATCATCACAAAGAATATTCTGAGAATGCTTCCGTTTGCCTTTTATATGAAGTTCCTTCCTATACTACCGTAGGCCTCAAAGCAGTCCAAATCTCCATTTGCAGATTCTACAAAAAGAGTGATTCCAATCTGCTCTATCAATAGGATTGTTCAACTCCATGAGTTGAAGGCCATCCTCACAAAGTCGTTTCTGAGTATGCTTCTATCTAGTTTTTATGTGAAGATATTTCCTTTTCCACCACAGGCCTCAAAGCCCTCCAAACGTCCACTTGCAGATTCTCGAAAAAGAGTGTTTCATAGCTGCTCTTTCAAAAGGAAAGTTCAACTCTGGGAGTTGAATACAAACATCACAAAGTAGTTTCCGAGAATGCTTCTGTTTAGTTTTTATGTGAAGATGATCCCGTTTCCAGTGAAATCTTCAAAGAGGTCCACATATCCCCTTGCAGATTCCAAAGAAAGAGGGTTTCAAAACTGCTCCATCAGAAGGATTGTTCAACTCTGTGAGTTGAATGCAGTCATCGCAGAAAACTTTCTGAGAATGCTTCTGTCTAGGTTTGATGTGAAGATATAGACGTTTCAAACGAAGGCTACAAAGTGGTCAAAATATACACTTGCAGATTCTACTACAAGGGTGTTGCAAACCTGAACTATCAAAGGAAGGTTCAACTCTGTGAGTTGAATACAAACATCACAAAGAATGTTCTGAGTTTGCTTCCGTTCAGTTATGGGAAGTTGATCCCGTTTCCAACGAAATCCTCAGAGAGGTCCAAATATCCCCTTGCAGATTCTACAAAACGTGTGTTTGGAAACTGCTCCATCATAACGAATGTTCAGCTCCCTGAGTTAAACTCCATCGTCACAAAGAATTTTCTGAGAGTGCTACCGTCTGGTTTTTATATGAAGTTCTTTCCTTCACTACCACAGGCCTCAAAGCGGTCCAAATCTCCACTTGCAGATTCTACAAAAAGAGTGTTTGCAAACTGCTCTATCAAAAGGAATGTTCAACTCTGGGAGTTGAATGCAATCATCACAGAGCAGTTTCTGAGAATGCTTCTATGTCGTTTTTAGGAGAAGATATTTCCTTTTCCAACACAGTCCTCCAAGCCCGCTAAATAGCCACTTGCACATTGTAGAAAAAGTGTGTCAAAGCTGCGCTATCAAAGGGAAAGTTCAACTCTGTGAGGTGAATGCAAACATCCCAAAGAAGTTTCTGAGAGTGCTTCCGTTTAGCTTTTAGGTGAAGATTATCCCGTTTCCAACGAAACCTTCAAAGAGGTCCAAATATCCCCTTGCGGATCCCACAGAAAGAGTGTTTCGAAACTGCTGTTTCAAAAGGAATCTTCAACTCTGTGAGTTGAATGCAATCATCACAAAGAAGTTTCTGACAATGCTTCTCTCTCGTCTTCCTGTGAAGATAAAGGAAAAGGCTTTCAGGCCTTTTCCACCACAGGCCTGAAAGCGCTCCAAATGTCCACTTGCAGATTCTGCCAAAAGAATATTTCAAAACTGCTCTATGAAAAGCAATGTTAAACTCCTGTGGCTCGAACACAAACATCACAAAGCAGTTTCTGAGAATGCTTCAGTTTAGTTTTTCTGTGGAAATATTCCCGTTTCCAAAGAAATCTTCAAAGAGGTCCACGTATCCACTTACAGATTTTACAAAAAGACAGTTTCAAAACTGCTCAATCAAAAGGCGGGTTCAACTGTGTGACTTGAATGCAATCATCACTCAGAAGTTTCTGAGAATGCTTCTCTTTAGTTTTTACGTGAACATATACCCGTTTCGAACGAAGGCCACCCAGTGGTCCAAATATCCACTTGCAGATTCTACAGAAAGGGTGTTTCGAACCTGAACACTCAAAGACAGGTTCATCTCTGCGAGTTCAATGCATTCATCATGAAGAACTTTCTCAGAGTGTTTGTGCTTAGTTATGGGAAATTATTCCCGTTTCCAACGAAATCCTCAGAGTGGTCCAAATATCCACCTGCAGATTCTACCAAAAGTGTATTTGGAAACTGCTCCATCAAAAGGCATGTTCAGCTCTGTGAGTGAAACTCCATCATCACAAAGAATATTCTGAGAATGCTTCCGTTTGCCTTTTATATGAAGTTCCTTCCTGTACTACCGTAGGCCTCAAAGCAGTCCAAATCTCCATTTGCAGATTCTATAAAAAGAGTGATTCCAATCTGCTCTATCAATAGGATTGTTCAACTCCATGAGTTGAATGCCATCCTCACAAAGTAGTTTCTGAGAATGCTTCTATCTAGTTTTTATGTGAAGATATTTCCTTTTCCACCACAGGCCTCAAAGCCTTCCAAACGTCCACTTGCAGATTCTCGAAAAAGAGTGTTTCATAGCTGCTCTTTCAAAAGGAAAGTTCAACTCTGGGAGTTGAATACAAACATCACAAAGTAGTTTCCGAGAATGCTTCTGTTTAGTTTTTATGTGAAGATGATCCCGTTTCCAGTGAAATCTTCAAAGAGGTCCACATATCCCCTTGCAGATTCCAAAGAAAGAGGGTATCAAAACTGCTCCATCAGAAGGATTGTTCAACTCTGTGAGTTGAATGCAGTCATCGCAGAAAACTTTCTGAGAATGCTTCTGTCTAGGTTTGATGTGAAGATATAGACGTTTCAAACGAAGGCTACAAAGTGGTCAAAATATACACTTGCAGATTCTACTACAAGGGTGATGCAAACCTGAACTATCAAAGGAAGGTTCAACTCTGTGAGTTGAATACAAACATCACAAAGAATGTTCTGAGTTTGCTTCCGTTCAGTTATGGGAAGTTGATCCCGTTTCCAACGAAATCCTCAGAGAGGTCCAAATATCCCCTTGCAGATTCTACAAAACGTGTGTTTGGAAACTGCTCCATCATAACGAATGTTCAGCTCTCTGAGTTAAACTCCATCGTCACAAAGAATTTTCTGAGAGTGCTACCGTCTAGTTTTTATAGGAAGTTCTTTCCTTTACTACCACAGGCCTCAAAGCGGTCCAAATCTCCACTTGCAGATTCTACAAAAAGAGTGTTTGCAAACTGCTCTATCAAAAGGAATGTTCAACTCTGGGAGTTGAATGCAATCATCACAGAGCAGTTTCTGAGAATGCTTCTATGTCGTTTTTAGGAGAAGATATTTCCTTTTCCAACACAGTCCTCCAAGCCCGCTAAATAGCCACTTGCACATTGTAGAAAAAGTGTGTCAAAGCTGCGCTATCAAAGGGAAAGTTCAACTCTGTGAGGTGAATGCAAACATCCCAAAGAAGTTTCTGAGAATGCTTCCGTTTAGCTTTTAGGTGAAGATTATCCCGTTTCCAACGAAACCTTCAAAGAGGTCCAAATATCCCCTTGCGGATCCCACAGAAAGAGTGTTTCGAAACTGCTGTTTCAAAAGGAATCTTCAACTCTGTGAGTTGAATGCAATCATCACAAAGAAGTTTCTGACAATGCTTCTCTCTCGTCTTTCTGTGAAGATAAAGGAAAAGGCTTTCAGGCCATTTCCACCACAGGCCTGAAAGCGCTCCAAATGTCCACTTGCAGATTCTGCCAAAAGAATATTTCAAAACTGCTCTATGAAAAGCAATGTTAAACTCTGCGGCTCGAACACAAACATCACAAAGCAGTTTCTGAGAATGCTTCAGTTTAGTTTTTCTGTGGAAATATTCCCGTTTCCAAAGAAATCTTCAAAGAGGTCCACGTGTCCACTTACAGATTCTACAAAAAGACAGTTTCAAAACTGCTCCATCAAAAGGAGGGTTCAACTGTGTGACTTGAATGCAATCATCACTCAGAAGTTTCTGAGAATGCTTCTCTTTAGTTTTTACGTGAACATATACCCGTTTCGAACGAAGGCCAGCCAGTGGTCCAAATATCCACTTGCAGATTCTACAGAAAGAGTGTTTCGAACCTGAACTCTCAAAGGCAGGTTCATCTCTGCGAGTTAAATGCATTCATCATGAAGAACTTTCTCAGAGTGTTTGTGTTTAGTTATGGGAAATTATTCCCGTTTCCAACGAAATCCTCAGAGAGGTCCAAATATCCACCTGCAGATTCTACCAAAAGTGTATTTGGAAACTGCTCCATCAAAAGGCATGTTCAGCTCTGTGAGTGAAACTCCATCATCACAAAGAATATTCTGAGAATGCTTCCGTTTGCCTTTTATATGAAGTTCCTTCCTATACGACCGTAGGCCTCAAAGCAGTCCAAATCTCCATTTGCAGATTCTACAAAAAGAGTGATTCCAATCTGCTCTATCAATAGGATTGTTCAACTCCATGAGTTGAATGCCATCCTCACAAAGTAGTTTCTGAGAATGCTTCTATCTAGTTTTTATGTGAAGGTATTTCCTTTTCCAGCACAGGCCTCCAAGCCCTCCAAACGTCCACTTGCAGATTCTCGAAAAAGAGTGTTTCATAGCTGCTCTTTCAAAAGGAAAGTTCAACTCTGGGAGTTGAATACAAACATCACAAAGTAGTTTCCGAGAATGCTTCTGTTTAGTTTTTATGTGAAGATGATCCCGTTTCCAGTGAAATCTTCAAAGAGGTCCACATATCCCCTTGCAGATTCCAAAGAAAGAGGGTTTAAAAACTGCTCCATCAGAAGGATTGTTCAACTCTGTGAGTTGAATGCAGTCATCGCAGAAAACTTTCTGAGAATGCTTCTGTCTAGGTTTGATGTGAAGATATAGACGTTTCAAACGAAGGCTACAAAGTGGTCAAAATATACACTTGCAGATTCTACTACAAGGGTGTTGCAAACCTGAACTATCAAAGGAAGGTTCAACTCTGTGAGTTGAATACAAACATCACAAAGAATGTTCTGAGTTTGCTTCCGTTCAGTTATGGGAAATTGATACCGTTTCCAACGAAATCCTCAGAGAGGTCCAAATATCCCCTTGCAGATTCTACAAAACGTGTGTTTGGAAACTGCTCCATCATAACGAATGTTCAGCTCTCTGAGTTAAACTCCATCGTCACAAAGAATTTTCTGAGAGTGCTACCGTCTGGTTTTTATATGAAGTTCTTTCCTTCACTACCACAGGCCTCAAAGCGGTCCAAATCTCCACTTGCAGATTCTACAAAAAGAGTGTTTGCAAACTGCTCTATCAAAAGGAATGTTCAACTCTGGGAGTTGAATGCAATCATCACAGAGCAGTTTCTGAGAATGCTTCTATGTCGTTTTTAGGAGAAGATATTTCCTTTTCCAACACAGTCCTCCAAGCCCGCTAAATAGCCACTTGCACATTGTAGAAAAAGTGTGTCAAAGCTGCGCTATCAAAGGGAAAGTTCAACTCTGTGAGGTGAATGCAAACATCCCAAAGAAGTTTCTGAGAATGCTTCCGTTTAGCTTTTAGGTGAAGATTATCCCGTTTCCAACGAAACCTTCAAAGAGGTCCAAATATCCCCTTGCGGATCCCACAGAAAGAGTGTTTCGAAACTGCTGTTTCAAAAGGAATCTTCAACTCTGTGAGTTGAATGCAATCATCACAAAGAAGTTTCTGACAATGCTTCTCTCTCGTCTTTCTGTGAAGATAAAGGAAAAGGCTTTCAGGCCTTTGCCACCACAGGCCTGAAAGCGCTCCAAATGTCCACTTGCAGATTCTGCGAAAAGAATATTTCAAAACTGCTCTATGAAAAGCAATGTTAAACTCTGTGGCTCGAACACAAACATCACAAAGCAGTTTCTGAGAATGCTTCAGTTTAGTTTTTCTGTGGAAATATTCCCGTTTCCAAAGAAATCTTCAAAGAGGTCCACGTATCCACTTACAGACTCTACAAAAAGACAGTTTCAAAACTGCTCCATCAAAAGGAGGGTTCAACTGTGTGACTTGAATGCAATCATCACTCAGAAGTTTCTGAGAATGCTTCTCTTTAGTTTTTACGTGAACATATACCCGTTTCGAACGAAGGCCACCCAGTGGTCCAAATATCCACTTGCAGATTCTACAGAAAGAGTGTTTCGAACCTGAACTCTCAAAGGCAGGTTCATCTCTGCGAGTTAAATGCATTCATCATGAAGAACTTTCTCAGAGTGTTTGTGCTTAGTTATGGGAAATTATTCCCGTTTCCAACGAAATCCTCAGAGTGGTCCAAATATCCACCTGCAGATTCTACCAAAAGTGTATTTGGAAACTGCTCCATCAAAAGGCATGTTCAGCTCTGTGAGTGAAACTCCATCATCACAAAGAATATTCTGAGAATGCTTCCGTTTGCCTTTTATCTGAAGTTCCTTCCTATACGACCGTAGGCCTCAAAGCAGTCCAAATCTCCATTTGCAGATTCTACAAAAAGAGTGATTCCAATCTGCTCTATCAATAGGATTGTTCAACTCCATGAGTTGAATGCCATCCTCACAAAGTCGTTTCTGAGAATGCTTCTATCTACTTTTTATGTGAAGATATTTCCTTTTCCACCACAGGCCTCAAAGCCCTCCAAACGTCCACTTGCAGATTCTCGAAAAAGAGTGTTTCATAGCTGCTCTTTCAAAAGGAAAGTTCAACTCTGGGAGTTGAATACAAACATCACAAAGTAGTTTCCGAGAATGCTTCTGTTTAGTTCTTATGTGAAGATGATCCCCTTTCCAGTGAAATCTTCAAAGAGGTCCACATATCCCCTTGCAGATTCCAAAGAAAGAGGGTTTCAAAACTGCTCCATCAAAAGGATTGTTCAACTCTGTGAGTTGAATGCAGTCATCGCAGAAAACTTTCTGAGAATGCTTCTGTCTAGGTTTGATGTGAAGATATAGACGTTTCAAACGAAGGCTACAAAGTGGTCAAAATATACACTTGCAGATTCTACTACAAGGGTGTTGCAAACCTGAACTATCAAAGGAAGGTTCAACTCTGTGAATTGAATACAAACATCACAAAGAATGTTCTGAGTTTGCTTCCGTTCAGTTATGGGAAGTTGATCCCGTTTCCAACGAAATCCTCAGAGAGGTCCAAATATCCCCTTGCAGATTCTACAAAACGTGTGTTTGGAAACTGCTCCATCATAACGAATGTTCAGCTCCCTGAGTTAAACTCCATCGTCACAAAGAATTTTCTGAGAGTGCTACCGTCTGGTTTTTATATGAAGTTCTTTCCTTCACTACCACAGGCCTCAAAGCGGTCCAAATCTCCACTTGCAGATTCTACAAAAAGAGTGTTTGCAAACTGCTCTATCAAAAGGAATGTTCAACTCTGGGAGTTGAATGCAATCATCACAGAGCAGTTTCTGAGAATGCTTCTATGTCGTTTTTAGGAGAAGATATTTCCTTTTCCAACACAGTCCTCCAAGCCCGCTAAATAGCCACTTGCACATTGTAGAAAAAGTGTGTCAAAGCTGCGCTATCAAAGGGAAAGTTCAACTCTGTGAGTTGAATGCAAACATCCCAAAGAAGTTTCTGAGAATGCTTCCGTTTAGCTTTTAGGTGAAGATTATCCCGTTTCCAACGAAACCTTCAAAGGAGGTCCAAATATCCCCTTGCGGATCCCACAGAAAGAGTGTTTCGAAACTGATGTTTCAAAAGGAATCTTCAACTCTGTGAGTTGAATGCAATCATCACAAAGAAGTTTCTGACAATGCTTCTCTCTCGTCTTTCTGTGAAGATAAAGGAAAAGGCTTTCAGGCCTTTTCCACCACAGGCCTGAAAGCGCTCCAAATGTCCACTTGCAGATTCTGCCAAAAGAATATTTCAAAACTGCTCTATGAAAAGCAATGTTAAACTCTGCGGCTCGAACACCAACATCACAACGCAGTTTCTGAGAATGCTTCAGTTTAGTTTTTCTGTGGAAATATTCCCGTTTCCAAAGAAATCTTCAAAGAGGTCCACGTATCCACTTACAGATTCTACAAAAAGACAGTTTCAAAACTGCTCCATCAAAAGGAGGGTTCAACTGTGTGACTTGAATGCAATCATCACTCAGAAGTTTCTGAGAATGCTTCTCTTTAGTTTTTACGTGAACATATACCCGTTTCGAACGAAGGCCACCCAGTGGTCCAAATATCCACTTGCAGATTCTACAGAAAGAGTGTTTCGAACATGAACTCTCAAAGGCAGGTTCATCTCTGCGAGTTAAATGCATTCATCATGAAGAACTTTCTCAGAGTGTTTGTGTTTAGTTATGGGAAATTATTCCCGTTTCCAACGAAATCCTCAAAGAGCTCCAAATATCCACCTGCAGATTCTACCAAAAGTGTATTTGGAAACTGCTCCATCAAAAGGCATGTTCAGCTCTGTGAGTGAAACTCCATCATCACAAAGAATATTCTGAGAATGCTTCCGTTTGCCTTTTATCTGAAGTTCCTTCCTATACGACCGTAGGCCTCAAAGCAGTCCAAATCTCCATTTGCAGATTCTACAAAAAGAGTGATTCCAATCTGCTCTATCAATAGGATTGTTCAACTCCATGAGTTGAATGCCATCCTCACAAAGTAGTTTCTGAGAATGCTTCTATCTAGTTTTTATGTGAAGATATTTCCTTTTCCACCACAGGCCTCAAAGCCCTCCAAACGTCCACTTGCAGATTCTCGAAAAAGAGTGTTTCATAGCTGCTCTTTCAAAAGGAAAGTTCAACTCTGGGAGTTGAATACAAACATCACAAAGTAGTTTCCGAGAATGCTTCTGTTTAGTTCTTATGTGAAGATGATCCCGTTTCCAGTGAAATCTTCAAAGAGGTCCACATATCACCTTGCAGATTCCAAAGAAAGAGGGTTTCAAAACTGCTCCATCAAAAGGATTGTTCAACTCTGTGAGTTGAATGCAGTCATCGCAGAAAACTTTCTGAGAATGCTTCTGTCTAGGTTTGATGTGAAGATATAGACGTTTCAAACGAAGGCTACAAAGTGGTCAACATATACACTTGCAGATTCTACTACAAGGGTGATGCAAACCTGAACTATCAAAGGAAGGTTCAACTCTGTGAGTTGAATACAAACATCACAAAGAATGTTCTGAGTTTGCTACCGTTCAGTTATGGGAAGTTGATCCCATTTCCAACGAAATCCTCAGAGAGGTCCAAATATCCCCTTGCAGATTCTACAAAACGTGTGTTTGGAAACTGCTCCATCATAACGAATGTTCAGCTCTCTGAGTTAAACTCCATCGTCACAAAGAATTTTCTGAGAGTGCTACCGTCTAGTTTTTATATGAAGTTCTTTCCTTTACTACCACAGGCCTCAAAGCGGTCCAAATCTCCACTTGCAGATTCTACAAAAAGAGTGTTTGCAAACTGCTCTATCAAAAGGAATGTTCAACTCTGGGAGTTGAATGCAATCATCACAGAGCAGTTTCTGAGAATGCTTCTATGTCGTTTTTAGGAGAAGATATTTCCTTTTCCAACACAGTCCTCCAAGCCCGCTAAATAGCCACTTGCACATTGTAGAAAAAGTGTGTCAAAGCTGCGCTATCAAAGGGAAAGTTCAACTCTGTGAGGTGAATGCAAACATCCCAAAGAAGTTTCTGAGAATGCTTCCGTTTAGCTTTTAGGTGAAGATTATCCCGTTTCCAACGAAACCTTCAAAGAGGTCCAAATATCCCCTTGCGGATCCCACAGAAAGAGTGTTTCGAAACTGCTGTTTCAAAAGGAATCTTCAACTCTGTGAGTTGAATGCAATCATCACAAAGAAGTTTCTGACAATGCTTCTCTCTCGTCTTTCTGTGAAGATAAAGGAAAAGGCTTTCAGGCCTTTTCCACCACAGGCCTGAAAGCGCTCCAAATGTCCACTTGCAGATTCTGCCAAAAGAATATTTCAAAACTGCTCTATGAAAAGCAATGTTAAACTCGGTGGCTCGAACACAAACATCCAAAGCAGTTTCTGAGAATGCTTCAGTTTAGTTTTTCTGTGGAAATATTCCCGTTTCCAAAGAAATCTTCAAAGAGGTCCACGCATCCACTTACAGATTCTACAAAAAGACAGTTTCAAAACTGCTCAATCAAAAGGAGGGTTCAACTGTGTGACTTGAATGCAATCATCACTCAGAAGTTTATGAGAACGCTTCTCTTTAGTTTTTACGTGAACATATACCCGTTTCGAACGAAGGCCAGCCAGTGGTCCAAATATCCACTTGCAGATTCTACAGAAAGAGTGTTTCGAACCTGAACTCTCAAAGGCAGGTTCATCTCTGCGAGTTAAATGCATTCATCATGAAGAACTTTCTCAGCGTGTTTGTGTTTAGTTATGGGAAATTATTCCCGTTCCCAACGAAATCCTCAGAGAGGTCCAAATGTCCACCTGCAGATTCTACCAAAAGTGTATTTGGAAACTGCTCCATCAACAGGCATGTTCAGCTCTGTGAGTGAAACTCCATCATCACAAAGAATATTCTGAGAATGCTTCCGTTTGCCTTTTATATGAAGTTCCTTCCTATACGACCGTAGGCCTCAAAGCAGTGCAAATCTCCATTTGCAGATTCTACAAAAAGAGTGATTCCAATCTGCTCTATCAATAGGATTGTTCAACTCCATGAGTTGAATGCCATCCTCACAAAGTAGTTTCTGAGAATGCTTCTATCTAGTTTTTATGTGAAGATATTTCCTTTTCCACCACAGGCCTCAAAGCCCTCCAAACGTCCACTTGCAGATTCTCGAAAAAGAGTGTTTCATAGCTGCTCTTTCAAAAGGAAAGTTCAACTCTGGGAGTTGAATACAAACATCACAAAGTAGTTTCCGAGAATGCTTCTGTTTAGTTCTTATGTGAAGATGATCCCCTTTCCAGTGAAATCTTCAAAGAGGTCCACATATCCCCTTGCAGATTCCAAAGAAAGAGGGTTTCAAAACTGCTCCATCAAAAGGATTGTTCAACTCTGTGAGTTGAATGCAGTCATCGCAGAAAACTTTCTGAGAATGCTTCTGTCTAGGTTTGATGTGAAGATATAGACGTTTCAAACGAAGGCTACAAAGTGGTCAAAATATACACTTGCAGATTCTACTACAAGGGTGTTGCAAACCTGAACTATCAAAGGAAGGTTCAACTCTGTGAGTTGAATACAAACATCACAAAGAATGTTCTGAGTTTGCTTCCGTTCAGTTATGGGAAGTTGATCCCGTTTCCAACAAAATCCTCAGAGAGGTCCAAATATCCCCTTGCAGATTCTACAAAACGTGTGTTGGGAAACTGCTCCATCATAACGAATGTTCAGCTCCCTGAGTTAAACTCCATCGTCACAAAGAATTTTCTGAGAGTGCTACCGTCTGGTTTTTATATGAAGTTCTTTCCTTCACTACCACAGGCCTCAAAGCGGTCCAAATCTCCACTTGCAGATTCTACAAAAAGAGTGTTTGCAAACTGCTCTATCAAAAGGAATGTTCAACTCTGGGAGTTGAATGCAATCATCACAGAGCAGTTTCTGAGAATGCTTCTATGTCGTTTTTAGGAGAAGATATTTCCTTTTCCAACACAGTCCTCCAAGCCCGCTAAATAGCCACTTGCACATTGTAGAAAAAGTGTGTCAAAGCTGCGCTATCAAAGGGAAAGTTCAACTCTGTGAGGTGAATGCAAACATCCCAAAGAAGTTTCTGAGAATGCTTCCGTTTAGCTTTAAGTGAAGATTATCCCGTTTCCAACGAAATCTTCAAAGAGGTCCAAATATCCCCTTGCGGATCCCACAGAAAGAGTGTTTCGAAACTGCTGTTTCAAAAGGAATCTTCAACTCTGTGAGTTGAATGCAATCATCACAAAGAAGTTTCTGACAATGCTTCTCTCTCGTCTTTCTGTGAAGATAAAGGAAAAGGCTTTCAGGCCTTTTCCACCACAGGCCTGAAAGCGCTCCAAATGTCCACTTGCAGATTCTGCCAAAAGAATATTTCAAAACTGCTCTATGAAAAGCAATGTTAAACTCTGTGGCTCGAACACAAACATCACAAAGCAGTTTCTGAGAATGCTTCAGTTTAGTTTTTCTGTGGAAATATTCCCGTTTCCAAAGAAATCTTCAAAGAGGTCCACGCATCCACTTACAGATTCTACAAAAAGACAGTTTCAAAACTGCTCAATCAAAAGGAGGGTTCAACTGTGTGACTTGAATGCAATCATCACTCAGAAGTTTCTGAGAACGCTTCTCTTTAGTTTTTACGTGAACATATACCCGTTTCGAACGAAGGCCAGCCAGTGGTCCAAATATCCACTTGCAGATTCTACAGAAAGAGTGTTTCGAACCTGAACTCTCAAAGGCAGGTTCATCTCTGCGAGTTCAATGCATTCATCATGAAGAACTTTCTCAGCGTATTTGTGTTTAGGTATGGGAAATTATTCCCGTTTCCAACGAAATCCTCAGAGAGGTCCAAATATCCACCTGCAGATTCTACCAAAAGTGTATTTGGAAACTGCTCCATGAAAAGGCATGTTCAGCTCTGTGAGTGAAACTCCATCATCACAAAGAATATTCTGAGAATGCTTCCATTTGCCTTTTATATGAAGTTCCTTCCTATACTACCGTAGGCCTCAAAGCAGTCCAAATCTCCATTTGCAGATTCTACAAAAAGAGTGATTCCAATCTGCTCTATCAATAGGATTGTTCAACTCCATGAGTTGAATGCCATCCTCACAAAGTCGTTTCTGAGAATGCTTCTATCTAGTTTTTATGTGAAGATATTTCCTTTTCCACCACAGGCCTCAAAGCCCTCCAAACGTCCACTTGCAGATTCTCGAAAAAGAGTGTTTCATAGCTGCTCTTTCAAAAGGAAAGTTCAACTCTGGGAGTTGAATACAAACATCACAAAGTAGTTTCCGAGAATGCTTCTGTTTAGTTTTTATGTGAAGATGATCCCGTTTCCAGTGAAATCTTCAAAGAGGTCCACATATCCCCTTGCAGATTCCAAAGAAAGAGGGTTTCAAAACTGCTCCATCAGAAGGATTGTTCAACTCTGTGAGTTGAATGCAGTCATCGCAGAAAACTTTCTGAGAATGCTTCTGTCTAGGTTTGATGTGAAGATATAGACGTTTCAAACGAAGGCTACAAAGTGGTCAAAATATACACTTGCAGATTCTACTACAAGGGTGTTGCAAACCTGAACTATCAAAGGAAGGTTCAACTCTGTGAGTTGAATACAAACATCACAAAGAATGTTCTGAGTTTGCTTCCGTTCAGTTATGGGAAGTTGATCCCGTTTCCAACGAAATCCTCAGAGAGGTCCAAATATCCCCTTGCAGATTCTACAAAACGTGTGTTTGGAAACTGCTCCATCATAACGAATGTTCAGCTCCCTGAGTTAAACTCCATCGTCACAAAGAATTTTCTGAGAGTGCTACCGTCTGGTTTTTATATGAAGTTCTTTCCTTCACTACCACAGGCCTCAAAGCGGTCCAAATCTCCACTTGCAGATTCTACAAAAAGAGTGTTTGCAAACTGCTCTATCAAAAGGAATGTTCAACTCTGGGAGTTGAATGCAATCATCACAGAGCAGTTTCTGAGAATGCTTCTATGTCGTTTTTAGGAGAAGATATTTCCTTTTCCAACACAGTCCTCCAAGCCCGCTAAATAGCCACTTGCACATTGTAGAAAAAGTGTGTCAAAGCTGCGCTATCAAAGGGAAAGTTCAACTCTGTGAGGTGAATGCAAACATCCCAAAGAAGTTTCTGAGAATGCTTCCGTTTAGCTTTTAGGTGAAGATTATCCCGTTTCCAACGAAATCTTCAAAGAGGTCCAAATATCCCCCTGCGGATCCCACAGAAAGAGTGTTTCGAAACTGCTGTTTCAAAAGGAATCTTCAACTCTGTGAGTTGAATGCAATCATCACAAAGAAGTTTCTGACAATGCTTCTCTCTCGTCTTTCTGTGAAGGTAAAGGAAAAGGCTTTCAGGCCTTTTCCACCACAGGCCTGAACGTGCTCCAAATGTCCACTTGCAGATTCTGCCAAAAGAATATTTCAAAACTGCTCTATGAAAAGCAATGTTAAACTCTGTGGCTCGAACACAAACATCACAAAGCCGTTTCTGAGAATGCTTCAGTTTAGTTTTTCTGTGGAAATATTCCCGTTTCCAAAGAAATCTTCAAAGAGGTCCACGCATCCACTTACAGATTCTACAAAAAGACAGTTTCAAAACTGCTCAATCAAAAGGAGGGTTCAACTGTGTGACTTGAATGCAATCATCACTCAGAAGTTTATGAGAACGCTTCTCTTTAGTTTTTACGTGAACATATACCCGTTTCGAACGAAGGCCAGCCAGTGGTCCAAATATCCACTTGCAGATTCTACAGAAAGAGTGTTTCGAACCTGAACTCTCAAAGGCAGGTTCATCTCTGCGAGTTAAATGCATTCATCATGAAGAACTTTCTCAGAGTGTTTGTGTTTAGTTATGGGAAATTATTCCCGTTTCCAACGAAATCCTCAGAGAGCTCCAAATATCCACCTGCAGATTCTACCAAAAGTGTATTTGGAAACTGCTCCATCAAAAGGCATGTTCCGCTCTGTGAGTGAAACTCCATCATCACAAAGAATATTCTGAGAATGCTTCCGTTTGCCTTTTATATGAAGTTCCTTCCTATACGACCGTAGGCCTCAAAGCAGTCCAAATCTCCATTTGCAGATTCTACAAAAAGAGTGATTCCAATCTGCTCTATCAATAGGATTGTTCAACTCCATGAGTTGAATGCCATCCTCACAAAGTAGTTTCTGAGAATGCTTCTATCTAGTTTTTATGTGAAGATATTTCCTTTTCCACCACAGGCCTCAAATCCCTCCAAACGTCCACTTGCAGATTCTCGAAAAAGAGTGTTTCATAGCTGCTCTTTCAAAAGGAAAGTTCAACTCTGGGAGTTGAATACAAACATCACAAAGTAGTTTCCGAGAATGCTTCTGTTTAGTTTTTATGTGAAGATGATCCCGTTTCCAGTGAAATCTTCAAAGAGGTCCACATATCCCCTTGCAGATTCCAAAGAAAGAGGGTTTCAAAACTGCTCCATCAGAAGGATTGTTCAACTCTGTGAGTGGAATGCAGTCATCGCAGAAAACTTTCTGAGAATGCTTCTTTCTAGGTTTGATGTGAAGATATAGACGTTTCAAACGAAGGCTACAAAGTGGTCAAAATATACACTTGCAGATTCTACTACAAGGGTGTTGCAAACCTGAACTATCAAAGGAAGGTTCAACTCTGTGAGTTGAATACAAACATCACAAAGAATGTTCTGAGTTTGCTTCCGTTCAGTTATGGGAAGTTGATCCCGTTTCCAACGAAATCCTCAGAGAGGTCCAAATATCCCCTCGCAGATTCTACAAAACGTGTGTTTGGAAACTGCTCCATCATAACGAATGTTCAGCTCCCGGAGTTAAACTCCATCGTCACAAAGAATTTTCTGAGAGTGCTACCGTCTGGTTTTTATATGAAGTTCTTTCCTTCACTACCACAGGCCTCAAAGCGGTCCAAATCTCCACTTGCAGATTCTACAAAAAGAGTGTTTGCAAACTGCTCTATCAAAAGGAATGTTCAACTCCTGGGAGTTGAATGCAATCATCACAGAGCAGTTTCTGAGAATGCTTCTATGTCGTTTTTAGGAGAAGATATTTCCTTTTCCAACACAGTCCTCCAAGTCCGCTAAATAGCCACTTGCACATTGTAGAAAAAGTGTGTCAAAGCTGCGCTATCAAAGGGAAAGTTCAACTCTGTGAGGTGAATGCAAACATCCCAAAGAAGTTTCTGAGAATGCTTCCGTTTAGCTTTTAGGTGAAGATTATCCCGTTTCCAACGAAACCTTCAAAGAGGTCCAAATATCCCCTTGCGGATCCCACAGAAAGAGTGTTTCGAAACTGCTGTTTCAAAAGGAATCTTCAACTCTGTGAGTTGAATGCAATCATCACAAAGAAGTTTCTGACAATGCTTCTCTCTCGTCTTTCTGTGAAGATAAAGGAAAAGGCTTTCAGGCCTTTTCCACCACAGGCCTGAAAGCGCTCCAAATGTCCACTTGCAGATTCTGCGAAAAGAATATTTCAAAACTGCTCTATGAAAAGCAATGTTAAACTCTGTGGCTGGAACACAAACATCACAAAGCGGTTTCTGAGAATGTTTCAGTTTAGATTTCTGTGGAAATATTCCCGTTTCCAAAGAAATCTTCAAAGAGGTCCACGTATCCACTTACAGATTCTACAAAAAGACAGTTTCAAAACTGCTCCATCAAAAGGAGGGTTCAACTGTGTGACTTGAATGCAATCATCACTCAGAAGTTTCTGAGAATGCTTCTCTTTAGTTTTTACGTGAACATATACCCGTTTCGAACGAAGGCCACCCAGTGGTCCAAATATCCACTTGCAGATTCTACAGAAAGAGTGTTTCGAACCTGAACTCTCAAAGGCAGGTTCATCTCTGCGAGTTAAATGCATTCATCATGAAGAACTTTCTCAGAGTGTTTGTGTTTAGTTATGGGAAATTATTCCCGTTTCCAACGAAATCCTCAGAGAGCTCCAAATATCCACCTGCAGATTCTACCAAAAGTGTATTTGGAAACTGCTCCATCAAAAGGCATGTTCAGCTCTGTGAGTGAAACTCCATCATCACAAAGAATATTCTGAGAATGCTTCCGTTTGCCTTTTATATGAAGTTCCTTCCTATACTACCGTAGGCCTCAAAGCAGTCCAAATCTCCATTTGCAGATTCTACAAAAAGAGTGATTCCAATCTGCTCTATCAATAGGATTGTTCAACTCCATGAGTTGAATGCCATCCTCACAATGTCGTTTCTGAGAATGCTTCTATCTAGTTTTTATGTGAAGATATTTCCTTTTCCACCACAGGCCTCAAAGCCCTCCAAACGTCCACTTGCAGATTCTCGAAAAAGAGTGTTTCATAGCTGCTCTTTCAAAAGGAAAGTTCAACTCTGGGAGTTGAATACAAACATCACAAAGTAGTTTCCGAGAATGCTTCTGTTTAGTTTTTATGTGAAGATGATCCCGTTTCCAGTGAAATCTTCAAAGAGGTCCACATATCCCCTTGCAGATTCCAAAGAAAGAGGGTTTCAAAACTGCTCCATCAGAAGGATTGTTCAACTCTGTGAGTTGAATGCAGTCATCGCAGAAAACTTTCTGAGAATGCTTCTGTCTAGGTTTGATGTGAAGATATAGACGTTTCAAACGAAGGCTACAAAGTGGTCAAAATATACACTTGCAGATTCTACTACAAGGGTGTTGCAAACCTGAACTATCAAAGGAAGGTTCAACTCTGTGAGTTGAATACAAACATCACAAAGAATGTTCTGAGTTTGCTTCCGTTCAGTTATGGGAAGTTGATCCCGTTTCCAACGAAATCCTCAGAGAGGTCCAAATATCCCCTCGCAGATTCTACAAAACGTGTGTTTGGAAACTGCTCCATCATAACGAATGTTCAGCTCCCTGAGTTAAACTCCATCGTCACAAAGAATTTTCTGAGAGTGCTACCGTCTGGTTTTTATATGAAGTTCTTTCCTTCACTACCACAGGCCTGAAAGCGGTCCAAATCTCCACTTGCAGATTCTACAAAAAGAGTGTTTGCAAACTGCTCTATCAAAAGGAATGTTCAACTCTGGGAGTTGAATGCAATCATCACAGAGCAGTTTCTGAGAATGCTTCTATGTCGTTTTTAGGAGAAGATATTTCCTTTTCCAACACAGTCCTCCAAGCCCGCTAAATAGCCACTTGCACATTGTAGAAAAAGTGTGTCAAAGCTGCGCTATCAAAGGGAAAGTTCAACTCTGTGAGGTGAATGCAAACATCCCAAAGAAGTTTCTGAGAATGCTTCCGTTTAGCTTTTAGGTGAAGATTATCCCGTTTCCAACGAAACCTGCAAAGAGGTCCAAATATCCCCTTGCGGATCCCACAGAAAGAGTGTTTCGAAACTGCTGTTTCAAAAGGAATCTTCAACTCTGTGAGCTGAATGCAATCATCACAAAGAAGTTTCTGACAATGCTTCTCTCTCGTCTTTCTGTGAAGATAAAGGAAAAGGCTTTCAGGCCTTTTCCACCACAGGCCTGAAAGCGCTCCAAATGTCCACTTGCAGATTCTGCGAAAAGAATATTTCAAAACTGCTCTATGAAAAGCAATGTTAAACTCTGTGGCTCGAACACAAACATCACAAAGCGGTTTCTGAGAATGCTTCAGTTTAGTTTTTCTGTGGAAATATTCCCGTTTCCAAAGAAATCTTCAAAGAGGTCCACGTATCCACTTACAGATTCTACAAAAAGACAGTTTCAAAACTGCTCCATCAAAAGGAGGGTTCAACCGTGTGACTTGAATGCAATCATCACTCAGAAGTTTCTGAGAATGCTTCTCTTTAGTTTTTACGTGAACATATACCCGTTTCGAACGAAGGCCAGCCAGTGGTCCAAATATCCACTTGCAGATTCTACAGAAAGAGTGTTTCGAACGTGAACTCTCAAAGGCAGGTTCATCTCTGCGAGTTGAATGCATTCATCATGAAGAACTTTCTCAGAGTGTTTGTGTTTAGTTATGGGAAATTATTCCCGTTTCCAACGAAATCCTCAGAGAGCTCCAAATATCCACCTGCAGATTCTACCAAAAGTGTATTTGGAAACTGCTCCATCAAAAGGCATGTTCAGCTCTGTGAGTGAAACTCCATCATCACAAAGAATATTCTGAGAATGCTTCCGTTTGCCTTTTATATGAAGTTCCTTCCTATACTACCGTAGGCCTCAAAGCAGTCCAAATCTCCATTTGCAGATTCTACAAAAAAAGTGATTCCAATCTGCTCTATCAATAGGACTGTTCAACTCCATGAGTTGAATGCCATCCTCACAAAGTCGTTTCTGAGAATGCTTCTATCTAGTTTTTATGTGAAGATATTTCCTTTTCCCCCACAGGCCTCAAAGCCCTCCAAACGTCCACTTGCAGATTCTCGAAAAAGGGTGTTTCATAGCTGCTCTTTCAAAAGGAAAGTTCAACTCTGGGAGCTGAATACAAACATCACAAAGTAGTTTCTGAGAATGCTTCTGTTTAGTTCTTATGTGAAGATGATCCCGTTTCCAGTGAAATCTTCAAAGAGGTCCACATATCCCCTTGCAGATTCCAAAGAAAGAGGGTTTCAAAACTGCTCCATCAAAAGGATTGTTCAACTCTGTGAGTTGAATGCAGTCATCGCAGAAAACTTTCTTAGAATGCTTCTGTCTAGGTTTGAGGTGAAGATATAGACGTTTCAAACGAAGGCTACAAAGTGGTCAAAATATACACTTGCAGATTCTACTACAAGGGTGTTGCAAACCTGAACTATCAAAGGAAGGTTCAACTCTGTGAGTTGAATACAAACATCACAAAGAATGTTCTGAGTTTGCTTCCGTTCAGTTATGGGAAGTTGATCCCGTTTCCAACGAAATCCTCAGAGAGGTCCAAATATCCCCTTGCAGATTCTACAAAACGTGTGTTTGGAAACTGCTCCATCATAACGAATGTTCAGCTCCCTGAGTTAAACTCCATCGTCACAAAGAATTTTCTGAGAGTGCTACCGTCTGGTTTTTATATGAAGTTCTTTCCTTCACTACCACAGGCCTCAAAGCGGTCCAAATCTCCACTTGCAGATTCTACAAAAAGAGTGTTTGCAAACTGCTCTATCAAAAGGAATGTTCAACTCTGGGAGTTGAATGCAATCATCACAGAGCAGTTTCTGAGAATGCTTCTATGTCGTTTTTAGAAGATATTTCCTTTTCCAACACAGTCCTCCAAGCCCGCTAAATATCCACTTGCACATTGTAGAAAAAGTGTGTCAAAGCTGCGCTATCAAAGGGAAAGTTCAACTCTGTGAGGTGAATGCAAACATCCCAAAGAAGTTTCTGAGAATGCTTCCGTTTAGCTTTTAGGTGAAGATTATCCCGTTTCCAACGAAACCTTCAAAGAGGTCCAAATATCCCCTTGCGGATCCCACAGAAAGAGTGTTTCGAAACTGCTGTTTCAAAAGGAATCTTCAACTCTGTGAGTTGAATGCAATCATCACAAAGAAGTTTCTGACAATGCTTCTCTCTCGTCTTTCTGTGAAGATAAAGGAAAAGGCTTTCAGGCCTTTTCCACCACAGGCCTGAAAGCGCTCCAAATGTCCACTTGCAGATTCTGCCAAAAGAATATTTCAAAACTGCTCTATGAAAAGCAATGTTAAACTCTGCGGCTCGAACACAAACATCACAAAGCAGTTTCTGAGAATGCTTCAGTTTAGTTTTTCTGTGGAAATATTCCCGTTTCCAAAGAAATCTTCAAAGAGGTCCACGTATCCACTTACAGATTCTACAAAAAGACAGTTTCAAAACTGCTCCATCAAAAGGAGGGTTCAACTGTGTGACTTGAATGCAATCATCACTCAGAAGTTTCTGAGAATGCTTCTCTTTAGTTTTTACGTGAACATATACCCGTTTCGAACGAAGGCCACCCAGTGGTCCAAATATCCACTTGCAAATTATACAGAAAGAGTGTTTCGAACCTGAACTCTCAAAGGCAGGTTCATCTCTGCGAGTTAAATGCATTCATCATGAAGAACTTTCTCAGAGTGTTTGTGTTTAGTTATGGGAAATTATTCCCGTTTCCAACGAAATCCTCAGAGAGCTCCAAATATCCACCTGCAGATTCTACCAAAAGTGTATTTGGAAACTGCTCCATCAAAAGGCATGTTCAGCTCTGTCAGTGAAACTCCATCATCACAAAGAATATTCTGAGAATGCTTCCGTTTGCCTTTTATATGAAGTTCCTTCCTATACGACCGTAGGCCTCAAAGCAGTCCAAATCTCCATTTGCAGATTCTACAAAAAGAGTGATTCCAATCTGCTCTATCAATAGGATTGTTCAACTCCATGAGTTGAATGCCATCCTCACAAAGTAGTTTCTGAGAATGCTTCTATCTGGTTTTTGTGTGAAGATATTTCCTTTTCCACCACAGGCCTCAAAGCCCTCCAAACGTCCACTTGCAGATTCTCGAAAAAGAGTGTTTCATAGCTGCTCTTTCAAAAGGAAAGTTCAACTCTGGCAGTTGAATACAAACATCACAAAGTAGTTTCCGAGAATGCTTCTGTTTAGTTCTTATGTGAAGATGATCCCGTTTCCAGTGAAATCTTCAAAGAGGTCCACATATGCCCTTGCAGATTCCAAAGAAAGTGGGTTTCAAAACTGCTCCATCAAAAGGATTGCTCAACTCTGTGAGTAGAATGCAGTCATCGCAGAAAACTTTCTGAGAATGCTTCTGTCTAGGTTTGATGTGAAGATATAGACGTTTCAAACGAAGGCTACAAAGTGGTCAAAATATACACTTGCAGATTCTACTACAAGGGTGTTGCAAACCTGAACTATCAAAGGAAGGTTCAACTCTGTGAGTTGAATACAAACATCACAAAGAATGTTCTGAGTTTGCTTCCGTTCACTTATGGGAAGTTGATCCCGTTTCCAACGAAATCCTCAGAGAGGTCCAAATATCCCCTTGCAGATTCTGCAAAACGTGTGTTTGGAAACTGCTCCATCATAACGAATGTTCAGCTCTCTGAGTTAAACTCCATCGTCACAAAGAATTTTCTGAGAGTGCTACCGTCTAGTTTTTATATGAAGTTCTTTCCTTTACTACCACAGGCCTCAAAGCGGTCCAAATCTCCACTTGCAGATTCTACAAAAAGAGTGTTTGCAAACTGCTCTATCAAAAGGAATGTTCAACTCTGGGAGTTGAATGCAATCATCACAGAGCAGTTCCTGAGAATGCTTCTATGTCGTTTTTAGGAGAAGATATTTCCTTTTCCAACACAGTCCTCCAAGCCCGCTAAATAGCCACTTGCACATTGTAGAAAAAGTGTGTCAAAGCTGCGCTATCAAAGGGAAAGTTCAACTCTGTGAGGTGAATGCAAACATCCCAAAGAAGTTTCTGAGAGTGCTTCCGTTTAGCTTTTAGGTGAAGATTATCCCGTTTCCAACGAAACCTTCAAAGAGGTCCAAATATCCCCTTGCGGATCCCACAGAAAGAGTGTTTCGAAACTGCTGTTTCAAAAGGAATCTTCAACTCTGTGAGTTGAATGCAATCATCACAAAGAAGTTTCTGACAATGCTTCTCTCTCGTCTTTCTGTGAAGATAAAGGAAAAGGCTTTCAGGCCATTTCCACCACAGGCCTGAAAGCGCTCCAAATGTCCACTTGCAGATTCTGCCAAAAGAATATTTCAAAACTGCTCTATGAAAAGCAATGTTAAACTCTGCGGCTCGAACACAAACATCACAAAGCAGTTTCTGAGAATGCTTCAGTTTAGTTTTTCTGTGGAAATATTCCCGTTTCCAAAGAAATCTTCAAAGAGGTCCACGTATCCACTTACAGATTCTACAAAAAGACAGTTTCAAAACTGCTCCATCAAAAGGAGGGTTCAACTGTGTGACTTGAATGCAATCATCACTCAGAAGTTTCTGAGAATGCTTCTCTTTAGTTTTTACGTGAACATATACCCGTTTCGAACGAAGGCCACCCAGTGGTCCAAATATCCACTTGCAGATTCTACAGAAAGAGTGTTTCGAACCTGAACTCTCAAAGGCAGGTTCATCTCTGCGAGTTAAATGCATTCGTCATGAAGAACTTTCTCAGAGTGTTTGTGTTTAGTTATGGGAAATTATTCCCGTTCCCAAAGAAATCCTCAGAGAGGTCCAAATGTCCACCTGCAGATTCTACCAAAAGTGTATTTGGAAACTGCTCCATCAACAGGCATGTTCAGCTCTGTGAGTGAAACTCCATCATCACAAAGAATATTCTGAGAATGCTTCCGTTTGCCTTTTATATGAAGTTCCTTCCTATACGACCGTAGGCCTCAAAGCAGTCCAAATCTCCATTTGCAGATTCTACAAAAAGAGTGATTCCAATCTGCTCTATCAATAGGATTGTTCAACTCCATGAGTTGAATGCCATCCTCACAAAGTAGTTTCTGAGAATGCTTCTATCTGGTTTTTGTGTGAAGATATTTCCTTTACCACCACAGGCCTCAAAGCCCTCCAAACGACCACTTGCAGATTCTCGAAAAAGAGTGTTTCATAGCTGCTCTTTCAAAAGGAAAGTTCAACTCTGGGAGTTGAATACAAACATCACAAAATAGTTTCCGAGAATGCTTCTGTTTAGTTTTTATGTGAAGATGATCCCGTTTCCAGTGAAATCTTCAAAGAGGTCCACATATCCCCTTGCAGATTCCAAAGAAAGAGGGTTTCAAAACTGCTCCATCAGAAGGATTGTTCAACTCTGTGAGTTGAATGCAGTCATCGCAGAAAACTTTCTGAGAATGCTTCTGTCTAGTTTTGATGTGAAGATATAGACGTTTCAAACGAAGGCTACAAAGTGGTCAAAATATACACTTGCAGATTCTACTACAAGGGTGTTGCAAACCTGAACTATCAAAGGAAGGTTCAACTCTGTGAGTTGAATACAAACATCACAAAGAATGTTCTGAGTTTGCTTCCGTTCAGTTATGGGAAGTTGATCCCGTTTCCAACGAAATCCTCAGAGAGGTCCAAATATCCCCTTGCAGATTCTACAAAACGTGTGTTTGGAAACTGCTCCATCATAACGAATGTTCAGCTCCCTGAGTTAAACTCCATCGTCACAAAGAATTTTCTGAGAGTGCTACCGTCTGGTTTTTATATGAAGTTCTTTCCTTCACTACCACAGGCCTCAAAGCGGTCCAAATCTCCACTTGCAGATTCTACAAAAAGAGTGTTTGCAAACTGCTCTATCAAAAGGAATGTTCAACTCTGGGAGTTGAATGCAATCATCACAGAGCAGTTTCTGAGAATGCTTCTATGTCGTTTTTAGGAGAAGATATTTCCTTTTCCAACACAGTCCTCCAAGCCCGCTAAATAGCCACTTGCACATTGTAGAAAACGTGTGTCAAAGCTGCGCTATCAAAGGGAAAGTTCAACTCTGTGAGGTGAATGCAAACATCCCAAAGAAGTTTCTGAGAATGCTTCCGTTTAGCTTTTAGGTGAAGATTATCCCGTTTCCAACGAAACCTTCAAAGAGGTCCAAATATCCCCTTGCGGATCCCACAGAAAGAGTGTTTCGAAACTGCTGTTTCAAAAGGAATCTTCAACTCTGTGAGTTGAATGCAATCATCAAAAAGAAGTTTCTGACAATGCTTCTCTCTCGTCTTTCTGTGAAGATAAAGGAAAAGGCTTTCAGGCCTTTTCCACCACAGGCCTGAAAGCGCTCCAAATGTCCACTTGCAGATTCTGCCAAAAGAATATTTCAAAACTGCTCTATGAAAAGCAATGTTAAACTCTGCGGCTCGAACACAAACATCACAAAGCGGTTTCTGAGAATGCTTCAGTTTAGTTTTTCTGTGGAAATATTCCCGTTTCCAAAGAAATCTTCAAAGAGGTCCACGTATCCACTTACAGATTCTACAAAAAGACAGTTTCAAAACTGCTCCATCAAAACGAGGGTTCAACTGTGTGACTTGAATGCAATCATCACTCAGAAGTTTCTGAGAATGCTTCTCTTTAGTTTTTACGTGAACATATACCCGTTTCGAACGAAGGCCACCCAGTGGTCCAAATATCCACTTGCAGATTATACAGAAAGAGTGTTTCGAACCTGAACTCTCAAAGGCAGGTTCATCTCTGCGAGTTAAATGCATTCATCATGAAGAACTTTCTCAGAGTGTTTGTGTTTAGTTATGGGAAATTATTCCCGTTTCCAACGAAATCCTCAGAGAGCTCCAAATATCCACCTGCAGATTCTACCAAAAGTGTATTTGGAAACTGCTCCATCAAAAGGCATGTTCAGCTCTGTGAGTGAAACTCCATCATCACAAAGAATATTCTGAGAATGCTTCCGTTTGCCTTTTATATGAAGTTCCTTCCTGTACTACCGTAGGCCTCAAAGCAGTCCAAATCTCCATTTGCAGATTCTACAAAAAGAGTGATTCCAATCTGCTCTATCAATAGGATTGTTCAACTCCATGAGTTGAATGCCATCCTCACAAAGCAGTTTCTGAGAATGCTTCTATCTGGTTTTTGTGTGAAGATATTTCCTTTTCCACCACAGGCCTCAAAGCCCTCCAAACGTCCACTTGCAGATTCTCGAAAAAGAGTGTTTCATAGCTGCTCTTTCAAAAGGAAAGTTCAACTCTGGGAGTTGAATACAAACATCACAAAGTAGTTTCCGAGAATGCTTCTGTTTAGTTTTTATGTGAAGATGATCCCGTTTCCAGTGAAATCTTCAAAGAGGTCCACATATCCCCTTGCAGATTCCAAAGAAAGAGGGTTTCAAAACTGCTCCATCAGAAGGATTGTTCAACTCTGTGAGTTGAATGCAGTCATCGCAGAAAACTTTCTGAGAATGCTTCTGTCTAGGTTTGATGTGAAGATATAGACGTTTCAAACGAAGGCTACAAAGTGGTCAAAATATACACTTGCAGATTCTACTACAAGGGTGTTGCAAACCTGAACTATCAAAGGAAGGTTCAACTCTGTGAGTTGAATACAAACATCACAAAGAATGTTCTGAGTTTGCTTCCGTTCAGTTATGGGAAGTTGATCCCGTTTCCAACGAAATCCTCAGAGAGGTCCAAATATCCCCTCGCAGATTCTACAAAACGTGTGTTTGGAAACTGCTCCATCATAACGAATGTTCAGCTCCCTGAGTTAAACTCCATCGTCACAAAGAATTTTCTGAGAGTGCTACCGTCTGGTTTTTATATGAAGTTCTTTCCTTCACTACCACAGGCCTCAAAGCGGTCCAAATCTCCACTTGCAGATTCTACAAAAAGAGTGTTTGCAAACTGCTCTATCAAAAGGAATGTTCAACTCTGGGAGTTGAATGCAATCATCACAGAGCAGTTTCTGAGAATGCTTCTATGTCGTTTTTAGGAGAAGATATTTCCTTTTCCAACACAGTCCTCCAAGCCCGCTAAATAGCCACTTGCACATTGTAGAAAAAGTGTGTCAAAGCTGCGCTATCAAAGGGAAAGTTCAACTCTGTGAGGTGAATGCAAACATCCCAAAGAAGTTTCTGAGAATGCTTCCGTTTAGCTTTTAGGTGAAGATTATCCCGTTTCCAACGAAACCTTCAAAGAGGTCCAAATATCCCCTTGCGGATCCCACAGAAAGAGTGTTTCGAAACTGCTGTTTCAAAAGGAATCTTCAACTCTGTGAGTTGAATGCAATCATCACAAAGAAGTTTCTGACAATGCTTCTCTCTCGTCTTTCTGTGAAGATAAAGGAAAAGGCTTTCAGGCCTTTTCCACCACAGGCCTGAAAGCGCTCCAAATGTCCACTTGCAGATTCTGCGAAAAGAATATTTCAAAACTGCTCTATGAAAAGCAATGTTAAACTCTGTGGCTGGAACACAAACATCACAAAGCGGTTTCTGAGAATGTTTCAGTTTAGTTTTTCTGTGGAAATATTCCCGTTTCCAAAGAAATCTTCAAAGAGGTCCACGTATCCACTTACAGATTCTACAAAAAGACAGTTTCAAAACTGCTCCATCAAAAGGAGGGTTCAACTGTGTGACTTGAATGCAATCATCACTCAGAAGTTTCTGAGAATGCTTCTCTTTAGTTTTTACGTGAACATATACCCGTTTCGAACGAAGGCCAGCCAGTGGTCCAAATATCCACTTGCAGATTCTACAGAAAGAGTGTTTTGAACCTGAACTCTCAAAGGCAGGTTCATCTCTGCGAGTTAAATGCATTCATCATGAAGAACTTTCTCAGCGTGTTTGTGTTTAGTTATGGGAAATTATTCCCGTTTCCAACGAAATCCTCAGAGAGCTCCAAATATCCACCTGCAGATTCTACCAAAAGTGTATTTGGAAACTGCTCCCATCTCAAAAGGCATGTTCAGCTCTGTGAGTGAAACTCCATCATCACAAAGAATATTCTGAGAATGCTTCCGTTTGCCTTTTATATGAAGTTCCTTCCTATACGACCGTAGGCCTCAAAGCAGTGCAAATCTCCATTTGCAGATTCTACAAAAAGAGTGATTCCAATCTGCTCTATCAATAGGATTGTTCAACTCCATGAGTTGAATGCCATCCTCACAAAGTCGTTTCTGAGAATGCTTCTATCTAGTTTTTATGTGAAGATATTTCCTTTTCCACCACAGGCCTCAAAGCCCTCCAAACGTCCACTTGTAGATTCTCGAAAAAGAGTGTTTCATAGCTGCTCTTTCAAAAGGAAAGTTCAACTCCTGGGAGTTGAATACAAACATCACAAAGTAGTTTCCGAGAATGCTTCTGTTTAGTTTTTATGTGAAGATGATCCCGTTTCCAGTGAAATCTTCAAAGAGGTCCACATATCCCCTTGCAGATTCCAAAGAAAGAGGGTTTCAAAACTGCTCCATCAGAAGGATTGTTCAACTCTGTGAGTTGAATGCAGTCATCGCAGAAAACTTTCTGAGAATGCTTCTGTCTAGGTTTGATGTGAAGATATAGACGTTTCAAACGAAGGCTACAAAGTGGTCAAAATATACACTTGCAGATTCTACTACAAGGGTGTTGCAAACCTGAACTATCAAAGGAAGGTTCAACTCTGTGAGTTGAATACAAACATCACAAAGAATGTTCTGAGTTTGCTTCCGTTCAGTTATGGGAAGTTGATCCCTTTTCCAACGAAATCCTCAGAGAGGTCCAAATATCCCCTCGCAGATTCTACAAAACGTGTGTTTGGAAACTGCTCCATCATAACGAATGTTCAGCTCCCTGAGTTAAACTCCATCGTCACAAAGAATTTTCTGAGAGTGCTACCGTCTGGTTTTTATATGAAGTTCTTTCTTTCACTACCACAGGCCTCAAAGCGGTCCAAATCTCCACTTGCAGATTCTACAAAAAGAGTGTTTGCAAACTGCTCTATCAAAAGGAATGTTCAACTCTGGGAGTTGAATGCAATCATCACAGAGCAGTTTCTGAGAATGCTTCTATGTCGTTTTTAGGAGAAGATATTTCCTTTTCCAACACAGTCCTCCAAGCCCGCTAAATATCCACTTGCACATTGTAGAAAAAGTGTGTCGAAGCTGCGCTATCAAAGGGAAAGTTCAACTCTGTGAGGTGAATGCAAACATCCCAAAGAAGTTTCTGAGAATGCTTCCGTTTAGCTTTTAGGTGAAGATTATCCCGTTTCCAACGAAACCTTCAAAGAGGTCCAAATATCCCCTTGCGGATCCCACAGAAAGAGTGTTTCGAAACTGCTGTTTCAAAAGGAATCTTCAACTCTGAGTTGAATGCAATCATCACAAAGAAGTTTCTGACAATGCTTCTCTCTCGTCTTTCTGTGAAGATAAAGGAAAAGGCTTTCAGGCCTTTTCCACCACAGGCCTGAAAGCGCTCCAAATGTCCACTTGCAGATTCTGCGAAAAGAATATTTCAAAACTGCTCTATGAAAAGCAATGTTAAACTCTGTGGCTCGAACACAAACATCACAAAGCGGTTTCTGAGAATGCTTCAGTTTAGTTTTTCTGTGGAAATATTCCCGTTTCCAAAGAAATCTTCAAAGAGGTCCACGTATCCACTTACAGATTCTACAAAACGACAGTTTCAAAACTGCTCCATCAAAAGGAGGGTTCAACTGTGTGACTTGAATGCAATCATCACTCAGAAGTTTCTGAGAATGCTTCTCTTTAGTTTTTACGTGAACATATACCCGTTTCGAACGAAGGCCACCCAGTGGTCCAAATATCCACTTGCAGATTCTACAGAAAGAGTGTTTCGAACCTGAACTCTCAAAGGCAGGTTCATCTCTGCGAGTTAAATGCATTCATCATGAAGAACTTTCTCAGAGTGTTTGTGTTTAGTTATGGGAAATTATTCCCGTTTCCAACGAAATCCTCAGAGAGCTCCAAATATCCACCTGCAGATTCTACCAAAAGTGTATTTGGAAACTGCTCCATCAAAAGGCATGTTCAGCTCTGTCAGTGAAACTCCATCATCACAAAGAATATTCTGAGAATGCTTCCGTTTGCCTTTTATATGAAGTTCCTTCCTATACTACCGTAGGCCTCAAAGCAGTCCAAATCTCCATTTGCAGATTCTACAAAAAGAGTGATTCCAATCTGCTCTATCAATAGGACTGTTCAACTCCATGAGTTGAATGCCATCCTCACAAAGTAGTTTCTGAGAATGCTTCTATCTAGTTTTTATGTGAAGATATTTCCTTTTCCACCACAGGCCTCAAAGCCTTCCAAACGTCCACTTGCAGATTCTCGAAAAAGAGTGTTTCATAGCTGCTCTTTCAAAAGGAAAGTTCAACTCTGGGAGTTGAATACAAACATCACAAAGTAGTTTCCGAGAATGCTTCTGTTTAGTTTTTATGTGAAGATGATCCCGTTTCCAGTGAAATCTTCAAAGAGGTCCACATATCCCCTTGCAGATTCCAAAGAAAGAGGGTTTCAAAACTGCTCCATCAGAAGGATTGTTCAACTCTGTGAGTTGAATGCAGTCATCGCAGAAAACTTTCTGAGAATGCTTCTGTCTAGGTTTGATGTGAAGATATAGACGTTTCAAACGAAGGCTACAAAGTGGTCAAAATATACACTTGCAGATTCTACTACAAGGGTGTTGCAAACCTGAACTATCAAAGGAAGGTTCAACTCTGTGAATTGAATACAAACATCACAAAGAATGTTCTGAGTTTGCTTCCGTTCAGTTATGGGAAGTTGATCCCGTTTCCAACGAAATCCTCAGAGAGGTCCAAATATCCCCTTGCAGATTCTACAAAACGTGTGTTTGGAAACTGCTCCATCATAACGAATGTTCAGCTCCCTGAGTTAAACTCCATCGTCACAAAGAATTTTCTGAGAGTGCTACCGTCTGGTTTTTATATGAAGCTCTTTCCTTCACTACCACAGGCCTCAAAGCGGTCCAAATCTCCACTTGCAGATTCTACAAAAAGAGTGTTTGCAAACTGCTCTATCAAAAGGAATGTTCAACTCTGGGAGTTGAATGCAATCATCACAGAGCAGTTTCTGAGAATGCTTCTATGTCGTTTTTAGGAGAAGATATTTCCTTTTCCAACACAGTCCTCCAAGCCCGCTAAATAGCCACTTGCACATTGTAGAAAAAGTGTGTCAAAGCTGCGCTATCAAAGGGAAAGTTCAACTCTGTGAGGTGAATGCAAACATCCCAAAGAAGTTTCTGAGAATGCTTCCGTTTAGCTTTTAGGTGAGGATTATCCCGTTTCCAACGAAACCTTCAAAGAGGTCCAAATATCCCCTTGCGGATCCCACAGAAAGAGTGTTTCGAAACTGCTGTTTCAAAAGGAATCTTCAACTCTGTGAGTTGAATGCAATCATCACAAAGAAGTTTCTGACAATGCTTCTCTCTCGTCTTTCTGTGAAGATAAAGGAAAAGGCTTTCAGGCCTTTTCCACCACAGGCCTGAAAGCGCTCCAAATGTCCACTTGCAGATTCTGCCAAAAGAATATTTCAAAACTGCTCTATGAAAAGCAATGTTAAACTCTGTGGCTGGAACACAAACATCACAAAGCGGTTTCTGAGAATGTTTCAGTTTAGTTTTTCTGTGGAAATATTCCCGTTTCCAAAGAAATCTTCAAAGAGGTCCACGTATCCACTTACAGATTCTACAAAAAGACAGTTTCAAAACTGCTCCATCAAAAGGAGGGTTCAACTGTGTGACTTGAATGCAATCATCACTCAGAAGTTTCTGAGAATGCTTCTCTTTAGTTTTTACATGAACATATACCCGTTTCGAACGAAGGCCACCCAGTGGTCCAAATATCCACTTGCAGATTCTACAGAAAGAGTGTTTCGAACCTGAACTCTCAAAGGCAGGTTCATCTCTGCGAGTTAAATGCATTCATCATGAAGAACTTTCTCAGAGTGTTTGTGTTTAGTTATGGGAAATTATTCCCGTTTCCAACGAAATCCTCAGAGAGCTCCAAATATCCACCTGCAGATTCTACCAAAAGTGTATTTGGAAACTGCTCCATCAAAAGGCATGTTCAGCTCTGTGAGTGAAACTCCATCATCACAAAGAATATTCTGAGAATGCTTCCGTTTGCCTTTTATATGAAGTTCCTTCCTATACGACCGTAGGCCTCAAAGCAGTCCAAATCTCCATTTGCAGATTCTACAAAAAGAGTGATTCCAATCTGCTCTATCAATAGGATTGTTCAACTCCATGAGTTGAATGCCATCCTCACAAAGTCGTTTCTGAGAATGCTTCTATCTGGTTTTTGTGTGAAGATATTTCCTTTTCCACCACAGGCCTCAAAGCCCTCCAAACGTCCACTTGCAGATTCTCGAAAAAGAGTGTTTCATAGCTGCTCTTTCAAAAGGAAAGTTCAACTCTGGGAGTTGAATACAAACATCACAAAATAGTTTCCGAGAATGCTTCTGTTTAGTTTTTATGTGAAGATGATCCCGTTTCCAGTGAAATCTTCAAAGAGGTCCACATATCCCCTTGCAGATTCCAAAGAAAGAGGGTTTCAAAACTGCTCCATCAGAAGGATTGTTCAACTCTGTGAGTTGAATGCAGTCATCACAGAAAACTTTCTGAGAATGCTTCTGTCTAGGTTTGATGTGAAGATATAGACGTTTCAAACGAAGGCTACAAAGTGGTCAAAATATACACTTGCAGATTCTACTACAAGGGTGTTGCAAACCTGAACTATCAAAGGAAGGTTCAACTCTGTGAATTGAATACAAACATCACAAAGAATGTTCTGAGTTTGCTTCCGTTCAGTTATGGGAAGTTGATCCCGTTTCCAACGAAATCCTCAGAGAGGTCCAAATATCCCCTCGCAGATTCTACAAAACGTGTGTTTGGAAACTGCTCCATCATAACGAATGTTCAGCTCCCTGAGTTAAACTCCATCGTCACAAAGAATTTTCTGAGAGTGCTACCGTCTGGTTTTTATATGAAGTTCTTTCCTTCACTACCACAGGCCTCAAAGCGGTCCAAATCTCCACTTGCAGATTCTACAAAAAGAGTGTTTGCAAACTGCTCTATCAAAAGGAATGTTCAACTCTGGGAGTTGAATGCAATCATCACAGAGCAGTTTCTGAGAATGCTTCTATGTCGTTTTTAGGAGAAGATATTTCCTTTTCCAACACAGTCCTCCAAGCCCGCTAAATAGCCACTTGCACATTGTAGAAAAAGTGTGTCAAAGCTGCGCTATCAAAGGGAAAGTTCAACTCTGTGAGGTGAATGCAAACATCCCAAAGAAGTTTCTGAGAATGCTTCCGTTTAGCTTTTAGGTGAAGATTATCCCGTTTCCAACGAAACCTTCAAAGAGGTCCAAATATCCCCTTGCGGATCCCACAGAAAGAGTGTTTCGAAACTGCTGTTTCAAAAGGAATCTTCAACTCTGTGGGTTGAATGCAATCATCACAAAGAAGTTTCTGACAATGCTTCTCTCTCGTCTTTCTGTGAAGATAAAGGAAAAGGCTTTCAGGCCTTTTCCACCACAGGCCTGAAAGCGCTCCAAATGTCCACTTGCAGATTCTGCCAAAAGAATATTTCAAAACTGCTCTATGAAAAGCAATGTTAAACTCTGTGGCTCGAACACAAACATCACAAAGCGGTTTCTGAGAATGCTTCAGTTTAGTTTTTCTGTGGAAATATTCCCGTTTCCAAAGAAATCTTCAAAGAGGTCCACGTATCCACTTACAGATTCTACAAAAAGACAGTTTCAAAACTGCTCCATCAAAAGGAGGGTTCAACTGTGTGACTTGAATGCAATCATCACTCAGAAGTTTCTGAGAATGCTTCTCTTTAGTTTTTACGTGAACATATACCCGTTTCGAACGAAGGCCACCCAGTGGTCCAAATATCCACTTGCAGATTCTACAGAAAGAGTGTTTCGAACCTGAACTCTCAAAGGCAGGTTCATCTCTGCGAGTTAAATGCATTCATCATGAAGAACTTTCTCAGAGTGTTTGTGTTTAGTTATGGGAAATTATTCCCGTTTCCAACGAAATCCTCAGAGAGCTCCAAATATCCACCTGCTGATTCTACCAAAAGTGTATTTGGAAACTGCTCCATCAAAAGGCATGTTCAGCTCTGTGAGTGAAACTCCATCATCACAAAGAATATTCTGAGAATGCTTCCGTTTGCCTTTTATATGAAGTTCCTTCCTATACGACCGTAGGCCTCAAAGCAGTCCAAATCTCCATTTGCAGATTCTACAAAAAGAGTGATTCCAATCTGCTCTATCAATAGGATTGTTCAACTCCATGAGTTGAATGCCATCCTCACAAAGTCGTTTCTGAGAATGCTTCTATCTAGTTTTTATGTGAAGATATTTCCTTTTCCACCACAGGCCTCAAAGCCTTCCAAACGTCCACTTGCAGATTCTCGAAAAAGAGTGTTTCATAGCTGCTCTTTCAAAAGGAAAGTTCAACTCTGGGAGTTGAATACAAACATCACAAAGTAGTTTCCGAGAATGCTTCTGCTTAGTTCTTATGTGAAGATGATCCCGTTTCCAGTGAAATCTTCAAAGAGGTCCACATATCCCCTTGCAGATTCCAAAGAAAGAGGGTTTCAAAACTGCTCCATCAAAAGGATTGTTCAACTCTGTGAGTTGAATGCAGTCATCGCAGAAAACTTTCTGAGAATGCTTCTGTCTAGGTTTGATGTGAAGATATAGACGTTTCAAACGAAGCCTACAAAGTGGTCAAAATATACACTTGCAGATTCTACTACAAGGGTGTTGCAAACCTGAACTATCAAAGGAAGGTTCAACTCTGTGAGTTGAATACAAACATCACAAAGAATGTTCTGAGTTTGCTTCCGTTCAGTTATGGGAAGTTGATCCCGTTCCCAACGAAATCCTCAGAGAGGTCCAAATATCCCCTTGCAGATTCTACAAAACGTGTGTTTGGAAACTGCTCCATCATAACGAATGTTCAGCTCTCTGAGTTAAACTCCATCGTCACAAAGAATTTTCTGAGAGTGCTACCGTCTGGTTTTTATATGAAGTTCTTTCCTTTACTACCACAGGCCTCAAAGCGGTCCAAATCTCCACTTGCAGATTCTACAAAAAGAGTGTTTGCAAACTGCTCTATCAAAAGGAATGTTCAACTCTGGGAGTTGAATGCAATCATCACAGAGCAGTTTCTGAGAATGCTTCCATGTCGTTTTTAGGAGAAGATATTTCCTTTTCCAACACAGTCCTCCAAGCCCGCTAAATATCCACTTGCACATTGTAGAAAAAGTGTGTCGAAGCTGCGCTATCAAAGGGAAAGTTCAACTCTGTGAGATGAATGCAAACACCCCAAGGAAGTTTCTGAGAATGCTTCCGTTTAGCTTTTAGGTGAAGATTATCCCGTTTCCAACGAAATCTTCAAAGAGGTCCAAATATCCCCTTGCGGATCCCACAGAAAGAGTGTTTCGAAACTGCTGTTTCAAAAGGAATCTTCAACTCTGTGAGTTGAATGCAATCATCACAAAGAAGTTTCTGACAATGCTTCTCTCTCGTCTTTCTGTGAAGATAAAGGAAAAGGCTTTCAGGCCTTTTCCACCACAGGCCTGAAAGCGCTCCAAATGTCCACTTGCAGATTCTGCCAAAAGAATATTTCAAAACTGCTCTATGAAAAGCAATGTTAAACTCTGCGGCTCGAACACAAACATCACAAAGCAGTTTCTGAGAATGCTTCAGTTTAGTTTTTCTGTGGAAATATTCCCGTTTCCAAAGAAATCTTCAAAGAGGTCCACGTATCCACTTACAGATTCTACAAAAAGACAGTTTCAAAACTGCTCCATCAAAAGGAGGGTTCAACTGTGTGACTTGAATGCAATCATCACTCAGAAGTTTCTGAGAATGCTTCTCTTTAGTTTTTACGTGAACATATACCCGTTTCGAACGAAGGCCAGCCAGTGGTCCAAATATCCACTTGCAGATTCTACAGAAGGAGTGTTTCGAACCTGAACTCTCAAAGGCAGGTTCATCTCTGCGAGTTAAATGCATTCATCATGAAGAACTTTCTCAGCGTGTTTGTGTTTAGTTATGGGAAATTATTCCCGTTTCCAACGAAATCCTCAGAGAGCTCCAAATATCCACCTGCAGATTCTACCAAAAGTGTATTTGGAAACTGCTCCATCAAAAGGCATGTTCAGCTCTGTGAGTGAAACTCCATCATCATAAAGAATATTCTTAGAATGCTTCCGTTTGCCTTTTATATGAAGTTCCTTCCTATACGACCGTAGGCCTCAAAGCAGTCCAAATCTCCATTTGCAGATTCTACAAAAAGAGTGATTCCAATCTGCTCTATCAATAGGATTGTTCAACTCCATGAGTTGAATGCCATCCTCACCAAGTCGTTTCTGAGAATGCTTTCTATCTAGTTTTATGTGAAGATATTTCCTTTTCCACCACAGGCCTCAAAGCCCTCCAAACGTCCACTTGCAGATTCTCGAAAAAGAGTGTTTCATAGCTGCTCTTTCAAAAGGAAAGTTCAACTCTGGGAGTTGAATACAAACATCACAAAGTAGTTTCCGAGAATGCTTCTGTTTAGTTTTTATGTGAAGATGATCCCGTTTCCAGTGAAATCTTCAAAGAGGTCCACATATCCCCTTGCAGATTCCAAAGAAAGAGGGTTTCAAAACTGCTCCATCAGAAGGATTGTTCAACTCTGTGAGTTGAATGCAGTCATCGCAGAAAACTTTCTGAGAATGCTTCTGTCTAGGTTTGATGTGAAGATATAGACGTTTCAAACGAAGGCTACAATGTGGTCAAAATATACACTTGCAGATTCTACTACAAGGGTGTTGCAAACCTCAACTATCAAAGGAAGGTTCAACTCTGTGAGATGAATGCAAACATCACAAAGAATGTTCTGAGTTTGCTTCCGTTTAGTTATGGGAAATTGATACCGTTTCCAACGAAATCCTCAGAGAGGTCCAAATATCCCCTTGCAGATTCTACAAAACGTGTGTTTGGAAACTGCTCCATCATAACGAATGTTCAGCTCTCTGAGTTAAACTCCATCGTCACAAAGAATTTTCTGAGAGTGCTACCGTCTACTTTTTATATGAAGTTCTTTCCTTTACTACCACAGGCCTCAAAGCGGTCCAAATCTCCACTTGCAGATTCTACAAAAAGAGTGTTTGCAAATTGCTCTATCAAAAGGAATGTTCAACTCTGGGAGTTGAATGCAATCATCACAGAGCAGTTTCTGAGAATGCTTCTATGTCGTTTTTAGGAGAAGATATTTCCTTTTCCAACACAGTCTTCCAAGCCCGCTTAATAGCCACTTGCACATTGTAGAAAAAGTGTGTCGAAGCTGCGCTATCAAAGGGAAAGTTCAACTCTGTGAGGTGAATGCAAACATCCCAAAGAAGTTTCTGAGAATGCTTCCGTTTAGCTTTTAGGTGAAGATTATCCCGTTTCCAACGAAACCTTCAAAGAGGTCCAAATATCCCCTTGTGGATCCCACAGAAAGAGTGTTTCGAAACTGCTGTTTCAAAAGGAATCTTCAACTCTGTGAGTTGAATGCAATCATCACAAAGAAGTTTCTGACAATGCTTCTCTCTCGTCTTTCTGTGAAGATAAAGGAAAAGGCTTTCAGGCCTTTTCCACCACAGGCCTGAAAGCGCTCCAAATGTCCACTTGCAGATTCTGCGAAAAGAATATTTCAAAACTGCTCTATGAAAAGCAATGTTAAACTCTGTGGCTCGAACACAAACATCACAAAGCGGTTTCTGAGAATGCTTCAGTTTAGTTTTTCTGTGGAAATATTCCCGTTTCCAAAGAAATCTTCAAAGAGGTCCACGTATCCACTTACAGATTCTACAAAAAGACAGTTTCAAAACTGCTCCATCAAAAGGAGGGTTCAACTGTGTGACTTGAATGCAATCATCACTCAGAAGTTTCTGAGAATGCTTCTCTTTAGTTTTTACGTGAACATATACCCGTTTCGAACGAAGGCCACCCAGTGGTCCAAATATCCACTTGCAGATTCTACAGAAAGAGTGTTTCGAACCTGAACTCTCAAAGGCAGGTTCATCTCTGCGAGTTAAATGCATTCATCATGAAGAACTTTCTCAGAGTGTTTGTGTTTAGTTATGGGAAATTATTCCCGTTTCCAACGAAATCCTCAGAGAGCTCCAAATATCCACCTGCTGATTCTACCAAAAGTGTATTTGGAAACTGCTCCATCAAAAGGCATGTTCAGCTCTGTGAGTGAAACTCCATCATCACAAAGAATATTCTGAGAATGCTTCCGTTTGCCTTTTATATGAAGTTCCTTCCTGTACTACCGTAGGCCTCAAAGCAGTCCAAATCTCCATTTGCAGATTCTATGAAAAGAGTGATTCCAATCTGCTCTATCAATAGGATTGTTCAACTCCATGAGTTGAATGCCATCCTCACAAAGTAGTTTCTGAGAATGCTTCTATCTGGTTTTTGTGTGAAGATATTTCCTTTTCCACCACAGGCCTCAAAGCCCTCCAAACGTCCACTTGCAGATTCTCGAAAAAGAGTGTTTCATAGCTGCTCTTTCAAAAGGAAAGTTCAACTCTGGGAGTTGAATACAAACATCACAAAATAGTTTCCGAGAATGCTTCTGTTTAGTTTTTATGTGAAGATGATCCCGTTTCCAGTGAAATCTTCAAAGAGGTCCACATATCCCCTTGCAGATTCCAAAGAAAGAGGGTTTCAAAACTGCTCCATCAGAGGATTGTTCAACTCTGTGAGTTGAATGCAGTCATCGCAGAAAACTTTCTGAGAATGCTTCTGTCTAGGTTTGATGTGAAGATATAGACGTTTCAAACGAAGGCTACAAAGTGGTCAAAATATACACTTGCAGATTCTACTACAAGGGTGTTGCAAACCTGAACTATCAAAGGAAGGTTCAACTCTGTGAATTGAATACAAACATCACAAAGAATGTTCTGAGTTTGCTTCCGTTCAGTTATGGGAAGTTGATCCCGTTTCCAACGAAATCCTCAGAGAGGTCCAAATATCCCCTCGCAGATTCTACAAAACGTGTGTTTGGAAACTGCTCCATCATAACGAATGTTCAGCTCCCTGAGTTAAACTCCATCGTCACAAAGAATTTTCTGAGAGTGCTACCGTCTGGTTTTTATATGAAGTTCTTTCCTTCACTACCACAGGCCTCAAAGCGGTCCAAATCTCCACTTGCAGATTCTACAAAAAGAGTGTTTGCAAACTGCTCTATCAAAAGGAATGTTCAACTCTGGGAGTTGAATGCAATCATCACAGAGCAGTTTCTGAGAATGCTTCTATGTCGTTTTTAGGAGAAGATATTTCCTTTTCCAACACAGTCCTCCAAGCCCGCTAAATAGCCACTTGCACATTGTAGAAAAAGTGTGTCAAAGCTGCGCTATCAAAGGGAAAGTTCAACTCTGTGAGGTGAATGCAAACATCCCAAAGAAGTTTCTGAGAATGCTTCCGTTTAGCTTTTAGGTGAAGATTATCCCGTTTCCAACGAAACCTTCAAAGAGGTCCAAATATCCCCTTGCGGATCCCACAGAAAGAGTGTTTCGAAACTGCTGTTTCAAAAGGAATCTTCAACTCTGTGAGTTGAATGCAATCATCACAAAGAAGTTTCTGACAATGCTTCTCTCTCGTCTTTCTGTGAAGATAAAGGAAAAGGCTTTCAGGCCTTTTCCACCACAGGCCTGAAAGCGCTCCAAATGTCCACTTGCAGATTCTGCGAAAAGAATATTTCAAAACTGCTCTATGAAAAGCAATGTTAAACTCTGTGGCTCGAACACAAACATCACAAAGCAGTTTCTGAGAATGCTTCAGTTTAGTTTTTCTGTGGAAATATTCCCGTTTCCAAAGAAATCTTCAAAGAGGTCCACGTATCCACTTACAGATTCTACAAAAAGACAGTTTCAAAACTGCTCCATCAAAAGGAGGGTTCAACCGTGTGACTTGAATGCAATCATCACTCAGAAGTTTCTGAGAATGCTTCTCTTTAGTTTTTACGTGAACATATACCCGTTTCGAACGAAGGCCACCCAGTGGTCCAAATATCCACTTGCAGATTCTACAGAAAGAGTGTTTCGAACCTGAACTCTCAAAGGCAGGTTCATCTCTGCGAGTTAAATGCATTCATCATGAAGAACTTTCTCAGAGTGTTTGTGTTTAGTTATGGGAAATTATTCCCGTTTCCAACGAAATCCTCAGAGAGGTCCAAATATCCACCTGCAGATTCTACCAAAAGTGTATTTGGAAACTGCTCCATCAAAAGGCATGTTCAGCTCTGTGAGTGAAACTCCATCATCACAAAGAATATTCTGAGAATGCTTCCGTTTGCCTTTTATATGAAGTTCCTTCCTATACTACCGTAGGCCTCAAAGCAGTCCAAATCTCCATTTGCAGATTCTACAAAAAGAGTGATTCCAATCTGCTCTATCAATAGGATTGTTCAACTCCATGAGTTGAATGCCATCCTCACAAAGTCGTTTCTGAGAATGCTTCTATCTGGTTTTTGTGTGAAGATATTTCCTTTTCCACCACAGGCCTCAAAGCCCTCCAAACGTCCACTTGCAGATTCTCGAAAAAGAGTGTTTCATAGCTGCTCTTTCAAAAGGAAAGTTCAACTCTGGCAGTTGAATACAAACATCACAAAGTAGTTTCCGAGAATGCTTCTGTTTAGTTCTTATGTGAAGATGATCCCGTTTCCAGTGAAATCTTCAAAGAGGTCCACATATCCCCTTGCAGATTCCAAAGAAAGAGGGTTTCAAAACTGCTCCATCAAAAGGATTGTTCAAATCTGTGAGTTGAATGCAGTCATCGCAGAAAACTTTCTGAGAATGCTTCTGTCTAGGTTTGATGTGAAGATATAGACGTTTCAAACGAAGGCTAAAAAGTGGTCAAAATATACACTTGCAGATTCTACTAGAAGGGTGATGCAAACCTGAACTATCAAAGGAAGGTTCAACTCTGTGAGTTGAATACAAACATCACAAAGAATGTTCTGAGTTTGCTTCCGTTCAGTTATGGGAAGTTGATCCCGTTTCCAACGAAATCCTCAGAGAGGTCCAAATATCCCCTTGCAGATTCTACAAAACGTGTGTTTGGAAACTGCTCCATCATAACGAATGTTCAGCTCCCTGAGTTAAACTCCATCGTCACAAAGAATTTTCTGAGAGTGCTACCGTCTGGTTTTTATATGAAGTTCTTTCCTTCACTACCACAGGCCTCAAAGCGGTCCAAATCTCCACTTGCAGATTCTACAAAAAGAGTGTTTGCAAACTGCTCTATCAAAAGGAATGTTCAACTCTGGGAGTTGAATGCAATCATCACAGAGCAGTTTCTGAGAATGCTTCTATGTCGTTTTTAGGAGAAGATATTTCCTTTTCCAACACAGTCCTCCAAGCCCGCTAAATAGCCACTTGCACATTGTAGAAAAAGTGTGTCAAAGCTGCGCTATCAAAGGGAAAGTTCAACTCTGTGAGGTGAATGCAAACATCCCAAAGAAGTTTCTGAGAATGCTTCCGTTTAGCTTTTAGGTGAAGATTATCCCGTTTCCAACCAAACCTTCAAAGAGGTCCAAATATCCCCTTGCGGATCCCACAGAAAGAGTGTTTCGAAACTGCTGTTTCAAAAGGAATCTTCAACTCTGTGAGTTGAATGCAATCATCACAAAGAAGTTTCTGACAATGCTTCTCTCTCGTCTTTCTGTGAAGATAAAGGAAAAGGCTTTCAGGCCTTTTCCACCACAGGCCTGAAAGCGCTCCAAATGTCCACTTGCAGATTCTGCGAAAAGAATATTTCAAAACTGCTCTATGAAAAGCAATGTTAAACTCTGTGGCTCGAACACAAACATCACAAAGCGGTTTCTGAGAATGCTTCAGTTTAGTTTTTCTGTGGAAATATTCCCGTTTCCAAAGAAATCTTCAAAGAGGTCCACGTATCCACTTACAGATTCTACAAAAAGACAGTTTCAAAACTGCTCCATCAAAAGGAGGGTTCAACTGTGTGACTTGAATGCAATCATCACTCAGAAGTTTCTGAGAATGCTTCTCTTTAGTTTTTACGTGAACATATACCCGTTTCGAACGAAGCCACCCAGTGGTCCAAATATCCACTTGCAGATTCTACAGAAAGAGTGTTTCGAACCTGAACTCTCAAAGGCAGGTTCATCTCTGCGAGTTAAATGCATTCATCATGAAGAACTTTCTCAGAGTGTTTGTGTTTAGTTATGGGAAATTATTCCCGTTTCCAACGAAATCCTCAGAGAGCTCCAAATATCCACCTGCAGATTCTACCAAAAGTGTATTTGGAAACTGCTCCATCAAAAGGCATGTTCAGCTCTGTGAGTGAAACTCCATCATCACAAAGAATATTCTGAGAATGCTTCCGTTTGCCTTTTATATGAAGTTCCTTCCTATACGACCGTAGGCCTCAAAGCAGTCCAAATCTCCATTTGCAGATTCTACAAAAAGAGTGATTCCAATCTGCTCTATCAATAGGATTGTTCAACTCCATGAGTTGAATGCCATCCTCACAAAGTAGTTTCTGAGAATGCTTCTATCTAGTTTTTATGTGAAGATATTTCCTTTTCCACCACAGGCCTCAAAGCCCTCCAAACGTCCACTTGCAGATTCTCGAAAAAGAGTGTTTCATAGCTGCTCTTTCAAAAGGAAATTTCAACTCTGGGAGTTGAATACAAACATCACAAAGAATGTTCTGAGTTTGCTTCCGTTCAGTTATGGGAAGTTGATCCCGTTTCCAACGAAATCCTCAGAGAGGTCCAAATATCCCCTTGCAGATTCTACAAAACGTGTGTTCGGAAACTGCTCCATCATAACGAATGTTCAGCTCCCTGAGTTAAACTCCATCGTCACAAAGAATTTTCTGAGAGTGCTACCGTCTGTTTTTTATATGAAGCTCTTTCCTTTACTACCCCAGTCCTCAAAGCGGTCCAAATCTCCACTTGCAGATTCTACAAAAAGAGTGTTTGCAAACTGCTCTATCAAAAGGAATGTTCAACTCTGGGAGTTGAATGCAATCATCACAGAGCAGTTTCTGAGAATGCTTCTATGTCGTTTTTAGGAGAAGATATTTCCTTTTCCAACACAGTCCTCCAAGCCCGCTAAATAGCCACTTGCACATTGTAGAAAAAGTGTGTCAAAGCTGCGCTATCAAAGGGAAAGTTCAACTCTGTGAGGTGAATGCAAACATCCCAAAGAAGTTTCTGAGAATGCTTCCGTTTAGCTTTTAGGTGAAGATTATCCCGTTTCCAACGAAACCTTCAAAGAGGTCCAAATATCCCCTTGTGGATCCCACAGAAAGAGTGTTTCGAAACTGCTGTTTCAAAAGGAATCTTCAACTCTGTGAGTTGAATGCAATCATCACAAAGAAGTTTCTGACAATGCTTCTCTCTCGTCTTTCTGTGAAGATAAAGGAAAAGGCTTTCAGGCCTTTTCCACCACAGGCCTGAAAGCGCTCCAAATGTCCACTTGCAGATTCTGCGAAAAGAATATTTCAAAACTGCTCTATGAAAAGCAATGTTAAACTCTGTGGCTGGAACACAAACATCACAAAGCGGTTTCTGAGAATGTTTCAGTTTAGTTTTTCTGTGGAAATATTCCCGTTTCCAAAGAAATCTTCAAAGAGGTCCACGTATCCACTTACAGATTCTACAAAAAGACAGTTTCAAAACTGCTCCATCAAAAGGAGGGTTCAACTGTGTGACTTGAATGCAATCATCACTCAGAAGTTTCTGAGAATGCTTCTCTTTAGTTTTTACGTGAACATATACCCGTTTCGAACGAAGGCCACCCAGTGGTCCAAATATCCACTTGCAGATTATACAGAAAGAGTGTTTCGAACCTGAACTCTCAAAGGCAGGTTCATCTCTGCGAGTTAAATGCATTCATCATGAAGAACTTTCTCAGAGTGTTTGTGTTTAGTTATGGGAAATTATTCCCGTTTCCAACGAAATCCTCAGAGAGCTCCAAATATCCACCTGCTGATTCTACCAAAAGTGTATTTGGAAACTGCTCCATCAAAAGGCATGTTCAGCTCTGTGAGTGAAACTCCATCATCACAAAGAATATTCTGAGAATGCTTCCGTTTGCCTTTTATATGAAGTTCCTTCCTATACGACCGTAGGCCTCAAAGCAGTCCAAATCTCCATTTGCAGATTCTACAAAAAGAGTGATTCCAATCTGCTCTATCAATAGGATTGTTCAACTCCATGAGTTGAATGCCATCCTCACAAAGTAGTTTCTGAGAATGCTTCTATCTAGTTTTATGTGAAGATATTTCCTTTTCCACCACAGGCCTCAAAGCCCTCCAAACGTCCACTTGCAGATTCTCGAAAAAGAGTGTTTCATAGCTGCTCTTTCAAAAGGAAAGTTCAACTCTGGGAGTTGAATACAAACATCACAAAGTAGTTTCCAAGAATGCTTCTGTTTAGTTTTTATGTGAAGATGATCCCGTTTCCAGTGAAATCTTCAAAGAGGTCCACATATCCCCTTGCAGATTCCAAAGAAAGAGGGTTTCAAAACTGCTCCATCAGAAGGATTGTTCAACTCTGTGAGTTGAATGCAGTCATCGCAGAAAACTTTCTGAGAATGCTTCTGTCTAGGTTTGATGTGAAGATATAGACGTTTCAAACGAAGGCTACAAAGTGGTCAAAATATACACTTGCAGATTCTACTACAAGGGTGTTGCAAACCTGAACTATCAAAGGAAGGTTCAACTCTGTGAGTTGAATACAAACATCACAAAGAATGTTCTGAGTTTGCTTCCGTTCAGTTATGGGAAGTTGATCCCGTTTCCAACGAAATCCTCAGAGAGGTCCAAATATCCCCTTGCAGATTCTACAAAACGTGTGTTTGGAAACTGCTCCATCATAACGAATGTTCAGCTCCCTGAGTTAAACTCCATCGTCACAAAGAATTTTCTGAGAGTGCTACCGTCTGGTTTTTATATGAAGTTCTTTCCTTCACTACCACAGGCCTCAAAGCGGTCCAAATCTCCACTTGCAGATTCTACAAAAAGAGTGTTTGCAAACTGCTCTATCAAAAGGAATGTTCAACTCTGGGAGTTGAATGCAATCATCACAGAGCAGTTTCTGAGAATGCTTCTATGTCGTTTTTAGGAGAAGATATTTCCTTTTCCAACACAGTCCTCCAAGCCCGCTAAATAGCCACTTGCACATTGTAGAAAAAGTGTGTCAAAGCTGCGCTATCAAAGGGAAAGTTCAACTCTGTGAGGTGAATGCAAACATCCCAAAGAAGTTTCTGAGAATGCTTCCGTTTAGCTTTTAGGTGAAGATTATCCCGTTTCCAACGAAATCTTCAAAGAGGTCCAAATATCCCCTTGCGGATCCCACAGAAAGAGTGTTTCGAAACTGCTGTTTCAAAAGGAATCTTCAACTCTGTGAGTTGAATGCAATCATCACAAAGAAGTTTCTGACAATTCTTCTCTCTCGTCTTTCTGTGAAGATAAAGGAAAAGGCTTTCAGGCCTTTTCCACCACAGGCCTGAAAGCGCTCCAAATGTCCACTTGCAGATTCTGCGAAAAGAATATTTCAAAACTGCTCTATGAAAAGCAATGTTAAACTCTGTGGCTCGAACACAAACATCACAAAGCGGTTTCTGAGAATGTTTCAGTTTAGTTTTTCTGTGGAAATATTCCCGTTTCCAAAGAAATCTTCAAAGAGGTCCACGTATCCACTTACAGATTCTACAAAAAGACAGTTTCAAAACTGCTCCATCAAAAGGAGGGTTCAACTGTGTGACTTGAATGCAATCATCACTCAGAAGTTTCTGAGAATGCTTCTCTTTAGTTTTTACGTGAACATATACCCGTTTCGAACGAAGGCCAGCCAGTGGTCCAAATATCCACTTGCAGATTCTACAGAAAGAGTGTTTCGAACCTGAACTCTCAAAGGCAGGTTCATCTCTGCGAGTTAAATGCATTCATCATGAAGAACTTTCTCAGAGTGTTTGTGTTTAGGTATGGGAAATTATTGCCGTTTCCAACGAAATCCTCAGAGAGGTCCAAATATCCACCTGCAGATTCTACCAAAAGTGTATTTGGAAACTGCTCCATCAAAAGGCATGTTCAGCTCTGTGAGTGAAACTCCATCATCACAAAGAATATTCTGAGAATGCTTCCGTTTGCCTTTTATATGAACTTCCTTCCTGTACTACCGTAGGCCTCAAAGCAGTCCAAATCTCCATTTGCAGATTCTACAAAAAGAGTGATTCCAATCTGCTCTATCAATAGGATTGTTCAACTCCATGAGTTGAATGCCATCCTCACAAAGTAGTTTCTGAGAATGCTTCTATCTAGTTTCTATGTGAAGATATTTCCTTTTCCACCACAGGCCTCAAAGCCCTCCAAACGTCCACTTGCAGATTCTCGAAAAAGAGTGTTTCATAGCTGCTCTTTCAAAAGGAAAGTTCAACTCTGGGAGTTGAATACAAACATCTCAAACTAGTTTCCGAGAATGCTTCTGTTTAGTTTTTATGTGAAGATGATCCCGTTTCCAGTGAAATCTTCAAAGAGGTCCACATATCCCCTTGCAGATTCCAAAGAAAGAGGGTTTCAAAACTGCTCCATCAGAAGGATTGTTCAACTCTGTGAGTTGAATGCAGTCATCGCAGAAAACTTTCTGAGAATGCTTCTGTCTAGGTTTGATGTGAAGATATAGACGTTTCAAACGAAGGCTACAAAGTGGTCAAAATATACACTTGCAGATTCTACTACAAGGGTGTTGCAAACCTGAACTATCAAAGGAAGGTTCAACTCTGTGAGTTGAATACAAACATCACAAAGAATGTTCTGAGTTTGCTTCCGTTCAGTTATGGGAAGTTGATCCCGTTTCCAACGAAATCCTCAGAGAGGTCCAAATATCCCCTTGCAGATTCTACAAAACGTGTGTTTGGAAACTGCTCCATCATAACGAATGTTCAGCTCCCTGAGTTAAACTCCATCGTCACAAAGAATTTTCTGAGAGTGCTACCGTCTGGTTTTTATATGAAGTTCTTTCCTTCACTACCACAGACCTCAAAGCGGTCCAAATCTCCACTTGCAGATTCTACAAAAAGAGTGTTTGCAAACTGCTCTATCAAAAGGAATGTTCAACTCTGGGAGTTGAATGCAATCATCACAGAGCAGTTTCTGAGAATGCTTCTATGTCGTTTTTAGGAGAAGATATTTCCTTTTCCAACACAGTCCTCCAAGCCCGCTAAATAGCCACTTGCACATTGTAGAAAAAGTGTGTCGAAGCTGCGCTATCAAAGGGAAAGTTCAACTCTGTGAGGTGAATGCAAACATCCCAAAGAAGTTTCTGAGAATGCTTCCGTTTAGCTTTTAGGTGAAGATTATCCCGTTTCCAACGAAACCTTCAAAGAGGTCCAAATATCCCCTTGCGGATCCCACAGAAAGAGTGTTTCGAAACTGCTGTTTCAAAAGGAATCTTCAACTCTGTGAGTTGAATGCAATCATCACAAAGAAGTTTCTGACAATGCTTCTCTCTCGTCTTTCTGTGAAGATAAAGGAAAAGGCTTTCAGGCCTTTTCAACCACAGGCCTGAAAGCGCTCCAAATGTCCACTTGCAGATTCTGCCAAAAGAATATTTCAAAACTGCTCTATGAAAAGCAATGTTAAACTCTGTGGCTCGAACACAAACATCACATAGCAGTTTCTGAGAATGCTTCAGTTTAGTTTTTCTGTGGAAATATTCCCGTTTCCAAAGAAATATTCAAAGAGGTCCACGTATCCACTTACAGATTTTACAAAAAGACAGTTTCAAAACTGCTCAATCAAAAGGAGGGTTCAACTGTGTGACTTGAATGTAATCATCACTCAGAAGTTTCTGAGAATGCTTCTCTTTAGTTTTTACGTGAACATATACCCGTTTCGAACGAAGGCCAGCCAGTGGTCCAAATATCCACTTGCAGATTCTACAGAAAGAGTGTTTCGAACCTGAACTCTCAAAGGCAGGTTCATCTCTGCGAGTTAAATGCATTCATCATGAAGAACTTTCTCAGAGTGTTTGTGTTTAGTTATGGGAAATTATTCCCTTTTCCAACGAAATCCTCAGAGAGCTCCAAATATCCACCTGCAGATTCTACCAAAAGTGTATTTGGAAACTGCTCCATCAAAAGGCATGTTCAGCTCTGTCAGTGAAACTCCATCATCACAAAGAATATTCTGAGAATGCTTCCGTTTGCCTTTTATATGAAGTTCCTTCCTGTACTACCGTAGGCCTCAAAGCAGTCCAAATCTCCATTTGCAGATTCTACAAAAAGAGTGATTCCAATCTGCTCTATCAATAGGATTGTTCAACTCCATGAGTTGAATGCCATCCTCACAAAGTAGTTTCTGAGAATGCTTCTATCTGGTTTTTGTGTGAAGATATTTCCTTTTCCACCACAGGCCTCAAAGCCCTCCAAACGTCCACTTGCAGATTCTCGAAAAAGAGTGTTTCATAGCTGCTCTTTCAAAAGGAAAGTTCAACTCTGGGAGTTGAATGCAAACATCACAAAATAGTTTCCGAGAATGCTTCTGTTTAGTTTTTATGTGAAGATGATCCCGTTTCCAGTGAAATCTTCAAAGAGGTCCACATATCCCCTTGCAGATTCCAAAGAAAGAGGGTTTCAAAACTGCTCCATCAGAAGGATTGTTCAACTCTGTGAGTTGAATGCAGTCATCGCAGAAAACTTTCTGAGAATGCTTCTGTCTAGGTTTGATGTGAAGATATAGACGTTTCAAACGAAGGCTACAAAGTGGTCAAAATATACACTTGCAGATTCTACTACAAGGGTGTTGCAAACCTGAACTATCAAAGGAAGGTTCAACTCTGTGAGTTGAATACAAACATCACAAAGAATGTTCTGAGTTTGCTTCCGTTCAGTTATGGGAAGTTGATCCCGTTTCCAACGAAATCCTCAGAGAGGTCCAAATATCCCCTTGCAGATTCTACAAAACGTGTGTTTGGAAACTGCTCCATCATAACGAATGTTCAGCTCCCTGAGTTAAACTCCATCGTCACAAAGAATTTTCTGAGAGTGCTACCGTCTGGTTTTTATATGAAGTTCTTTCCTTCACTACCACAGGCCTCAAAGCGGTCCAAATCTCCACTTGCAGATTCTACAAAAAGAGTGTTTGCAAACTGCTCTATCAAAAGGAATGTTCAACTCTGGGAGTTGAATGCAATCATCACAGAGCAGTTTCTGAGAATGCTTCTATGTCGTTTTTAGAAGATATTTCCTTTTCCAACACAGTCCTCCAAGCCTGCTAAATAGCCACTTGCACATTGTAGAAAAAGTGTGTCAAAGCTGCGCTATCAAAGGGAAAGTTCAACTCTGTGAGGTGAATGCAAACATCCCAAAGAAGTTTCTGAGAATGCTTCCATTTAGCTTTTAGGTGAAGATTATCCCGTTTCCAACGAAACCTTCAAAGAGGTCCAAATATCCCCTTGCGGATCCCACAGAAAGAGTGTTTCGAAACTGCTGTTTCAAAAGGAATCTTCAACTCTGTGAGTTGAATGCAATCATCACAAAGAAGTTTCTGACAATGCTTCTCTCTCGTCTTTCTGTGAAGATAAAGGAAAAGGCTTTCAGGCCTTTTCCACCACAGGCCTGAAAGCGCTCCAAATGTCCACTTGCAGATTCTGCCAAAAGAATATTTCAAAACTGCTCTATGAAAAGCAATGTTAAACTCTGTGGCTCGAACACAAACATCACAAAGCGGTTTCTGAGAATGCTTCAGTTTAGTTTTTCTGTGGAAGTATTCCCGTTTCCAAAGAAATCTTCAAAGAGGTCCACGTATCCACTTACAGATTCTAAAAAAGACAGTTTCAAAACTGCTCCATCAAAAGGAGGGTTCAACTGTGTGACTTGAATGCAATCATCACTCAGAAGTTTCTGAGAATGCTTCTCTTTAGTTTTTACGTGAACATATACGCGTTTCGAACGAAGGCCACCCAGTGGTCCAAATATCCACTTGCAGATTATACAGAAAGAGTGTTTCGAACCTGAACTCTCAAAGGCAGGTTCATCTCTGCGAGTTAAATGCATTCATCATGAAGAACTTTCTCAGAGTGTTTGTGTTTAGTTATGGGAAATTATTCCCGTTTCCAACGAAATCCTCAGAGAGCTCCAAATATCCACCTGCAGATTCTACCAAAAGTGTATTTGGAAACTGCTCCATCAAAAGGCATGTTCAGCTCTGTGAGTGAAACTCCATCATCACAAAGAATATTCTGAGAATGCTTCCGTTTGCCTTTTATATGAAGTTCCTTCCTGTACTACCGTAGGCCTCAAAGCAGTCCAAATCTCCATTTGCAGATTCTACAAAAAGAGTGATTCCAATCTGCTCTATCAATAGGATTGTTCAACTCCATGAGTTGAATGCCATCCTCACAAAGCAGTTTCTGAGAATGCTTCTATCTAGTTTTTATGTGAAGATATTTCCTTTTCCACCACAGGCCTCAAAGCCCTCCAATCGTCCACTTGCAGATTCTCGAAAAAGAGTGTTTCATAGCTGCTCTTTCAAAAGGAAAGTTCAACTCTGGGAGCTGAATACAAACATCACAAAGTAGTTTCCGAGAATGCTTCTGTTTAGTTCTTATGTGAAGATGATCCCGTTTCCAGTGAAATCTTCAAAGAGGTCCACATATCCCCTTGCAGATTCCAAAGAAAGAGGGTTTCAAAACTGCTCCATCAAAAGGATTGTTCAACTCTGTGAGTTGAATGCAGTCATCGCAGAAAACTTTCTGAGAATGCTTCTGTCTCGGTTTGATGTGAAGATATAGACGTTTCAAACGAAGGCTACAAAGTGGTCAAAATATACACTTGCAGATTCTACTACAAGGGTGATGCAAACCTGAACTATCAAAGGAAGGTTCAACTCTGTGAGTTGAATACAAACATCACAAAGAATGTTCTGAGTTTGCTTCTGTTCAGTTATGGGAAGTTGATCCCGTTTCCAACGAAATCCTCAGAGAGGTCCAAATATCCCCTTGCAGATTCTACAAAACGTGTGTTTGGAAACTGCTCCATCATAACGAATGTTCAGCTCTCTGAGTTAAACTCCATCGTCACAAAGAATTTTCTGAGAGTGCTACCGTCTAGTTTTTATATGAAGTTCTTTCCTTTACTACCACAGGCCTCAAAGCGGTCCAAATCTCCACTTGCAGATTCTACAAAAAGAGTGTTTGCAAACTGCTCTATCAAAAGGAATGTTCAACTCTGGGAGTTGAATGCAATCATCACAGAGCAGTTTCTGAGAATGCTTCTATGTCGTTTTTAGGAGAAGATATTTCCTTTTCCAACACAGTCCTCCAAGCCCGCTAAATAGCCACTTGCACATTGTAGAAAAAGTGTGTCAAAGCTGCGCTATCAAAGGGAAAGTTCAACTCTGTGAGGTGAATGCAAACATCCCAAAGAAGTTTCTGAGAATGCTTCCGTTTAGCTTTTAGGTGAAGATTATCCCGTTTCCAACGAAATCTTCAAAGAGGTCCAAATATCCCCTTGCGGATCCCACAGAAAGAGTGTTTCGAAACTGCTGTTTCAAAAGGAATCTTCAACTCTGTGAGTTGAATGCAATCATCACAAAGAAGTTTCTGACAATGCTTCTCTCTCGTCTTCCTGTGAAGATAAAGGAAAAGGCTTTCAGGCCTTTTCCACCACAGGCCTGAAAGCGCTCCAAATGTCCACTTGCAGATTCTGCCAAAAGAATATTTCAAAACTGCTCTATGAAAAGCAATGTTAAACTCTGTGGCTCGAACACAAACATCACAAAGCAGTTTCTGAGAATGCTTCAGTTTAGTTTTTCTGTGGAAATATTCCCGTTTCCAAAGATATCTTCAAAGAGGTCCACGCATCCACTTACAGATTCTACAAAAAGACAGTTTCAAAACTGCTCAATCAAAAGGAGGGTTCAACTGTGTGACTTGAATGCAATCATCACTCAGAAGTTTCTGAGAATGCTTCTCTTTAGTTTTTACGGGAACATATACCCGTTTCAAACGAAGGCCAGCCAGTGGTCCAAATATCCACTTGCAGATTCTACAGAAAGAGTGTTTTGAACCTGAACTCTCAAAGGCAGGTTCATCTCTGAGAGTTCAATGCATTCATCATGAAGAACTTTCTCAGAGTGTTTGTGTTTAGTTATGGGAAATTATTCCCGTTTCCAACGAAATCCTCAGAGAGCTCCAAATATCCACCTGCAGATTCTACCAAAAGTGTATTTGGAAACTGCTCCATCAAAAGGCATGTTCAGCTCTGTGAGTGAAACTCCATCATCACAAAGAATATTCTGAGAATGCTTCCGTTTGCCTTTTATATGAAGTTCCTTCCTGTACTACCGTAGGCCTCAAAGCAGTCCAAATCTCCATTTGCAGATTCTACAAAAAGAGTGATTCCAATCTGCTCTATCAAAAGGATTGTTCAACTCCATGAGTTGAATGCCATCCTCACAAAGCAGTTTCTGAGAATGCTTCTATCTGGTTTTTGTGTGAAGATATTTCCTTTTCCACCACAGGCCTCAAAGCCCTCCAAACGTCCACTTGCAGATTCTCGAAAAAGAGTGTTTCATAGCTGCTCTTTCAAAAGGAAAGTTCAACTCTGGGAGTTGAATACAAACATCACAAAATAGTTTCCGAGAATGCTTCTGTTTAGTTTTTATGTGAAGATGATCCCGTTTCCAGTGAAATCTTCAAAGAGGTCCACATATCCCCTTGCAGATTCCAAAGAAAGAGGGTTTCAAAACTGCTCCATCAGAAGGATTGTTCAACTCTGTGAGTTGAATGCAGTCATCGCAGAAAACTTTCTGAGAATGCTTCTGTCTAGGTTTGATGTGAAGATATAGACGTTTCAAACGAAGGCTACAAAGTGGTCAAAATATACACTTGCAGATTCTACTACAAGGGTGTTGCAAACCTGAACTATCAAAGGAAGGTTCAACTCTGTGAGTTGAATACAAACATCACAAAGAATGTTCTGAGTTTGCTTCCGTTCAGTTATGGGAAGTTGATCCCGTTTCCAACGAAATCCTCAGAGAGGTCCAAATATCCCCTTGCAGATTCTACAAAACGTGTGTTTGGAAACTGCTCCATCATAACGAATGTTCAGCTCCCTGAGTTAAACTCCATCGTCACAAAGAATTTTCTGAGAGTGCTACCGTCTGGTTTTTATATGAAGTTCTTTCCTTCACTACCACTGGTCTCAAAGCGGTCCAAATCTCCACTTGCAGATTCTACAAAAAGAGTGTTTGCAAACTGCTCTATAAAAAGGAATGTTCAACTCTGGGAGTTGAATGCAATCATCACAGAGCAGTTTCTGAGAATGCTTCTATGTCGTTTTTAGGAGAAGATATTTCCTTTTCCAACACAGTCCTCCAAGCCCGCTAAATAGCCACTTGCACATTGTAGAAAAAGTGTGTCGAAGCTGCGCTATCAAAGGGAAAGTTCAACTCTGTGAGGTGAATGCAAACATCCCAAAGAAGTTTCTGAGAATGCTTCCGTTTAGCTTTTAGGTGAAAATTATCCCGTTTCCAACGAAATCTTCAAAGAGGTCCAAATATCCCCTTGCGGATCCCACAGAAAGAGTGTTTCGAAACTGCTGTTTCAAAAGGAATCTTCAACTCTGTGAGTTGAATGCAATCATCACAAAGAAGTTTCTGACAATGCTTCTCTCTCGTCTTTCTGTGAAGATAAAGGAAAAGGCTTTCAGGCCTTTTCCACCACAGGCCTGAAAGCGCTCCAAATGTCCACTTGCAGATTCTGCGAAAAGAATATTTCAAAACTGCTCTATGAAAAGCAATGTTAAACTCTGTGGCTCGAACACAAACATCACAAAGCAGTTTCTGAGAATGCTTCAGTTTAGTTTTTCTGTGGAAATATTCCCGTTTCCAAAGAAATCTTCAAAGAGGTCCACGTATCCACTTACAGATTCTACAAAAAGACAGTTTCAAAACTGCTCCATCAAAAGGAGGGTTCAACTGTGTGACTTGAATGCAATCATCACTCAGAAGTTTCTGAGAATGCTTCTCTTTAGTTTTTACGTGAACATATACCCGTTTCGAACGAAGGCCACCCAGTGGTCCAAATATCCACTTGCAGATTCTACAGAAAGAGTGTTTCGAACCTGAACTCTCAAAGGCAGGTTCATCTCTGCGAGTTAAATGCATTCATCATGAAGAACTTTCTCAGAGTATTTGTGTTTAGTTATGGGAAATTATTCCCGTTTCCAAAGAAATCCTCAGAGAGCTCCAAATATCCACCTGCAGATTCTACCAAAAGTGTATTTGGAAACTGCTCCATCAAAAGGCATGTTCAGCTCTGTGAGTGAAACTCCATCATCACAAAGAATATTCTGAGAATGCTTCCGTTTGCCTTTTATATGAAGTTCCTTCCTGTACTACCGTAGGCCTCAAAGCAGTCCAAATCTCCATTTGCAGATTCTATAAAAAGAGTGATTCCAATCTGCTCTATCAATAGGATTGTTCAACTCCATGAGTTGAATGCCATCCTCACAAAGTAGTTTCTGAGAATGCTTCTATCTGGTTTTTGTGTGAAGATATTTCCTTTTCCACCACAGGCCTCAAAGCCCTCCAAACGTCCACTTGCAGATTCTCGAAAAAGAGTGTTTCATAGCTGCTCTTTCAAAAGGAAAGTTCAACTCTGGGAGTTGAATACAAACATCACAAAGTAGTTTCCGAGAATGCTTCTGTTTAGTTATTATGTGAAGATGATCCCGTTTCCAGTGAAATCTTCAAAGAGGTCCACATATCCCCTTGCAGATTCCAAAGAAAGAGGGTTTCAAAACTGCTCCATCAAAAGGATTGTTCAACTCTGTGAGTTGAATGCAGTCATCGCAGAAAACTTTCTGAGAATGCTTCTGTCTAGGTTTGATGTGAAGATATAGACGTTTCAAACGAAGGCTACAAAGTGGTCAAAATATACACTTGCAGATTCTACTACAAGGGTGTTGCAAACCTGAACTATCAAAGGAAGGTTCAACTCTGTGAGTTGAATACAAACATCACAAAGAATGTTCTGAGTTTGCTTCCGTTCAGTTATGGGAAGTTGATCCCGTTTCCAACGAAATCCTCAGAGAGGTCCAAATATCCCCTCGCAGATTCTACAAAACGTGTGTTTGGAAACTGCTCCATCATAACGAATGTTCAGCTCCCTGAGTTAAACTCCATCGTCACAAAGAATTTTCTGAGAGTGCTACCGTCTGGTTTTTATATGAAGTTCTTTCCTTCACTACCACAGGCCTCAAAGCGGTCCAAATCTCCACTTGCAGATTCTACAAAAAGAGTGTTTGCAAACTGCTCTATCAAAAGGAATGTTCAACTCTGGGAGTTGAATGCAATCATCACAGAGCAGTTTCTGAGAATGCTTCTATGTCGTTTTTAGGAGAAGATATTTCCTTTTCCAACACAGTCCTCCAAGCCCGCTAAATAGCCACTTGCACATTGTAGAAAAAGTGTGTCAAAGCTGCGCTATCAAAGGGAAAGTTCAACTCTGTGAGGTGAATGCAAACATCCCAAAGAAGTTTCTGAGAATGCTTCCGTTTAGCTTTTAGGTGAAGATTATCCCGTTTCCAACGAAACCTTCAAAGAGGTCCAAATATCCCCTTGCGGATCCCACAGAAAGAGTGTTTCGAAACTGCTGTTTCAAAAGGAATCTTCAACTCTGTGAGTTGAATGCAATCATCACAAAGAAGTTTCTGGCAATGCTTCTCTCTCGTCTTTCTGTGAAGATAAAGGAAAAGGCTTTCAGGCCTTTTCCACCACAGGCCTGAAAGCGCTCCAAATGTCCACTTGCAGATTCTGCGAAAAGAATATTTCAAAACTGCTCTATGAAAAGCAATGTTAAACTCTGTGGCTCGAACACAAACATCACAAAGCGGTTTCTGAGAATGCTTCAGTTTAGTTTTTCTGTGGAAATATTCCCGTTTCCAAAGAAATCTTCAAAGAGGTCCACGCATCCACTTACAGATTCTACAAAAAGACAGTTTCAAAACTGCTCAATCAAAAGGAGGGTTCAACTGTGTGACTTGAATGCAATCATCACTCAGAAGTTTCTGAGAACGCTTCTCTTTAGTTTTTACGTGAACATATACCCGTTTCGAACGAAGGCCACCCAGTGGTCCAAATATCCACTTGCAGATTCTACAGAAAGAGTGTTTCGAACCTGAACTCTCAAAGGCAGGTTCATCTCTGCGAGTTCAATGCATTCAACATGAAGAACTTTCTCAGCGTGTTTGTGTTTAGTTATGGGAAATTATTGCCGTTTCCAACGAAATCCTCAGAGAGGTCCAAATATCCACCTGCAGATTCTACCAAAAGTGTATTTGGAAACTGCTCCATCAAAAGGCATGTTCAGCTCTGTGAGTGAAACTCCATCATCACAAAGAATATTCTGAGAATGCTTCCGTTTGCCTTTTATATGAAGTTCCTTCCTATACTACCGTAGGCCTCAAAGCAGTCCAAATCTCCATTTGCAGATTCTACAAAAAGAGTGATTCCAATCTGCTCTATCAATAGGATTGTTCAACTCCATGAGTTGAATGCCATCCTCACAAAGTCGTTTCTGAGTATGCTTCTATCTAGTTTTTATGTGAAGATATTTCCTTTTCCACCACAGGCCTCAAAGCCCTCCAAACGTCCACTTGCAGATTCTCGAAAAAGAGTGTTTCATAGCTGCTCTTTCAAAAGGAAAGTTCAACTCTGGGAGTTGAATACAAACATCACAAAGTAGTTTCCGAGAATGCTTCTGTTTAGTTTTTATGTGAAGATGATCCCGTTTCCAGTGAAATCTTCAAAGAGGTCCACATATCCCCTTGCAGATTCCAAAGAAAGAGGGTTTCAAAACTGCTCCATCAGAAGGATTGTTCAACTCTGTGAGTTGAATGCAGTCATCGCAGAAAACTTTCTGAGAATGCTTCTTTCTAGGTTTGATGTGAAGATATAGACGTTTCAAACGAAGGCTACAAAGTGGTCAAAATATACACTTGCAGATTCTACTACAAGGGTGTTGCAAACCTGAACTATCAAAGGAAGGTTCAACTCTGTGAGTTGAATACAAACATCACAAAGAATGTTCTGAGTTTGCTTCCGTTCAGTTATGGGAAGTTGATCCCATTTCCAACGAAATCCTCAGAGAGGTCCAAATATCCCTTTGCAGATTCTACAAAATGTGTGTTTGGAAACTGCTCCATCATAACGAATGTTCAGCTCTCTGAGTTAAACTCTATCGTCACAAAGAATTTTACTGAGAGTGCTACCGTCTAGTTTTATATGAAGTTCTTTCCTTTACTACCACCGGCCTCAAAGCGGTCCAAATCTCCACTTGCAGATTCTACAAAAAGAGTGTTTGCAAACTGCTCTATCAAAAGGAATGTTCAACTCTGGGAGTTGAATGCAATCATCACAGAGCAGTTTCTGAGAATGCTTCTATGTCGTTTTTAGGAGAAGATATTTCCTTTTCCAACACAGTCCTCCAAGCCCGCTAAATAGCCACTTGCACATTGTAGAAAAAGTGTGTCAAAGCTGCGCTATCAAAGGGAAAGTTCAACTCTGTGAGGTGAATGCAAACATCCCAAAGAAGTTTCTGAGAATGCTTCCGTTTAGCTTTTAGGTGAAGATTATCCCGTTTCCAACGAAACCTTCAAAGAGGTCCAAATATCCCCTTGCGGATCCCACAGAAAGAGTGTTTCGAAACTGCTGTTTCAAAAGGAATCTTCAACTCTGTGAGTTGAATGCAATCATCACAAAGAAGTTTCTGACAATGCTTCTCTCTCGTCTTTCTGTGAAGATAAAGGAAAAGGCTTTCAGGCCTTTTCCACCACAGGCCTGAAAGCGCTCCAAATGTCCACTTGCAGATTCTGCGAAAAGAATATTTCAAAACTGCTCTATGAAAAGCAATGTTAAACTCTGTGGCTCGAACACAAACATCACAAAGCGGTTTCTGAGAATGCTTCAGTTTAGTTTTTCTGTGGAAATATTCCCGTTTCCAAAGAAATCTTCAAAGAGGTCCACGTATCCACTTACAGATTCTACAAAAAGACAGTTTCAAAACTGCTCCATCAAAAGGAGGGTTCAACTGTGTGACTTGAATGCAATCATCACTCAGAAGTTTCTGAGAATGCTTCTCTTTAGTTTTTACGTGAACATATACCCGTTTCGAAAGAAGGCCAGCCAGTGGTCCAAATATCCACTTGCAGATTCTACAGAAACAGTGTTTCGAACCTGAACTCTCAAAGGCAGGTTCATCTCTGCGAGTTAAATGCATTCATCATGAAGAACTTTCTCAGAGTGTTTGTGTTTAGTTATGGGAAATTATTCCCGTTTCCAACGAAATCCTCAGAGAGCTCCAAATATCCACCTGCAGATTCTACCAAAAGTGTATTTGGAAACCGCTCCATCAAAAGGCATGTTCAGCTCTGTCAGTGAAACTCCATCATCACAAAGAATATTCTGAGAATGCTTCCGTTTGCCTTTTATATGAAGTTCCTTCCTATACGACCGTAGGCCTCAAAGCAGTCCAAATCTCCATTTGCAGATTCTACAAAAAGAGTGATTCCAATCTGCTCTATCAATAGGATTGTTCAACTCCATGAGTTGAATGCCATCCTCACAAAGTAGTTTCTGAGAATGCTTCTATCTAGTTTTCATGTGAAGATATTTCCTTTTCCACCACAGGCCTCAAAGCCCTCCAAACGTCCACTTGCAGATTCTCGAAAAAGTGTGTTTCATAGCTGCTCTTTCAAAAGGAAAGTTCAACTCTGGGAGTTGAATACAAACATCACAAAGTAGTTTCCGAGAATGCTTCTGTTTAGTTTTTATGTGAAGATGATCCCGTTTCCAGTGAAATCTTCAAAGAGGTCCACATATCCCCTTGCAGATTCCAAAGAAAGAGGGTTTCAAAACTGCTCCATCAGAAGGATTGTTCAACTCTGTGAGTTGAATGCAGTCATCGCAGAAAACTTTCTGAGAAGGCTTCTGTCTAGGTTTGATGTGAAGATATAGACGTTTCAAACGAAGGCTACAAAGTGGTCAAAATATACACTTGCAGATTCTACTACAAGGGTGTTGCAAACCTGAACTATCAAAGGAAGGTTCAACTCTGTGAGTTGAATACAAACATCACAAGGAATGTTCTGAGTTTGCTTCCGTTCAGTTATGGGAAGTTGATCCCGTTTCCAACGAAATCCTCAGAGAGGTCCAAATATCCCCTTGCAGATTCTACAAAACGTGTGTTTGGAGACTGCTCCATCATAACGAATGTTCAGCTCCCTGAGTTAAACTCCATCGTCACGAAGAATTTTCTGAGAGTGCTACCGTCTGGTTTTTATATGAAGCTCTTTCCTTCACTACCACAGGCCTCAAAGCGGTCCAAATCTCCACTTGCAGATTCTACAAAAAGAGTGTTTGCAAACTGCTCTATCAAAAGGAATGTTCAACTCTGGGAGTTGAATGCAATCATCACAGAGCAGTTTCTGAGAATGCTTCTATGTCGTTTTTAGGAGAAGATATTTCCTTTTCCAACACAGTCCTCCAAGCCCGCTAAATAGCCACTTGCACATTGTAGAAAAAGTGTGTCAAAGCTGCGCTATCAAAGGGAAAGTTCAACTCTGTGAGGTGAATGCAAACATCCCAAAGAAGTTTCTGAGAATGCTTCCGTTTAGCTTTTAGGTGAAGATTATCCCGTTTCCAACGAAACCTTCAAAGAGGTCCAAATATCCCCTTGCGGATCCCACAGAAAGAGTGTTTCGAAACTGCTGTTTCAAAAGGAATCTTCAACTCTGTGAGTTGAATGCAATCATCACAAAGAAGTTTCTGACAATGCTTCTCTCTCGTCTTTCTGTGAAGATAAAGGAAAAGGCTTTCAGGCCTTTTCCACCACAGGCCTGAAAGCGCTCCAAATGTCCACTTGCAGATTCTGCCAAAAGAATATTTCAAAACTGCTCTATGAAAAGCAATGTTAAACTCTGTGGCTCGAACACAAACATCACAAAGCGGTTTCTGAGAATGCTTCAGTTTAGTTTTTCTGTGGAAATATTCCCGTTTCCAAAGAAATCTTCAAAGAGGTCCACGCATCCACTTACAGATTGTACAAAAAGACAGTTTCAAAACTGCTCAATCAAAAGGAGGGTTCAACTGTGTGACTTGAATGCAATCATCACTCAGAAGTTTCTGAGAACGCTTCTCTTTAGTTTTTACGTGAACATATACCTGTTTCGAACGAAGGCCAGCCAGTGGTCCAAATATCCACTTGCAGATTCTACAGAAAGAGTGTTTCGAACCTGAACTCTCAGAGGCAGGTTCATCTCTGCGAGTTCAATGCATTCATCATGAAGAACTTTCTCAGCGTGTTTTGTGTTTAGTTATGGGAAATTATTCCCGTTTCCAACGAAATCCTCAGAGAGCTCCAAATATCCACCTGCAGATTCTACCAAAAGTGTATTTGGAAACTGCTCCATCAAAAGGCATGTTCAGCTCTGTCAGTGAAACTCCATCATCACAAAGAATATTCTGAGAATGCTTCCGTTTGCCTTTTATATGAAGTTCCTTCCTGTACTACCGTAGGCCTCAAAGCAGTCCAAATCTCCATTTGCAGATTCTACAAAAAGAGTGATTCCAATCTGCTCTATCAATAGGATTGTTCAACTCCATGAGTTGAATGCCATCCTCACAAAGTAGTTTCTGAGAATGCTTCTATCTGGTTTTTGTGTGAAGATATTTCCTTTTCCACCACAGGCCTCAAAGCCCTCCAAACGTCCACTTGCAGATTCTCGAAAAAGAGTGTTTCATAGCTGCTCTTTCAAAAGGAAAGTTCAACTCTGGGAGTTGAATACAAACATCACAAAATAGTTTCCGAGAATGCTTCTGTTTAGTTTTTATGTGAAGATGATCCCGTTTCCAGTGAAATCTTCAAAGAGGTCCACATATGCCCTTGCAGATTCCAAAGAAAGAGGGTTTCAAAACTGCTCCAGCAAAAGGATTGTTCAACTCTGTGAGTTGAATGCAGTCATCGCAGAAAACTTTCTGAGAATGCTTCTGTCTAGGTTTGATGTGAAGATATAGACGTTTCAAACGAAGGCTACAAAGTGGTCAAAATATACACTTGCAGATTCTACTACAAGGGTGTTGCAAACCTGAACTATCAAAGGAAGGTTCAACTCTGTGAGTTGAATACAAACATCACAAAGAATGTTCTGAGTTTGCTTCCGTTCAGTTATGGGAAGTTGATCCCGTTTCCAACGAAATCCTCAGAGAGGTCCAAATATCCCCTTGCAGATTCTACAAAACGTGTGTTTGGAAACTGCTCCATCATAACGAATGTTCAGCTCCCTGAGTTAAACTCCATCGTCACAAAGAATTTTCTGAGAGTGCTACCGTCTGGTTTTTATATGAAGTTCTTTCCTTCACTACCACAGGCCTCAAAGCGGTCCAAATCTCCACTTGCAGATTCTACAAAAAGAGTGTTTGCAAACTGCTCTATCAAAAGGAATGTTCAACTCTGGGAGTTGAATGCAATCATCACAGAGCAGTTTCTGAGAATGCTTCTATGTCGTTTTTAGGAGAAGATATTTCCTTTTCCAACACAGTCCTCCAAGCCCGCTAAATAGCCACTTGCACATTGTAGAAAAAGTGTGTCAAAGCTGCGCTATCAAAGGGAAAGTTCAACTCTGTGAGGTGAATGCAAACATCCCAAAGAAGTTTCTGAGAATGCTTCCGTTTAGCTTTTAGGTGAAGATTATCCCGTTTCCAACGAAACCTTCAAAGAGGTCCAAATATCCCCTTGCGGATCCCACAGAAAGAGTGTTTCGAAACTGCTGTTTCAAAAGGAATCTTCAACTCTGTGAGTTGAATGCAATCATCACAAAGAAGTTTCTGACAATGCTTCTCTCTCGTCTTTCTGTGAAGATAAAGGAAAAGGCTTTCAGGCCTTTTCCACCACAGGCCTGAAAGCGCTCCAAATGTCCACTTGCAGATTCTGCGAAAAGAATATTTCAAAACTGCTCTATGAAAAGCAATGTTAAACTCTGTGGCTCGAACACAAACATCACAAAGCGGTTTCTGAGAATGCTTCAGTTTAGTTTTTCTGTGGAAATATTCCCGTTTCCAAAGAAATCTTCAAAGAGGTCCACGTATCCACTTACAGATTCTACAAAAAGACAGTTTCAAAACTGCTCCATCAAAAGGAGGGTTCAACTGTGTGACTTGAATGCAATCATCACTCAGAAGTTTCTGAGAATGCTTCTCTTTAGTTTTTACGTGAACATATACCCGTTTCGAACGAAGGCCACCCAGTGGTCCAAATATCCACTTGCAGATTATACAGAAAGAGTGTTTCGAACCTGAACTCTCAAAGGAAGGTTCATCTCTGCGAGTTAAATGCATTCATCATGAAGAACTTTCTCAGAGTGTTTGTGTTTAGTTATGGGAAATTATTCCCGTTTCCAACGAAATCCTCAGAGAGCTCCAAATATCCACCTGCAGATTCTACCAAAAGTGTATTTGGAAACTGCTCCATCAAAAGGCATGTTCAGCTCTGTGAGTGAAACTCCATCATCACAAAGAATATTCTGAGAATGCTTCCGTTTGCCTTTTATATGAAGTTCCTTCCTGTACTACCGTAGGCCTCAAGGCAGTCCAAATCTCCATTTGCAGATTCTACAAAAAGAGTGATTCCAATCTGCTCTATCAATAGGATTGTTCAACTCCATGAGTTGAATGCCATCCTCACAAAGTAGTTTCTGAGAATGCTTCTATCTGGTTTTTGTGTGAAGATATTTCCTTTTCCACCACAGGCCTCAAAGCCCTCCAAACGTCCACTTGCAGATTCTCGAAAAAGAGTGTTTCATAGCTGCTCTTTCAAAAGGAAAGTTCAACTCTGGGAGTTGAATACAAACATCACAAAATAGTTTCCGAGAATGCTTCTGTTTAGTTTTTATGTGAAGATGATCCCGTTTCCAGTGAAATCTTCAAAGAGGTCCACATATCCCCTTGCAGATTCCAAAGAAAGAGGGTTTAAAAACTGCTCCATCAGAAGGATTGTTCAACTCTGTGAGTTGAATGCAGTCATCGCAGAAAACTTTCTGAGAATGCTTCTGTCTAGGTTTGATGTGAAGATATAGACGTTTCAAACGAAGGCTACAAAGTGGTCAAAATATACACTTGCAGATACTACTACAAGGGTGTTGCAAACCTGAACTATCAAAGGAAGGTTCAACTCTGTGAGTTGAATACAAACATCACAAAGAATGTTCTGAGTTTGCTTCCGTTTAGTTATGGGAAATTGATACCGTTTCCAACGAAATCCTCAGAGAGGTCCAAATATCCCCTTGCAGATTCTACAAAACGTGTGTTTGGAAACTGCTCCATCATAACGAATGTTCAGCTCTCTGAGTTAAACTCCATCGTCACAAAGAATTTTCTGAGAGTGCTACCGTCTGGTTTTTATATGAAGTTCTTTCCTTTACTACCACAGGCCTCAAAGTGGTCCAAATCTCCACTTGCAGATTCTACAAAAAGAGTGTTTGCAAAGTGCTCTATCAAAAGGAATGTTCAACTCTGGGAGTTGAATGCAATCATCACAGAGCAGTTTCTGAGAATGCTTCTATGTCGTTTTTAGGAGAAGATATTTCCTTTTCCAACACAGTCCTCCAAGCCCGCTAACTATCCACTTGCACATTGTAGAAAAAGTGTGTCGAAGCTGCGCTATCAAAGGGAAAGTTCAACTCTGTGAGGTGAATGCAAACATCCCAAAGAAGTTTCTGAGAATGCTTCCGTTTAGCTTTAAGTGAAGATTATTCCGTTTCCAACGAAATCTTCAAAGAGGTCCAAATATCCCCTTGCGGATCCCACAGAAAGAGTGTTTCGAAACTGCTGTTTCAAAAGGAATCTTCAACTCTGTGAGTTGAATGCAATCATCACAAAGAAGTTTCTGACAATGCTTCTCTCTCGTCTTTCTGTGAAGATAAAGGAAAAGGCTTTCAGGCCTTTTCCACCACAGGCCTGAAAGCGCTCCAAATGTCCACTTGCAGATTCTGCGAAAAGAATATTTCAAAACTGCTCTATGAAAAGCAATGTTAAACTCTGTGGCTCGAACACAAACATCACAAAGCGGTTTCTGAGAATGCTTCAGTTTAGTTTTTCTTTGGAAATATTCCCGTTTCCAAAGAAATCTTCAAAGAGGTCCACGTATCCACTTACAGATTCTACAAAAAGACAGTTTCAAAACTGCTCCATCAAAAGGAGGGTTCAACTGTGTGACTTGAATGCAATCATCACTCAGAAGTTTCTGAGAATGATTCTCTTTAGTTTTTACGTGAACATATACCCGTTTCGAACGAAGGCCAGCCAGTGGTCCAAATATCCACTTGCAGATTCTACAGAAAGAGTGTTTCGAACCTGAACTCTCAAAGGCAGGTTCATCTCTGCGAGTTAAATGCATTCATCATGAAGAACTTTCTCAGAGTGTTTGTGTTTAGTTATGGGAAATTATTCCCGTTTCCAACGAAATCCTCAGAGAGCTCCAAATATCCACCTGCAGATTCTACCAAAAGTGTTTTTGGAAACTGCTCCATCAAAAGGCATGTTCAGCTCTGTGAGTGAAACTCCATCATCACAAAGAATATTCTGAGAATGCTTCCGTTTGCCTTTTATATGAAGTTCCTTCCTATACTACCGTAGGCCTCAAAGCAGTCCAAATCTCCATTTGCAGATTCTACAAAAAGAGTGATTCCAATCTGCTCTATCAATAGGATTGTTCAACTCCATGAGTTGAATGCCATCCTCACAAAGTCGTTTCTGAGAATGCTTCTATCTAGTTTTTATGTGAAGATATTTCCTTTTCCACCACAGGCCTCAAAGCCTTCCAAACGTCCACTTGCAGATTCTCGAAAAAGAGTGTTTCATAGCTGCTCTTTCAAAAGGAAAGTTCAACTCTGGGAGTTGAATACAAACATCACAAAGTAGTTTCCGAGAATGCTTCTGTTTAGTTTCTATGTGAAGATGATCCCGTTTCCAGTGAAATCTTCAAAGAGGTCCACATATCCCCTTGCAGATTCCAAAGAAAGAGGGTTTCAAAACTGCTCCATCAGAAGGATTGTTCAACTCTGTGAGTTGAATGCAGTCATCGCAGAAAACTTTCTGAGAATGCTTCTGTTTAGGTTTGATGTGAAGATATAGACGTTTCAAACGAAGGCTACAAAGTGGTCAAAATATACACTTGCAGATTCTACTACAAGGGTGATGCAAACCTCAACTATCAAAGGAAGGTTCAACTCTGTGAGTTGAATACAAACATCACAAAGAATGTTCTGAGTTTGCTTCCGTTCAGTTATGGGAAGTTGATCCCGTTTCCAACGAAATCCTCAGAGAGGTCCAAATATCCCCTTGCAGATTCTACAAAACGTGTGTTTGGAAACTGCTCCATCATAACGGATGTTCAGCTCTCTGAGTTAAACTCCATCGTCACAAAGAATTTTCTGAGAGTGCTACCGTCTGGTTTTTATATGAAGTTGTTTCCTTTACTACCACAGGCCTCAAAGCGGTCCAAATCTCCACTTGCAGATTCTACAAAAAGAGTGTTTGCAAACTGCTCTATCAAAAGGAATGTTCAACTCTGGGAGTTGAATGGAATCATCACAGAGCAGTTTCTGAGAATGCTTCTATGTCGTTTTTAGGAGAAGATATTTCCTTTTCCAACACAGTCCTCCAAGCCCGCTAAATATCCACTTGCACATTGTAGAAAAAGTGTGTCGAAGCTGCGCTATCAAAGGGAAAATTCAACTCTGTGAGGTGAATGCAAACATCCAAAAGAAGTTTCTGAGAATGCTTCCGTTTAGCTTTTAGGTGAAGATTATCCCGTTTCCAACGAAACCTTCAAAGAGGTCCAAATATCCCCTTGTGGATCCCACAGAAAGAGTGTTTCGAAACTGCTGTTTCAAAAGGAATCTTCAACTCTGTGAGTTGAATGCAATCATCACAAAGAAGTTTCTGACAATGCTTCTCTCTCGTCTTTCTGTGAAGATAAAGGAAAAGGCTTTCAGGCCTTTTCCACCACAGGCCTGAAAGCGCTCCAAATGTCCACTTGCAGATTCTGCCAAAAGAATATTTCAAAACTGCTCTACGAAAAGCAATGTTAAACTCTGTGGCTCGAACACAAACATCACAAAGCCGTTTCTGAGAATGCTTCAGTTTAGTTTTTCTGTGGAAATATTCCCGTTTCCAAAGAAATCTTCAAAGAGGTCCACGTATCCACTTACAGATTCTACAAAAAGACAGTTTCAAAACTGCTCCATCAAAAGGAGGGTTCAACTGTGTGACTTGAATGCAATCATCACTCAGAAGTTTCTGAGAATGCTTCTCTTTAGTTTTTACGTGAACATATACCCGTTTCGAACGAAGGCCACCCAGTGGTCCAAATATCCACTTGCAGATTATACAGAAAGAGTGTTTCGAACCTGAACTCTCAAAGGCAAGTTCATCTCTGCAAGTTAAATGCATTCATCATGAAGAACTTTCTCAGAGTGTTTGTGTTTAGTTATGGGAAATTATTCCCGTTTCCAACGAAATCCTCAGAGAGCTCCAAATATCCACCTGCAGATTCTACCAAAAGTGTATTTGGAAACTGCTCCATCAAAAGGCATGTTCAGCTCTGTGAGTGAAACTCCATCATCACAAAGAATATTCTGAGAATGCTTCCGTTTGCCTTTTATATGAAGTTCCTTCCTATACGACCGTAGGCCTCAAAGCAGTCCAAATCTCCATTTGCAGATTCTACAAAAAGAGTGATTCCAATCTGCTCTATCAATAGGATTGTTCAACTCCATGAGTTGAATGCCATCCTCACAAAGTAGTTTCTGAGAATGCTTCTATCTGGTTTTTGTGTGAAGATATTTCCTTTTCCACCACAGGCCTCAAAGCCCTCCAAACGACCACTTGCAGATTCTCGAAAAAGAGTGTTTCATAGCTGCTCTTTCAAAAGGAAAGTTCAACTCTGGGAGTTGAATACAAACATCACAAAATAGTTTCCGAGAATGCTTCTGTTTAGTTTTTATGTGAAGATGATCCCGTTTCCAGTGAAATCTTCAAAGAGGTCCACATATCCCCTTGCAGATTCCAAAGAAAGAGGGTTTCAAAACTGCTCCATCAGAAGGATTGTTCAACTCTGTGAGTTGAATGCAGTCATCGCAGAAAACTTTCTGAGAATGCTTCTGTCTAGGTTTGATGTGAAGATATAGCATGTTTCAAACGAAGGCTACAAAGTGGTCAAAATATACACTTGCAGATTCTACTACAAGGGTGTTGCAAACCTGAACTATCAAAGGAAGGTTCAACTCTGTGAGTTGAATACAAACATCACAAAGAATGTTCTGAGTTTGCTTCCGTTCAGTTATGGGAAGTTGATCCCGTTTCCAACGAAATCCTCAGAGAGGTCCAAATATCCCCTCGCAGATTCTACAAAACGTGTGTTTGGAAACTGCTCCATCATAACGAATGTTCAGCTCCCTGAGTTAAACTCCATCGTCACAAAGAATTTTCTGAGAGTGCTACCGTCTGGTTTTTATATGAAGTTCTTTCCTTTACTACCATAGGCCTCAAAGCGGTCCAAACCTCCACTTGCAGATTCTACAAAAAGAGTGTTTGCAAACTGCTCTATCAAAAGGAATGTTCAACCCTGGGAGTTGAATGCAATCATCACAGAGCAGTTTCTGAGAATGCTTCTATGTCGTTTTTAGGAGAAGATATTTCCTTTTCCAACACAGTCCTCCAAGCCCGCTAAATAGCCACTTGCACATTGTAGAAAAAGTGTGTCAAAGCTGCGCTATCAAAGGGAAAGTTCAACTCTGTGAGGTGAATGCAAACATCCCAAAGAAGTTTCTGAGAATGCTTCCGTTTAGCTTTTAGGTGAAGATTATCCCGTTTCCAACGAAACCTTCAAAGAGGTCCAAATATCCCCTTGCGGATCCCACAGAAAGAGTGTTTCGAAACTGCTGTTTCAAAAGGAATCTTCAACTCTGTGAGTTGAATGCAATCATCACAAAGAAGTTTCTGACAATGCTTCTCTCTCGTCTTTCTGTGAAGATAAAGGAAAAGGCTTTCAGGCCTTTTCCACCACAGGCCTGAAAGCGCTCCAAATGTCCACTTGCAGATTCTGCCAAAAGAATATTTCAAAACTGCTCTATGAAAAGCAATGTTAAACTCTGTGGCTCGAACACAAACATCACAAAGCGGTTTCTGAGAATGCTTCAGTTTAGTTTTTCTGTGGAAATATTCCCGTTTCCAAAGAAATCTTCAAAGAGGTCCACGTATCCACTTACAGATTCTACAAAAAGACAGTTTCAAAACTGCTCCATCAAAAGGAGGGTTCTACTGTGTGACTTGAATGCAATCATCACTCAGAAGTTTCTGAGAATGCTTCTCTTTAGTTTTTACGTGAACATATACCCGTTTCGAACGAAGGCCACCCAGTGGTCCAAATATCCACTTGCAGATTCTACAGAAAGAGTGTTTCGAACCTGAACTCTCAAAGGCAGGTTCATCTCTGCGAGTTAAATGCATTCATCATGAAGAACTTTCTCAGAGTGTTTGTGTTTAGTTATGGGAAATTATTCCCGTTTCCAACGAAATCCTCAAAGAGCTCCAAATATCCACCTGCAGATTCTACCAAAAGTGTATTTGGAAACTGCTCCATCAAAAGGCATGTTCAGCTCTGTGAGTGAAACTCCATCATCACAAAGAATATTCTGAGAATGCTTCCGTTTGCCTTTTATATGAAGTTCCTTCCTATACGACCGTAGGCCTCAAAGCAGTCCAAATCTCCATTTGCAGATTCTACAAAAAGAGTGATTCCAATCTGCTCTATCAATAGGATTGTTCAACTCCATGAGTTGAATGCCATCCTCACAAAGTAGTTTCTGAGAATGCTTCTATCTGGTTTTTATGTGAAGATATTTCCTTTTCCACCACAGGCCTCAAAGCCCTCCAAACGTCCACTTGCAGATTCTCGAAAAAGAGTGTTTCATAGCTGCTCTTTCAAAAGGAAAGTTCAACTCTGGGAGTTGAATACAAACATCACAAAGTAGTTTCCGAGAATGCTTCTGTTTAGTTTTTATGTGAAGATGATCCCGTTTCCAGTGAAATCTTCAAAGAGGTCCACATATCCCCTTGCAGATTCCAAAGAAAGAGGGTTTCAAAACTGCTCCATCAGAAGGATTGTTCAACTCTGTGAGTTGAATGCAGTCATCGCAGAAAACTTTCTGAGAATGCTTCTGTCTAGGATTGATGTGAAGATATAGACGTTTCAAATGAAGGCTACAAAGTGGTCAAAATATACACTTGCAGATTCTACTACAAGGGTGTTGCAAACCTGAACTATCAAAGGAAGGTTCAACTCTGTGAGTTGAATACAAACATCACAAAGAATGTTCTGAGTTTGCTTCCGTTCAGTTATGGGAAGTTGATCCCGTTTCCAACGAAATCCTCAGAGAGGTCCAAATATCCCCTTGCAGATTCTACAAAACGTGTGTTTGGAAACTGCTCCATCATAACGAATGTTCAGCTCCCTGAGTTAAACTCCATCGTCACAAAGAATTTTCTGAGAGTGCTACCGTCTGGTTTTTATATGAAGTTCTTTCCTTCACTACCACAGGCCTCAAAGCGGTCCAAATCTCCACTTGCAGATTCTACAAAAAGAGTGTTTGCAAACTGCTCTATCAAAAGGAATGTTCAACTCTGGGAGTTGAATGCAATCATCACAGAGCAGTTTCTGAGAATGCTTCTATGTCGTTTTTAGGAGAAGATATTTCCTTTTCCAACACAGTCCTCCAAGCCCGCTAAATAGCCACTTGCACATTGTAGAAAAAGTGTGTCAAAGCTGCGCTATCAAAGGGAAAGTTCAACTCTGTGAGGTGAATGCAAACATCCCAAAGAAGTTTCTGAGAATGCTTCCGTTTAGCTTTTAGGTGAAGATTATCCCGTTTCCAACGAAACCTTCAAAGAGGTCCAAATATCCCCTTGCGGATCCCACAGAAAGAGTGTTTCGAAACTGCTGTTTCAAAAGGAATCTTCAACTCTGTGAGTTGAATGCAATCATCACAAAGAAGTTTCTGACAATGCTTCTCTCTCGTCTTTCTGTGAAGATAAAGGAAAAGGCTTTCAGGCCTTTTCCACCACAGGCCTGAAAGCGCTCCAAATGTCCACTTGCAGATTCTGCGAAAAGAATATTTCAAAACTGCTCTATGAAAAGCAATGTTAAACTCTGTGGCTCGAACACAAACATCACAAAGCGGTTTCTGAGAATGCTTCAGTTTAGTTTTTCTGTGGAAATATTCCCGTTTCCAAAGGAAATCTTCAAAGAGGTCCACGTATCCACTTACAGATTCTACAAAAAGACAGTTTCAAAACTGCTCCATCAAAAGGAGGGTTCAACTGTGTGACTTGAATGCAATCATCACTCAGAAGTTTCTGAGAATGCTTCTCTTTAGTTTTTACGTGAACATATACCCGTTTCGAACGAAGGCCAGCCAGTGGTCCAAATATCCACTTGCAGATTCTACAGAAAGAGTGTTTCGAACCTGAACTCTCAAAGGCAGGTTCATCTCTGCGAGTTAAATGCATTCATCATGAAGAACTTTCTCAGAGTGTTTTGTGTTTAGTTATGGGAAATTATTCCCGTTTCCAACGAAATCCTCAGAGAGCTCCAAATATCCACCTGCTGATTCTACCAAAAGTGTATTTGGAAACTGCTCCATCAAAAGGCATGTTCAGGTCTGTGAGTGAAACTCCATCATCACAAAGAATATTCTGAGAATGCTTCCGTTTGCCTTTTATATGAAGTTCCTTCCTATACTACCGTAGGCCTCAAAGCAGTCCAAATCTCCATTTGCAGATTCTACAAAAAGAGTGATTCCAATCTCCTCTATCAATAGGACTGTTCAACTCCATGAGTTGAATGCCATCCTCACAAAGTCGTTTCTGAGAATGCTTCTATCTAGTTTTTATGTGAAGATATTTCCTTTTCCACCACAGGCCTCAAAGCCCTCCAAACGTCCACTTGCAGATTCTCGAAAAAGAGTGTTTCATAGCTGCTCTTTCAAAAGGAAAGTTCAACTCTGGGAGTTGAATACAAACATCACAAATTAGTTTCCGAGAATGCTTCTGTTTAGTTCTTATGTGAAGATGATCCCGTTTCCAGTGAAATCTTCAAAGAGGTCCACATATCCCCTTGCAGATTCCAAAGAAAGAGGGTTTCAAAACTGCTCCATCAAAAGGATTGTTCAACTCTGTGAGTTGAATGCAGTCATCGCAGAAAACTTTCTGAGAATGCTTCTGTCTAGGTTTGATGTGAAGATATAGACGTTTCAAACGAAGGCTACAAAGTGGTCAAAATATACACTTGCAGATTCTACTACAAGGGTGTTGCAAACCTGAACTATCAAAGGAAGGTTCAACTCTGTGAGTTGAATACAAACATCACAAAGTATGTTCTGAGTTTGCTTCCGTTCAGTTATGGGAAGTTGATCCCGTTTCCAACGAAATCCTCAGAGAGGTCCAAATATCCCCTTGCAGATTCTACAAAACGTGTGTTTGGAAACTGCTCCATCATAACGAATGTTCAGCTCTCTGAGTTAAACTCCATCGTCACAAAGAATTTTCTGAGAGTGCTACCGTCTGGTTTTTATATGAAGTTCTTTCCTTCACTACCACAGGCCTCAAAGCGGTCCAAATCTCCACTTGCAGATTCTACAAAAAGAGTGTTTGCAAACTGCTCTATCAAAAGGAATGTTCAACTCTGGGAGTTGAATGCAATCATCACAGAGCAGTTTCTGAGAATGCTTCTATGTCGTTTTTAGGAGAAGATATTTCCTTTTCCAACACAGTCCTCCAAGCCCGCTAAATATCCACTTGCACATTGTAGAAAAAGTGTGTCGAAGCTGCGCTATCAAAGGGAAAGTTCAACTCTGTGAGGTGAATGCAAACATCCCAAAGAAGTTTCTGAGAATGCTTCCGTTTAGCTTTTAGGTGAAGATTATCCCGTTTCCAACGAAATCTTCACAGAGGTCCAAATATCCCCTTGCGGATCCCACAGAAAGAGTGTTTCGAAACTGCTGTTTCAAAAGGAATCTTCAACTCTGTGAGTTGAATGCAATCATCACAAAGAAGTTTCTGACAATGCTTCTCTCTCGTCTTTCTGTGAAGATAAAGGAAAAGGCTTTCAGGCCTTTTCCACCACAGGCCTGAAAGCGCTCCAAATGTCCACTTGCAGATTCTGCCAAAAGAATATTTCAAAACTGCTCTATGAAAAGCAATGTTAAACTCTGTGGCTCGAACACAAACATCACAAAGCAGTTTCTGAGAATGCTTCAGTTTAGTTTTTCTGTGGAAATATTCCCATTTCCAAAGAAATCTTCAAAGAGGTCCACGTATCCACTTCCAGATTCTACAAAAAGACAGTTTCAAAGCTGCTCAATCAAAAGGCGGGTTCAACTGTGTGACTTGAATGCAATCATCACTCAGAAGTTTCTGAGAATGCTTCTCTTTAGTTTTTACGTGAACATATACCCGTTTCGAACGAAGGCCACCCAGTGGTCCAAATATCCACTTGCAGATTATACAGAAAGAGTGTTTCGAACCTGAACTCTCAAAGGCAGGTTCATCTCTGCGAGTTAAATGCATTCATCATGAAGAACTTTCTCAGAGTGTTTGTGTTTAGTTATGGGAAATTATTCCCGTTTCCAACGAAATCCTCAGAGAGCTCCAAATATCCACCTGCAGATTCTACCAAAAGCGTATTTGGAAACTGCTCCATCAAAAGGCATGTTCAGCTCTGTGAGTGAAACTCCATCATCACAAAGAATATTCTGAGAATGCTTCCGTTTGCCTTTTATATGAAGTTCCTTCCTATACGACCGTAGGCCTCAAAGCAGTGCAAATCTCCATTTGCAGATTCTACAAAAAGAGTGATTCCAATCTGCTCTATCAATAGGATTGTTCAACTCCATGAGTTGAATGCCATCCTCACAAAGTCGTTTCTGAGAATGCTTCTATCTAGTTTTTATGTGAAGATATTTCCTTTTCCACCACAGGCCTCAAAGCCCTCCAAACGTCCACTTGTAGATTCTCGAAAAAGAGTGTTTCATAGCTGCTCTTTCAAAAGGAAAGTTCAACTCTGGGAGTTGAATACAAACATCACAAAGTAGTTTCCGAGAATGCTTCTGTTTAGTTTTTATGTGAAGATGATCCCGTTTCCAGTGAAATCTTCAAAGAGGTCCACATATCCCCTTGCAGATTCCAAAGAAAGAGGGTTTCAAAACTGCTCCATCAATAGGATTGTTCAACTCTGTGAGTTGAATGCAGTCATCGCAGAAAACTTTCTGAGAATGCTTCTGTCTAGGTTTGATGTGAAGATATAGACGTTTCAAACGAAGGCTACAAAGTGGTCAAAATATACACTTGCAGATACTACTACAAGGGTGTTGCAAACCTGAACTATCAAAGGAAGGTTCAACTCTGTGAGTTGAATACAAACATCACAAAGAATGTTCTGAGTTTGCTTCCGTTCAGTTATGGGAAGTTGATCCCGTTTCCAACGAAATCCTCAGACAGGTCCAAATATCCCCTTGCAGATTCTACAAAACGTGTTTTTGGAAACTGCTCCATCATAACGAATGTTCAGCTCCCTGAGTTAAACTCCATCGTCACAAAGAATTTTCTGAGAGTGCTACCGTCTGGTTTTTATATGAAGTTCTTTCCTTCACTACCACAGGCCTCAAAGCGGTCCAAATCTCCACTTGCAGATTCTACAAAAAGAGTGTTTGCAAACTGCTCTATCAAAAGGAATGTTCAACTCTGGGAGTTGAATGCAATCATCACAGAGCAGTTTCTGAGAATGCTTCTATGTCGTTTTTAGGAGAAGATATTTCCTTTTCCAACACAGTCCTCCAAGCCCGCTAAATAGCCACTTGCACATTGTAGAAAAAGTGTGTCGAAGCTGCGCTATCAAAGGGAAAGTTCAACTCTGTGAGGTGAATGCAAACATCCCAAAGAAGTTTCTGAGAATGCTTCCGTTTAGCTTTTAGGTGAAGATTATCCCGTTTCCAACGAAACCTTCAAAGAGGTCCAAATATCCCCTTGCGGATCCCACAGAAAGAGTGTTTCGAAACTGCTGTTTCAAAAGGAATCTTCAACTCTGTGAGTTGAATGCAATCATCAAAAAGAAGTTTCTGACAATGCTTCTCTCTCGTCTTTCTGTGAAGATAAAGGAAAAGGCTTTCAGGCCTTTTCCACCACAGGCCTGAAAGCGCTCCAAATGTCCACTTGCAGATTCTGCCAAAAGAATATTTCAAAACTGCTCTATGAAAAGCAATGTTAAACTCTGCGGCTCAAACACAAACATCACAAAGCGGTTTCTGAGAATGCTTCAGTTTAGTTTTTCTGTGGAAATATTCCCGTTTCCAAAGAAATCTTCAAAGAGGTCCACGTATCCACTTACAGATTCTACAAAAAGACAGTTTCAAAACTGCTCCATCAAAACGAGGGTTCAACTGTGTGACTTGAATGCAATCATCACTCAGAAGTTTCTGAGAATGCTTCTCTTTAGTTTTTACGTGAACATATACCCGTTTCGAACGAAGGCCAGCCAGTGGTCCAAATATCCACTTGCAGATTCTACAGAAAGAGTGTTTCGAACCTGAACTCTCAAAGGCAGGTTCATCTCTGCGAGTTAAATGCATTCATCATGAAGAACTTTCTCAGAGTGTTTGTGTTTAGTTATGGGAAATTATTCCCGTTTCCAACGAAATCCTCAGAGAGGTCCAAATATCCACCTGCAGATTCTACCAAAAGTGTATTTGGAAACTGCTCCATCAAAAGGCATGTTCAGCTCTGTGAGTGAAACTCCATCATCACAAAGAATATTCTGAGAATGCTTCCGTTTGCCTTTTATATGAAGTTCCTTCCTATACTACCGTAGGCCTCAAAGCAGTCCAAATCTCCATTTGCAGATTCTACCAAAAGAGTGATTCCAATCTGCTCTATCAATAGGATTGTTCAACTCCATGAGTTGAATGCCATCCTCACAAAGTCGTTTCTGAGAATGCTTCTATCTAGTTTTTATGTGAAGATATTTCCTTTTCCACCACAGGCCTCAAAGCCCTCCAAACGTCCACTTGCAGATTCTCGAAAAAGAGTGTTTCATAGCCGCTGTTTCAAAAGGAAAGTTCAACTCTGGGAGTTGAATACAAACATCACAAAGTAGTTTCCGAGAATGCTTCTGTTTAGTTTTTATGTGAAGATGATCCCGTTTCCAGTGAAATCTTCAAAGAGGTCCACATATCCCCTTGCAGATTCCAAAGAAAGAGGGTTTCAAAACTGCTCCATCAGAAGGATTGTTCAACTCTGTGAGTTGAATGCAGTCATCGCAGAAAACTTTCTGAGAATGCTTCTGTCTAGGTTTGATGTGAAGATATAGACGTTTCAAACGAAGGCTACAAAGTGGTCAAAATATACACTTGCAGATTCTACTACAAGGGTGTTGCAAACCTGAACTATCAAAGGAAGGTTCAACTCTGTGAGTTGAATACAAACATCACAAAGAATGTTCTGAGTTTGCTTCCGTTCAGTTATGGGAAGTTGATCCCGTTTCCAACGAAATCCTCAGAGAGGTCCAAATATCCCCTCGCAGATTCTACAAAACGTGTGTTTGGAAACTGCTCCATCATAACGAATGTTCAGCTCCCTGAGTTAAACTCCATCGTCACAAAGAATTTTCTGAGAGTGCTACCGTCTGGTTTTTATATGAAGTTCTTTCCTTCACTACCACAGGCCTGAAAGCGGTCCAAATCTCCACTTGCAGATTCTACAAAAAGAGTGTTTGCAAACTGCTCTATCAAAAGGAATGTTCAACTCTGGGAGTTGAATGCAATCATCACAGAGCAGTTTCTGAGAATGCTTCTATGTCGTTTTTAGGAGAAGATATTTCCTTTTCCAACACAGTCCTCCAAGCCCGCTAAATAGCCACTTGCACATTGTAGAAAAAGTGTGTCAAAGCTGCGCTATCAAAGGGAAAGTTCAACTCTGTGAGGTGAATGCAAACATCCCAAAGAAGTTTCTGAGAATGCTTCCGTTTAGCTTTTAGGTGAAGATTATCCCGTTTCCAACGAAACCTGCAAAGAGGTCCAAATATCCCCTTGCGGATCCCACAGAAAGAGTGTTTCGAAACTGCTGTTTCAAAAGGAATCTTCAACTCTGTGAGCTGAATGCAATCATCACAAAGAAGTTTCTGACAATGCTTCTCTCTCGTCTTTCTGTGAAGATAAAGGAAAAGGCTTTCAGGCCTTTTCCACCACAGGCCTGAAAGCGCTCCAAATGTCCACTTGCAGATTCTGCCAAAAGAATATTTCAAAACTGCTCTATGAAAAGCAATGTTAAACTCTGTGGCTGGAACACAAACATCACAAAGCGGTTTCTGAGAATGTTTCAGTTTAGTTTTTCTGTGGAAATATTCCCGTTTCCAAAGAAATCTTCAAAGAGGTCCACGTATCCACTTACAGATTCTACAAAAAGACAGTTTCAAAACTGCTCCATCAAAAGGAGGGTTCAACTGTGTGACTTGAATGCAATCATCACTCAGAAGTTTCTGAGAATGCTTCTCTTTAGTTTTTACGTGAACATATACCCGTTTCGAACGAAGGCCACCCAGTGGTCCAAATATCCACTTGCAGATTATACAGAAAGAGTGTTTCGAACCTGAACTCTCAAAGGCAGGTTCATCTCTGCGAGTTAAATGCATTCATCATGAAGAACTTTCTCAGAGTGTTTGTGTTTAGTTATGGGAAATTATTCCCTTTTCCAACGAAATCCTCAGAGAGCTCCAAATATCCACCTGCAGATTCTACCAAAAGTGTATTTGGAAACTGCTCCATCAAAAGGCATGTTCAGCTCTGTGAGTGAAACTCCATCATCACAAAGAATATTCTGAGAATGCTTCCGTTTGCCTTTTATATGAAGTTCCTTCCTATACTACCGTAGGCCTCAAAGCAGTCCAAATCTCCATTTGCAGATTCTACAAAAAGAGTGATTCCAATCTGCTCTATCAATAGGATTGTTCAACTCCATGAGTTGAATGCCATCCTCACAAAGTCGTTTCTGAGAATGCTTCTATCTAGTTTTTATGTGAAGATATTTCCTTTTCCACCACAGGCCTCAAAGCCCTCCAAACGTCCACTTGCAGATTCTCGAAAAAGAGTGTTTCATACCTGCCCTTCAAAAGGAAAGTTCAACTCTGGGAGGTGAATACAAACATCACAAAGTAGTTTCCGAGAATGCTTCTGTTTAGTTCTTATGTGAAGATGATCCCGTTTCCAGTGAAATCTTCAAAGAGGTCCACATATCCCCTTGCCGATTCCAAAGAAAGAGGGTTTCAAAACTGCTCCATCAAAAGGATTGTTCAATTCTGTGAGTTGAATGCAGTCATCGCAGAAAACTTTCTGAGAATGCTTCTGTCTAGGTTTGATGTGAAGATATAGACGTTTCAAACGAAGGCTACAAAGTGGTCAAAATATACACTTGCAGATTCTACTACAAGGGTGTTGCAAACCTGAACTATCAAAGGAAGGTTCAACTCTGTGAGTTGAATACAAACATCACAAAGAATGTTCTGAGTTTGCTTCCGTTCAGTTATGGGAAGTTGATCCCGTTTCCAACGAAATCCTCAGAGAGGTCCAAATATCCCCTCGCAGATTCTACAAAACGTGTGTTTGGAAACTGCTCCATCATAACGAATGTTCAGCTCCCTGAGTTAAACTCCATCGTCACAAAGAATTTTCTGAGAGTGCTACCGTCTGGTTTTTATATGAAGTTCTTTCCTTCACTACCACAGGCCTCAAAGCGGTCCAAATCTCCACTTGCAGATTCTACAAAAAGAGTGTTTGCAAACTGCTCTATCAAAAGGAATGTTCAACTCTGGGAGTTGAATGCAATCATCACAGAGCAGTTTCTGAGAATGCTTCTATGTCGTTTTTAGGAGAAGATATTTCCTTTTCCAACACAGTCCTCCAAGCCCGCTAAATAGCCACTTGCACATTGTAGAAAAAGTGTGTCAAAGCTGCGCTATCAAAGGGAAAGTTCAACTCTGTGAGGTGAATGCAAACATCCCAAAGAAGTTTCTGAGAATGCTTCCGTTTAGCTTTTAGGTGAAGATTATCCCGTTTCCAACGAAACCTTCAAAGAGGTCCAAATATCCCCTTGCGGATCCCACAGAAAGAGTGTTTCGAAACTGCTGTTTCAAAAGGAATCTTCAACTCTGTGAGTTGAATGCAATCATCACAAAGAAGTTTCTGACAATGCTTCTCTCTCGTCTTTCTGTGAAGATAAAGGAAAAGGCTTTCAGGCCTTTCCCATCACAGGCCTGAAAGCGCTCCAAATGTCCACTTGCAGATTCTGCCAAAAGAATATTTCAAAACTGCTCTATGAAAAGCAATGTTAAACTCTGTGGCTCGAACACAAACATCACAAAGCAGTTTCTGAGAATGCTTCAGTTTAGTTTTTCTGTGGAAATATTCCCGTTTCCAAAGAAATCTTCAAAGAGGTCCACGTATCCACTTACAGATTCTACAAAAAGACAGTTTCAAAACTGCTCAATCAAAAGGAGGGTTCAACTGTGTGACTTGAATGCAATCATCACTCAGAAGTTTCTGAGAACGCTTCTCTTTAGTTTTTACGTGAACATATACCCGTTTCGAACGAAGGCCAGACAGTGGTCCAAATATCCACTTGCAGATTCTACAGAAAGAGTGTTTCGAACCTGAACTCTCAAAGGCAGGTTCATCTCTGCGAGTTCAATGCATTCATCATGAAGAACTTTCTCAGCGTGTTTGTGTTTAGTTATGGGAAATTATTCCCGTTTCCAACGAAATCCTCAGAGAGCTCCAAATATCCACCTGCAGATTCTACCAAAAGTGTATTTGGAAACTGCTCCATCAAAAGGCATGTTCAGCTCTGTGAGTGAAACTCCATCATCACAAAGAATATTCTGAGAATGCTTCCGTTTGCCTTTTATCTGAAGTTCCTTCCTATACGACCGTAGGCCTCAAAGCAGTCCAAATCTCCATTTGCAGATTCTACAAAAAGAGTGATTCCAATCTGCTCTATCAATAGGATTGCTCAACTCCATGAGTTGAATGCCATCCTCACAAAGTAGTTTCTGAGAATGCTTCTATCTAGTTTTTATGTGAAGGTATTTCCTTTTCCACCACAGGCCTCCAAGCCCTCCAAACGTCCACTTGCAGATTCTCGAAAAAGAGTGTTTCATAGCTGCTCTTTCAAAAGGAAAGTTCAACTCTGGGAGTTGAATACAAACATCACAAAGTAGTTTCCGAGAATGCTTCTGTTTAGTTTTTATGTGAAGATGATCCCGTTTCCAGTGAAATCTTCAAAGAGGTCCACATATCCCCTTGCAGATTCCAAAGAAAGAGGGTTTAAAAACTGCTCCATCAGAAGGATTGTTCAACTCTGTGAGTTGAATGCAGTCATCGCAGAAAACTTTCTGAGAATGCTTCCGTTCAGTTATGGGAAGTTGATCCCGTTTCCAACGAAATCCTCAGAGAGGTCCAAATATCCCCTCGCAGATTCTACAAAACGTGTGTTTGGAAACTGCTCCATCATAACGAATGTTCAGCTCCCTGAGTTAAACTCCATCGTCACAAAGAATTTTCTGAGAGTGCTACCGTCTGGTTTTTATATGAAGTTCTTTCCTTCACTACCACAGGCCTCAAAGCGGTCCAAATCTCCACTTGCAGATTCTACAAAAAGAGTGTTTGCAAACTGCTCTATCAAAAGGAATGTTCAACTCTGGGAGTTGAATGCAATCATCACAGAGCAGTTTCTGAGAATGCTTCTATGTCGTTTTTAGGAGAAGATATTTCCTTTTCCAACACAGTCCTCCAAGCCCGCTAAATAGCCACTTGCACATTGTAGAAAAAGTGAGTCAAAGCTGCGCTATCAAAGGGAAAGTTCAACTCTGTGAGGTGAATGCAAACATCCCAAAGAAGTTTCTGAGAATGCTTCCGTTTAGCTTTTAGGTGAAGATTATCCCGTTTCCAACGAAACCTTCAAAGAGGTCCAAATATCCCCTTGCGGATCCCACAGAAAGAGTGTTTCGAAACTGCTGTTTCAAAAGGAATCTTCAACTCTGTGAGTTGAATGCAATCATCACAAAGAAGTTTCTGACAATGCTTCTCTCTCGTCTTTCTGTGAAGATAAAGGAAAAGGCTTTCAGGCCTTTGCCACCACAGGCCTGAAAGCGCTCCAAATGTCCACTTGCAGATTCTGCCAAAAGAATATTTCAAAACTGCTCTATGAAAAGCAATGTTAAACTCTGTGGCTCGAACACAAACATCACAAAGCGGTTTCTGAGAATGCTTCAGTTTAGTTTTTCTGTGGAAATATTCCCGTTTCCAAAGAAATCTTCAAAGAGGTCCACGTATCCACTTACAGATTCTACAAAAGGACAGTTTCAAAACTGCTCCATCAAAAGGAGGGTTCAACTGTGTGACTTGAATGCAATCATCACTCAGAAGTTTCTGAGAATGCTTCTCTTTAGTTTTTACGTGAACATATACCCGTTTCGAATGAAGGCCAGCCAGTGGTCCAAATATCCACTTGCAGATTCTACAGAAAGAGTGTTTCGAACCTGAACTCTCAAAGGCAGGTTCATCTCTGCGAGTTAAATGCATTCATCATGAAGAACTTTCTCAGCGTGTTTGTGTTTAGTTATGGGAAATTATTCCCGTTTCCAACGAAATCCTCAGAGAGCTCCAAATATCCACCTGCAGATTCTACCAAAAGTGTATTTGGAAACTGCTCCATCAAAAGGCATGTTCAGCTCTGTGAGTGAAACTCCATCATCACAAAGAATATTCTGAGAATGCTTCCGTTTGCCTTTTATATGAAGTTCCTTCCTGTACTACCGTAGGCCTCAAAGCAGTCCAAATCTCCATTTGCAGATTCTACAAAAAGAGTGATTCCAATCTGCTCTATCAATAGGATTGTTCAACTCCATGAGTTGAATGCCATCCTCACAAAGTAGTTTCTGAGAATGCTTCTATCTGGTTTTTGTGTGAAGATATTTCCTTTTCCACCACAGGCCTCAAAGCCCTCCAAACGTCCACTTGCAGATTCTCGAAAAAGAGTGTTTCGTAGCTGCTCTTTCAAAAGGAAAGTTCAACTCTGGGAGTTGAATACAAACATCACAAAGTAGTTTCCGAGAATGCTTCTGTTTAGTTTTTATGTGAAGATGATCCCGTTTCCAGTGAAATCTTCAAAGAGGTCCACATATCCCCTTGCAGATTCCAAAGAAAGAGGGTTTCAAAACTGCTCCATCAGAAGGATTGTTCAACTCTGTGAGTTGAATGCAGTCATCGCAGAAAACTTTCTGAGAATGCTTCTGTCTAGGTTTGATGTGAAGATATAGACGTTTCAAACGAAGGCTACAAAGTGGTCAAAATATACACTTGCAGATTCTACTACAAGGGTGTTGCAAACCTGAACTATCAAAGGAAGGTTCAACTCTGTGAGTTGAATACAAACATCACAAAGAATGTTCTGAGTTTGCTTCCGTTCAGTTATGGGAAGTTGATCCCGTTTCCAACGAAATCCTCAGAGAGGTCCAAATATCCCCTTGCAGATTCTACAAAACGTGTGTTTGGAAACTGCTCCATCATAACGAATGTTCAGCTCTCTGAGTTAAACTCCATCGTCACAAAGAATTTTCTGAGAGTGCTACCGTCTGGTTTTTATATGAAGCTCTTTCCTTCACTACCACAGGCCTCAAAGCGGTCCAAATCTCCACTTGCAGATTCTACAAAAAGAGTGTTTGCAAACTGCTCTATCAAAAGGAATGTTCAACTCTGGGAGTTGAATGCAATCATCACAGAGCAGTTTCTGAGAATGCTTCTATGTCGTTTTTAGGAGAAGATATTTCCTTTTCCAACACAGTCCTCCAAGCCCGCTAAATATCCACTTGCACATTGTAGAAAAAGTGTGTCGAAGCTGCGCTATCAAAGGGAAAGTTCAACTCTGTGAGGTGAATGCAAACATCCCAAAGAAGTTTCTGAGAATGCTTCCGTTTAGCTTTTAGGTGAAGATTATCCCGTTTCCAACGAAACCTTCAAAGAGGTCCAAATATCCCCTTGCGGATCCCACAGAAAGAGTGTTTCGAAACTGCTGTTTCAAAAGGAATCTTCAACTCTGTGAGTTGAATGCAATCATCCCAAAGAAGTTTCTGACAATGCTTCTCTCTCGTCTTTCTGTGAAGATAAAGGAAAAGGCTTTCAGGCCTTTTCCACCACAGGCCTGAAAGCGCTCCAAATGTCCACTTGCAGATTCTGCCAAAAGAATATTTCAAAACTGCTCTATGAAAAGCAATGTTAAACTCTGTGGCTCGAACACAAACATCACAAAGCAGTTTCTGAGAATGCTTCAGTTTAGTTTTTCTGTGGAAATATTCCCGTTTCCAAAGAAATCTTCAAAGAGGTCCACGTATCCACTTACAGATTCTACAAAAAGACAGTTTCAAAACTGCTCCATCAAAAGGAGGGTTCAACTGTGTGACTTGAATGCAATCATCACTCAGAAGTTTCTGAGAATGCTTCTCTTTAGTTTTTACGTGAACATATACCCGTTTCGAACGAAGGCCAGCCAGTGGTCCAAATATCCACTTGCAGATTCTACAGAAAGAGTGTTTCGAACCTGAACTCTCAAAGGCAGGTTCATCTCTGCGAGTTCAATGCATTCATCATGAAGAACTTTCTCAGCGTGTTTGTGTTTAGTTATGGGAAATTATTCCCGTTTCCAACGAAATCCTCAGAGAGCTCCAAATATCCACCTGCAGATTCTACCAAAAGTGTATTTGGAAACTGCTCCATCAAAAGGCATGTTCAGCTCTGTGAGTGAAACTCCATCATCACAAAGAATATTCTGAGAATGCTTCCGTTTGCCTTTTATATGAAGTTCCTTCCTGTACTACCGTAGGCCTCAAAGCAGTCCAAATCTCCATTTGCAGATTCTATAAAAAGAGTGATTCCAATCTGCTCTATCAATAGGATTGTTCAACTCCATGAGTTGAATGCCATCCTCACAAAGTAGTTTCTGAGAATGCTTCTATCTGGTTTTTGTGTGAAGATATTTCCTTTTCCACCACAGGCCTCAAAGCCCTCCAAACGTCCACTTGCAGATTCTCGAAAAAGAGTGTTTCATAGCTGCTCTTTCAAAAGGAAAGTTCAACTCTGGGAGTTGAATACAAACATCACAAAGTAGTTTCCGAGAATGCTTCTGTTTAGTTTTTATGTGAAGATGATCCCGTTTCCAGTGAAATCTTCAAAGAGGTCCACATATTCCCTTGCAGATTCCAAAGAAAGAGGGTTTCAAAACTGCTCCATCAGAAGGATTGTTCAACTCTGTGAGTTGAATGCAGTCATCGCAGAAAACTTTCTGAGAATGCTTCTGTCTAGGTTTGATGTGAAGATATAGACGTTTCAAACGAAGGCTACAAAGTGGTCAAAATATACACTTGCAGATTCTACTACAAGGGTGTTGCAAACCTGAACTATCAAAGGAAGGTTCAACTCTGTGAGTTGAATACAAACATCACAAAGAATGTTCTGAGTTTGCTTCCGTTCAGTTATGGGAAGTTGATCCCGTTTCCAACGAAATCCTCAGAGAGGTCCAAATATCCCCTCGCAGATTCTACAAAACGTGTGTTTGGAAACTGCTCCATCATAACGAATGTTCAGCTCCCTGAGTTAAACTCCATCGTCACAAAGAATTTTCTGAGAGTGCTACCGTCTGGTTTTTATATGAAGTTCTTTCCTTCACTACCACAGGCCTCAAAGCGGTCCAAATCTCCACTTGCAGATTCTACAAAAAGAGTGTTTGCAAACTGCTCTATCAAAAGGAATGTTCAACTCTGGGAGTTGAATGCAATCATCACAGAGCAGTTTCTGAGAATGCTTCTATGTCGTTTTTAGGAGAAGATATTTCCTTTTCCAACACAGTCCTCCAAGCCCGCTAAATATCCACTTGCACATTGTAGAAAAAGTGTGTCGAAGCTGCGCTATCAAAGGGAAAGTTCAACTCTGTGAGGTGAATGCAAACATCCCAAAGAAGTTTCTGAGAATGCTTCCGTTTAGCTTTTAGGTGAAGATTATCCCGTTTCCAACGAAACCTTCAAAGAGGTCCAAATATCCCCTTGCGGATCCCACAGAAAGAGTGTTTCGAAACTGCTGTTTCAAAAGGAATCTTCAACTCTGTGAGTTGAATGCAATCATCACAAAGAAGTTTCTGACAATGCTTCTCTCTCGTCTTTCTGTGAAGATAAAGGAAAAGGCTTTCAGGCCTTTGCCACCACAGGCCTGAAAGCGCTCCAAATGTCCACTTGCAGATTCTGCGAAAAGAATATTTCAAAACTGCTGCTATGAAAAGCAATGTTAAACTACTGTGGCTCGAACACAAACATCACAAAGCGGTTTCTGAGAATGCTTCAGTTTAGTTTTTCTGTGGAAATATTCCCGTTTCCAAAGAAATCTTCAAAGAGGTCCACGTATCCACTTACAGATTCTATAAAAAGACAGTTTCAAAACTGCTCCATCAAAAGGAGGGTTCAACTGTGTGACTTGAATGCAATCATCACTCAGAAGTTTCTGAGAATGCTTCTCTTTAGTTTTTACGTGAACATATACCCGTTTCGAACGAAGGCCACCCAGTGGTCCAAATATCCACTTGCAGATTCTACAGAAAGAGTGTTTCGAACCTGAACTCTCAAAGGCAGGTTCATCTCTGCGAGTTAAATGCATTCATCATGAAGAACTTTCTCAGAGTGTTTGTGTTTAGTTATGGGAAATTATTCCCGTTTCCAACGAAATCCTCAGAGAGCTCCAAATATCCACCTGCAGATTGTACCAAAAGTGTATTTGGAAACTGCTCCATGAAAAGGCATGTTCAGCTCTGTGAGTGAAACTCCGTCATCACAAAGAATATTCTGAGAATGCTTCCGTTTGCCTTTTATATGAAGTTCCTTCCTATACTACCGTAGGCCTCAAAGCAGTCCAAATCTCCATTTGCAGATTCTACAAAAAGAGTGATTCCAATCTGCTCTATCAATAGGATTGTTCAACTCCATGAGTTGAATGCCATCCTCACAAAGTAGTTTCTGAGAATGCTTCTATGTAGTTTTTATGTGAAGATATTTCCTTTTCCACCACAGGCCTCAAAGCCCTCCAAACGTCCACTTGCAGATTCCCGAAAAAGAGTGTTTCATAGCTGCTCTTTCAAAAGGAAAGTTCAACTCTGGGAGTTGAATACAAACATCACAAAGTAGTTTCCGAGAATGCTTCTGTTTAGTTCTTATGTGAAGATGATCCCGTTTCCAGTGAAATCTTCAAAGAGGTCCACATATCCCCTTGCAGATTCCAAAAAAAGAGGGTTTCAAAACTGCTCCATCAAAAGGATTGTTCAACTCTGTGAGTTGAATGCAGTCATCGCAGAAAACTTTCTGAGAATGCTTCTGTCTAGGTTTGATGTGAAGATATAGACGTTTCAAACGAAGGCTACAAAGTGGTCAAAATATACACTTGCAGATTCTACTACAAGGGTGTTGCAAACCTGAACTATCAAAGGAAGGTTCAACTCTGTGAGTTGAATACAAACATCACAAAGAATGTTCTGAGTTTGCTTCCGTTCAGTTATGGGAAGTTGATCCCGTTTCCAACGAAATCCTCAGAGAGGTCCAAATATCCCCTTGCAGATTCTACAAAACGTGTGTTTGGAAACTGCTCCATCATAACGAATGTTCAGCTCCCTGAGTTAAACTCCATCGTCACAAAGAATTTTCTGAGAGTGCTACCGTCTGGTTTTTATATGAAGCTCTTTCCTTCACTACCACAGACCTCAAAGCGGTCCAAATCTCCACTTGCAGATTCTACAAAAAGAGTGTTTGCAAACTGCTCTATCAAAAGGAATGTTCAACTCTGGGAGTTGAATGCAATCATCACAGAGCAGTTTCTGAGAATGCTTCTATGTCGTTTTTAGGAGAAGATATTTCCTTTTCCAACACAGTCCTCCAAGCCCGCTAAATAGCCACTTGCACATTGTAGAAAAAGTGTGTCAAAGCTGCGCTATCAAAGGGAAAGTTCAACTCTGTGAGGTGAATGCAAACATCCCAAAGAAGTTTCTGAGAATGCTTCCGTTTAGCTTTTAGGTGAAGATTATCCCGTTTCCAATGAAATCTTCAAAGAGGTCCAAATATCCCCTTGCGGATCCCACAGAAAGAGTGTTTCGAAACTGCTGTTTCAAAAGGAATCTTCAACTCTGTGAGTTGAATGCAATCATCACAAAGAAGTTTCTGACAATGCTTCTCTCTCGTCTTTCTGTGAAGATAAAGGAAAAGGCTTTCAGGCCTTTTCCACCACAGGCCTGAAAGCGCTCCAAATGTCCACTTGCAGATTCTGCCAAAAGAATATTTCAAAACTGCTCTATGAAAAGCAATGTTAAACTCTGTGGCTCGAACACAAACATCACAAAGCGGTTTCTGAGAATGCTTCAGTTTAGTTTTTCTGTGGAAATATTCCCGTTTCCAAAGAAATCTTCAAAGAGGTCCACGTATCCACTTACAGATTCTACAAAAAGACAGTTTCAAAACTGCTCCATCAAAAGGAGGGTTCAACTGTGTGACTTGAATGCAATCATCACTCACAAGTTTCTGAGAATGCTTCTCTTTAGTTTTTACGTGAACATATACCCGTTTCGAACGAAGGCCAGCCAGTGGTCCAAATATCCACTTGCAGATTCTACAGAAAGAGTGTTTCGAACCTGAACTCTCAAAGGCAGGTTCATCTCTGCGAGTTCAATGCATTCATCATGAAGAACGTTCTCAGCGTGTTTGTGTTTAGTTATGGGAAATTATTCCCGTTTCCAACGAAATCCTCAGAGAGCTCCAAATATCCACCTGCAGATTCTACCAAAAGTGTATTTGGAAACTGCTCCATCAAAAGGCATGTTCAGCTCTGTGAGTGAAACTCCATCATCAAAAAGAATATTCTGAGAATGCTTCCGTTTGCCTTTTATATGAAGTTCCTTCCTATACTACCGTAGGCCTCAAAGCAGTCCAAATCTCCATTTGCAGATTCTACAAAAAGAGTGATTCCAATCTGCTCTATCAATAGGATTGTTCAACTCCATGAGTTGAATGCCATCCTCACAAAGTAGTTTCTGAGAATGCTTCTATCTAGTTTTTGTGTGAAGATATTTCCTTTTCCACCACAGGCCTCAAAGCCCTCCAAACGTCCACTTGCAGATTCTCGAAAAAGAGTGTTTTATAGCTGCTCTTTCAAAAGGAAAGCTCAACTCTGGGAGTTGAATACAAACATCACAAAGTAGTTTCCGAGAATGCTTCTGTTTAGTTTTTATGTGAAGATGATCCCGTTTCCAGTGAAATCTTCAAAGAGGTCCACATATCCCCTTGCAGATTCCAAAGAAAGAGGGTTTCAAAACTGCTCCATCAGAAGGATTGTTCAACTCTGTGAGTTGAATGCAGTCATCGCAGAAAACTTTCTGAGAATGCTTCTGTCTAGGTTTGATGTGAAGATATAGACGTTTCAAACGAAGGCTACAAAGTGGTCAAAATATACACTTGCAGATTCTACTACAAGGGTGTTGCAAACCTGAACTATCAAAGGAAGGTTCAACTCTGTGAGTTGAATACAAACATCACAAAGAATGTTCTGAGTTTGCTTCCGTTCAGTTATGGGAAGTTGATCCCGTTTCCAACGAAATCCTCAGAGAGGTCCAAATATCCCCTCGCAGATTCTACAAAACGTGTGTTTGGAAACTGCTCCATCATAACGAATGTTCAGCTCCCTGAGTTAAACTCCATCGTCACAAAGAATTTTCTGAGAGTGCTACCGTCTGGTTTTTATATGAAGTTCTTTCCTTCACTACCACAGGCCTCAAAGCGGTCCAAATCTCCACTTGCAGATTCTACAAAAAGAGTGTTTGCAAACTGCTCTATCAAAAGGAATGTTCAACTCTGGGAGTTGAATGCAATCATCACAGAGCAGTTTCTGAGAATGCTTCTATGTCGTTTTTAGGAGAAGATATTTCCTTTTCCAACACAGTCCTCCAAGCCCGCTAAATAGCCACTTGCACATTGTAGAAAAAGTGTGTCAAAGCTGCGCTATCAAAGGGAAAGTTCAACTCTGTGAGGTGAATGCAAACATCCCAAAGAAGTTTCTGAGAATGCTTCCGTTTAGCTTTTAGGTGAAGATTATCCCGTTTCCAACGAAACCTTCAAAAGGTCCAAATATCCCCTTGCGGATCCCACAGAAAGAGTGTTTCGAAACTGCTGTTTCAAAAGGAATCTTCAAGTCTGTGAGTTGAATGCAATCATCACAAAGAAGTTTCTGACAATGCTTCTCTCTCGTCTTTCTGTGAAGATAAAGGAAAAGGCTTTCAGGCCTTTTCCACCACAGGCCTGAAAGCGCTCCAAATGTCCACTTGCAGATTCTGCGAAAAGAATATTTCAAAACTGCTCTATGAAAAGCAATGTTAAACTCTGTGGCTCGAACACAAACATCACAAAGCAGTTTCTGAGAATGCTTCAGTTTAGTTTTTCTGTGGAAATATTCCCGTTTCCAAAGAAATCTTCAAAGATGTCCACGTGTCCTCTTACAGATTCTACAAAAAGACAGTTTCAAAACTGCTCAATCAAAAGGAGGGTTCAACCGTGTGACTTGAATGCAATCATCACTCAGAAGTTTCTGAGAATGCTTCTCTTTAGTTTTTACGTGAACATATACCCGTTTCGAACGAAGGCCAGCCAGTGGTCCAAATATCCACTTGCAGATTCTACAGAAAGAGTGTTTCGAACCTGAACTCTCAAAGGCAGGTTCATCTCTGCGAGTTCAATGCATTCATCATGAAGAACTTTCTCAGAGTGTTTGTGTTTAGGTATGGGAAATTATTCCCGTTTCCAACGAAATCCTCAGAGAGGTCCAAATATCCACCTGCAGATTCTACCAAAAGTGTATTTGGAAACTGCTCCATCAAAAGGCATGTTCAACTCTGTGAGTCAAACTCCATCATCACAAAGAATATTCTGAGAATGCTTCCGTTTGCCTTTTATATGAAGTTCCTTCCTATACTACCGTAGGCCTCAAAGCAGTCCAAATCTCCATTTGCAGATTCTACCAAAAGAGTGATTCCAATCTGCTCTATCAATAGGATTGTTCAACTCCATGAGTTGAATGCCATCCTCACAAAGTCGTTTCTGAGAATGCTTCTATCTAGTTTTTATGTGAAGATATTTCCTTTTCCACCACAGGCCTCAAAGCCCTCCAAACGTCCACTTGCAGATTCTCGAAAAAGAGTGTTTCATAGCCGCTGTTTCAAAAGGAAAGTTCAACTCTGGGAGTTGAATACAAACATCACAAAGTAGTTTCCGAGAATGCTTCTGTTTAGTTTTTATGTGAAGATGATCCCGTTTCCAGTGAAATCTTCAAAGAGGTCCACATATCCCCTTGCAGATTCCAAAGAAAGAGGGTTTCAAAACTGCTCCATCAGAAGGATTGTTCAACTCTGTGAGTTGAATGCAGTCATCGCAGAAAACTTTCTGAGAATGCTTCTGTCTAGGTTTGATGTGAAGATATAGACGTTTCAAACGAAGGCTACAAAGTGGTCAAAATATACACTTGCAGATTCTACTACAAGGGTGTTGCAAACCTGAACTATCAAAGGAAGGTTCAACTCTGTGAGTTGAATACAAACATCACAAAGAATGTTCTGAGTTTGCTTCCGTTCAGTTATGGGAAGTTGATCCCTTTTCCAACGAAATCCTCAGAGAGGTCCAAATATCCCCTCGCAGATTCTACAAAACGTGTGTTTGGAAACTGCTCCATCATAACGAATGTTCAGCTCCCTGAGTTAAACTCCATCGTCACAAAGAATTTTCTGAGAGTGCTACCGTCTGGTTTTTATATGAAGTTCTTTCCTTCACTACCACAGGCCTCAAAGCGGTCCAAATCTCCACTTGCAGATTCTACAAAAAGAGTGTTTGCAAACTGCTCTATCAAAAGGAATGTTCAACTCTGGGAGTTGAATGCAATCATCACAGAGCAGTTTCTGAGAATGCTTCTATGTCGTTTTTAGGAGAAGATATTTCCTTTTCCAACACAGTCCTCCAAGCCCGCTAAATAGCCACTTGCACATTGTAGAAAAAGTGTGTCAAAGCTGCGCTATCAAAGGGAAAGTTCAACTCTGTGAGGTGAATGCAAACATCCCAAAGAAGTTTCTGAGAATGCTTCCGTTTAGCTTTTAGGTGAAGATTATCCCGTTTCCAACGAAACCTTCAAAGAGGTCCAAATATCCCCTTGCGGATCCCACAGAAAGAGTGTTCCGAAACTGCTGTTTCAAAAGGAATCTTCAACTCTGTGAGTTGAATGCAATCATCACAAAGAAGTTTCTGACAATGCTTCTCTCTCGTCTTTCTGTGAAGATAAAGGAAAAGGCTTTCAGGCCTTTGCCACCACAGGCCTGAAAGCGCTCCAAATGTCCACTTGCAGATTCTGCGAAAAGAATATTTCAAAACTGCTCTATGAAAAGCAATGTTAAACTCTGCGGCTCGAACACAAACATCACAAAGCGGTTTCTGAGAATGCTTCAGTTTAGTTTTTCTGTGGAAATATTCCCGTTTCCAAAGAAATCTTCAAAGAGGTCCACGTATCCACTTACAGATTCTACAAAAAGACAGTTTCAAAACTGCTCCATCAATAGGAGGGTTCAACTGTGTGACTTGAATGCAATCATCACTCAGAAGTTTCTGAGAATGCTTCTCTTTAGTTTTTACGTGAACATATACCCGTTTCGAACGAAGGCCACCCAGTGGTCCAAATATCCACTTGCAGATTCTACAGAAAGAGTGTTTCGAACCTGAACTCTCAAAGGCAGGTTCATCTCTGCGAGTTAAATGCATTCATCATGAAGAACTTTCTCAGAGTGTTTGTGTTTAGTTATGGGAAATTATTCCCGTTTCCAACGAAATCCTCAGAGAGCTCCAAATATCCACCTGCAGATTCTACCAAAAGTGTATTTGGAAACTGCTCCATCAAAAGGCACGTTCAGCTCTGTGAGTGAAACTCCATCATCACAAAGAATATTCTGAGAATGCTTCCGTTTGCCTTTTATATGAAGTTCCTTCCTATACGACCGTAGGCCTCAAAGCAGTCCAAATCTCCATTTGCAGATTCTACAAAAAGAGTGATTCCAATCTGCTCTATCAATAGGATTGTTCAACTCCATGAGTTGAATGCCATCCTCACAAAGTAGTTTCTGAGAATGCTTCTATCTAGTTTTTATGTGAAGATATTTCCTTTTCCACCACAGGCCTCAAAGCCCTCCAAACGTCCACTTGCAGATTCTCGAAAAAGAGTGTTTCATAGCTGCTCTTTCAAAAGGAAAGTTCAACTCTGGAAGTTGAATACAAACATCACAAAGTAGTTTCCGAGAATGCTTCTGTTTAGTTTTTATGTGAAGATGATCCCGTTTCCAGTGAAATCTTCAAAGAGGTCCACATATCCCCTTGCAGATTCCAAAGAAAGAGGGTTTCAAAACTGCTCCATCAGAAGGATTGTTCAACTCTGTGAGTTGAATGCAGTCATCGCAGAAAACTTTCTGAGAATGCTTCTGTCTAGGTTTGATGTGAAGATATAGACGTTTCAAACGAAGGCTACAAAGTGGTCAAAATATACACTTGCAGATTCTACTACAAGGGTGTTGCAAACCTGAACTATCAAAGGAAGGTTCAACTCTGTGAGTTGAATACAAACATCACAAAGAATGTTCTGAGTTTGCTTCCGTTCAGTTATGGGAAGTTGATCCCGTTTCCAACGAAATCCTCAGAGAGGTCCAAATATCCCCTTGCAGATTCTACAAAACGTGTGTTTGGAAACTGCTCCATCATAACGAATGTTCAGCTCCCTGAGTTAAACTCCATCGTCACAAAGAATTTTCTGAGAGTGCTACCGTCTGGTTTTTATATGAAGTTCTTTCCTTCACTACCACAGGCCTCAAAGCGGTCCAAATCTCCACTTGCAGATTGTACAAAAAGAGTGTTTGCAAACTGCTCTATCAAAAGGAATGTTCAACTCTGGGAGTTGAATGCAATCATCACAGAGCAGTTTCTGAGAATGCTTCTATGTCGTTTTTAGGAGAAGATATTTCCTTTTCCAACACAATCCTCCAAGCCCGCTAAATAGCCACTTGCACATTGTAGAAAAAGTGTGTCAAAGCTGCGCTATCAAAGGGAAAGTTCAACTCTGTGAGGTGAATGCAAACATCCCAAAGAAGTTTCTGAGAATGCTTCCGTTTAGCTTTTAGGTGAAGATTATCCCGTTTCCAACGAAACCTTCAAAGAGGTCCAAATATCCCCTTGCGGATCCCACAGAAAGAGTGTTTCGAAACTGCTGTTTCAAAAGGAATCTTCAACTCTGTGAGTTGAATGCAATCATCACAAAGAAGTTTCTGACAATGCTTCTCTCTCGTCTTTCTGTGAAGATAAAGGAAAAGGCTTTCAGGCCTTTTCCACCACAGGCCTGAAAGCGCTCCAAATGTCCACTTGCAGATTCTGCCAAAAGAATATTTCAAAACTGCTCTATGAAAAGCAATGTTAAACTCTGTGGCTGGAACACAAACATCACAAAGCGGTTTCTGAGAATGTTTCAGTTTAGTTTTTCTGTGGAAATATTCCCGTTTCCAAAGAAATCTTCAAAGAGGTCCACGTATCCACTTACAGATTCTACAAAAAGACAGTTTCAAAACTGCTCCATCAAAAGGAGGGTTCAACTGTGTGACTTGAATGCAATCATCACTCAGAAGTTTCTGAGAATGCTTCTCTTTAGTTTTTACGTGAACATATACCCGTTTCGAACGAAGGCCACCCAGTGGTCCAAATATCCACTTGCAGATTCTACAGAAAGAGTGTTTCGAACCTGAACTCTCAAAGGCAGGTTCATCTCTGCGAGTTAAATGCATTCATCATGAAGAACTTTCTCAGAGTGTTTGTGTTTAGTTATGGGAAATTATTCCCGTTTCCAACGAAATCCTCAGAGAGCTCCAAATATCCACCTGCAGATTCTACCAAAAGTGTATTTGGAAACTGCTCCAACAAAAGGCATGTTAAGCTCTGTGAGTGAAACTCCATCATCACAAAGAATATTCTGAGAATGCTTCCGTTTGCCTTTTATATGAAGTTCCTTCCTATACTACCGTAGGCCTCAAAGCAGTCCAAATCTCCATTTGCAGATTCTACAAAAAGAGTGATTCCAATCTGCTCTATCAATAGGATTGTTCAACTCCATGAGTTGAATGCCATCCTCACAAAGTAGTTTCTGAGAATGCTTCTATCTAGTTTTTATGTGAAGATATTTCCTTTTCCACCACAGGCCTCAAAGCCCTCCAAACGTCCACTTGCAGATTTTCGAAAAAGAGTGTTTCATAGCTGCTCTTTCAAAAGGAAAGTTCAACTCTGGGAGTTGAATACAAACATCACAAAGTAGTTTCCGAGAATGCTTCTGTTTAGTTTTTATGTGAAGATGATCCCGTTTCCAGTGAAATCTTCAAAGAGGTCCACATATCCCCTTGCAGATTCCAAAGAAAGAGGGTTTCAAAACTGCTCCATCAGAAGGATTGTTCAACTCTGTGAGTTGAATGCAGTCATCGCAGAAAACTTTCTGAGAATGCTTCTGTCTAGGTTTGATGTGAAGATATAGACGTTTCAAACGAAGGCTACAAAGTGGTCAAAATATACACTTGCAGATTCTACTACAAGGGTGTTGCAAACCTGAACTATCAAAGGAAGGTTCAACTCTGTGAGTTGAATACAAACATCACAAAGAATGTTCTGAGTTTGCTTCCGTTCAGTTATGGGAAGTTGATCCCGTTTCCAACGAAATCCTCAGAGAGGTCCAAATATCCCCTTGCAGATTCTACAAAACGTGTGTTTGGAAACTGCTCCATCATAACGAATGTTCAGCTCTCTGAGTTAAACTCCATCGTCACAAAGAATTTTCTGAGAGTGCTACCGTGTGGTTTTTATATGAAGTTCTTTCCTTCACTACCACAGACCTCAAAGCGGTCCAAATCTCCACTTGCAGATTCTACAAAAAGAGTGTTTGCAAACTGCTCTATCAAAAGGAATGTTCAACTCTGGGAGTTGAATGCAATCATCACAGAGCAGTTTCTGAGAATGCTTCTATGTCGTTTTTAGGAGAAGATATTTCCTTTTCCAACACAGTCCTCCAAGCCCGCTAAATAGCCACTTGCACATTGTAGAAACAGTGTGTCAAAGCTGCGCTATCAAAGGGAAAGTTCAACTCTGTGAGGTGAATGCAAACATCCCAAAGAAGTTTCTGAGAATGCTTCCGTTTAGCTTTTAGGTGAAGATTATCCCGTTTCCAACGAAACCTTCAAAGAGGTCCAAATATCCCCTTGCGGATCCCACAGAAAGAGTGTTTCGAAACTGCTGTTTCAAAAGGAATCTTCAACTCTGTGAGTTGAATGCAATCATCAAAAAGAAGTTTCTGACAATGCTTCTCTCTCGTCTTTCTGTGAAGATAAAGGAAAAGGCTTTCAGGCCTTTTCCACCACAGGCCTGAAAGCGCTCCAAATGTCCACTTGCAGATTCTGCCAAAAGAATATTTCAAAACTGCTCTATGAAAAGCAATGTTAAACTCTGTGGCTGGAACACAAACATCACAAAGCGGTTTCTGAGAATGTTTCAGTTTAGTTTTTCTGTGGAAATATTCCCGTTTCCAAAGAAATCTTCAAAGAGGTCCACGCATCCACTTACAGATTCTACAAAAAGACAGTTTCAAAACTGCTCAATCAAAACGAGGGTTCAACTGTGTGACTTGAATGCAATCATCACTCAGAAGTTTCTGTGAACGCTTCTCTTTAGTTTTTACGTGAACATATACCCGTTTCGAACGAAGGCCAGCCAGTGGTCCAAATATCCACTTGCAGATTCTACAGAAAGAGTGTTTCGAACCTGAACTCTCAAAGGCAGGTTCATCTCTGCGAGTTAAATGCATTCATCATGAAGAACTTTCTCAGCGTGTTTGTGTTTAGTTATGGGAAATTATTCCCTTTTCCAACTAAATCCTCAGAGAGCTCCAAATATCCACCTGCAGATTCTACCAAAAGTGTATTTGGAAACTGCTCCATCAAAAGGCATGTTCAGCTCTGTGAGTGAAACTCCATGATCACAAAGAATATTCTGAGAATGCTTCCGTTTGCCTTTTATATGAAGTTCCTTCCTATACTACCGTAGGCCTCAAAGCAGTCCAAATCTCCATTTGCAGATTCTACAAAAAGAGTGATTCCAATCTGCTCTATCAATAGGATTGTTCAACTCCATGAGTTGAATGCCATCCTCACAAAGTAGTTTCTGAGAATGCTTCTATCTAGTTTTTATGTGAAGATATTTCCTTTTCCACCACAGGCCTCAAAGCCCTCCAAACGTCCACCTGCAGATTCTCGAAAAACAGTGTTTCATAGCTGCTCTTTCAAAAGGAAAGTTCAACTCTGGGAGTTGAATACAAACATCACAAAGTAGTTTCCGAGAATGCTTCTGTTTAGTTTTTATGTGAAGATGATCCCGTTTCCAGTGAAATCTTCAAAGAGGTCCACATATCCCCTTGCAGATTCCAAAGAAAGAGGGTTTCAAAACTGCTCCATCAGAAGGATTGTTCAACTCTGTGAGTTGAATGCAGTCATCGCAGAAAACTTTCTGAGAATGCTTCTGTCTAGGTTTGATGTGAAGATATAGACGTTTCAAACGAAGGCTACAAAGTGGTCAAAATATACACTTGCAGATTCTACTACAAGGGTGTTGCAAACCTGAACTATCAAAGGAAGGTTCAACTCTGTGAATTGAATACAAACATCACAAAGAATGTTCTGAGTTTGCTTCCGTTCAGTTATGGGAAGTTGATCCCGTTTCCAACGAAATCCTCAGAGAGGTCCAAATATCCCCTTGCAGATTCTACAAAACGTGTGTTTGGAAACTGCTCCATCATAACGAATGTTCAGCTCCCTGAGTTAAACTCCATCGTCACAAAGAATTTTCTGAGAGTGCTACCGTCTGGTTTTTATATGAAGTTCTTTCCTTTACTACCACAGGCCTCAAAGCGGTCCAAATCTCCACTTGCAGATTCTACAAAAAGAGTGTTTGCAAACTGCTCTATCAAAAGGAATGTTCAACTCTGGGAGTTGAATGCAATCATCACAGAGCAGTTTCTGAGAATGCTTCTATGTCGTTTTTAGGAGAAGATATTTCCTTTTCCAACACAGTCCTCCAAGCCCGCTAAATAGCCACTTGCACATTGTAGAAAAAGTGTGTCGAAGCTGCGCTATCAAAGGGAAAGTTCAACTCTGTGAGGTGAATGCAAACATCCCAAAGAAGTTTCTGAGAATGCTTCCGTTTAGCTTTAAGTGAAGATTATCCCGTTTCCAACGAAATCTTCAAAGAGGTCCAAATATCCCCTTGCGGATCCCACAGAAAGAGTGTTTCGAAACTGCTGTTTCAAAAGGAATCTTCAACTCTGTGAGTTGAATGCAATCATCACAAAGAAGTTTCTGACAATGCTTCTCTCTCGTCTTTCTGTGAAAATAAAGGAAAAGGCTTTCAGGCCTTTTCCACCACAGGCCTGAAAGCGCTCCAAATGTCCACTTGCAGATTCTGCCAAAAGAATATTTCAAAACTGCTCTATGAAAAGCAATGTTAAACTCTGTGGCTCGAACACAAACATCACAAAGCAGTTTCTGAGAATGCTTCAGTTTAGTTTTTCTGTGGAAATATTCCCGTTTCCAAAGAAATCTTCAAAGAGGTCCACGCATCCACTTACAGATTCTACAAAAAGACAGTTTCAAAACTGCTCAATCAAAAGGAGGGTTCAACTGTGTGACTTGAATGCAATCATCACTCAGAAGTTTCTGAGAACGCTTCTCTTTAGTTTTTACGTGAACATATACCCGTTTCGAACGAAGGCCAGCCAGTGGTCCAAATATCCACTTGCAGATTCTACAGAAAGAGTGTTTCGAACCTGAACTCTCAAAGGCAGGTTCATCTCTGTGAGTTAAATGCATTCATCATGAAGAACTTTCTCAGCGTGTTTGTGTTTAGTTATGGGAAATTATTCCCGTTTCCAACGAAATCCTCAGAGAGCTCCAAATATCCACCTGCAGATTCTACCAAAAGTGTATTTGGAAACTGCTCCATCAAAAGGCATGTTCAGCTCTGTGAGTGAAACTCCATCATCACAAAGAATATTCTGAGAATGCTTCCGTTTGCCTTTTATATGAAGTTCCTTCCTATACTACCGTAGGCCTCAAAGCAGTCCAAATCTCCATTTGCAGATTCTACAAAAAGAGTGATTCCAATCTGCTCTATCAATAGGATTGTTCAACTCCATGAGTTGAATGCCATCCTCACAAAGTCGTTTGTGAGAATGCTTCTATCTAGTTTTTATGTGAAGATATTTCCTTTTCCACCACAGGCCTCAAAGCCCTCCAAACGTCCACTTGCAGATTCTCGAAAAAGAGTGTTTCATAGCTGCTCTTTCAAAAGGAAAGTTCAACTCTGGGAGGTGAATACAAACATCACAAAGTAGTTTCCGAGAATGCTTCTGTTTAGTTCTTATGTGAAGATGATCCCGTTTCCAGTGAAATCTTCAAAGAGGTCCACATATCCCCTTGCAGATTCCAAAGAAAGAGGGTTTCAAAACTGCTCCATCAAAAGGATTGTTCAACTCTGTGAGTTGAATGCAGTCATCGCAGAAAACTTTCTGAGAATGCTTCTGTCTGGGTTTGATGTGAAGATATAGACGTTTCAAACGAAGGCTACAAAGTGGTCAAAATATAAACTTGCAGATTCTACTACAAGGGTGTTGCAAACCTGAACTATCAAAGGAAGGTTCAACTCTGTGAGTTGAATACAAACATCACAAAGAATGTTCTGAGTTTGCTTCCGTTCAGTTATGGGAAGTTGATCCCGTTTCCAACGAAATCCTCAGAGAGGTCCAAATATCCCCTTGCAGATTCTACAAAACGTGTGTTTGGAAACTGCTCCATCATAACGAATATTCAGCTCTCTGAGTTAAACTCCATCGTCACAAAGAATTTTCTGAGAGTGCTACCGTCTAGTTTTTATATGAAGTTCTTTCCTTTACTACCACAGGCCTCAAAGCGGTCCAAATCTCCACTTGCAGATTCTACAAAAAGAGTGTTTGCAAACTGCTCTATCAAAAGGAATGTTCAACTCTGGGAGTTGAATGCAATCATCACAGAGCAGTTTCTGAGAATGCTTCTATGTCGTTTTTAGGAGAAGATATTTCCTTTTCCAACACAGTCCTCCAAGCCCGCTAAATAGCCACTTGCACATTGTAGAAAAAGTGTGTCAAAGCTGCGCTATCAAAGGGAAAGTTCAACTCTGAGAGGTGAATGCAAACATCCCAAAGAAGTTTCTGAGAGTGCTTCCGTTTAGCTTTTAGGTGAAGATTATCCCGTTTCCAACGAAACCTTCAAAGAGGTCCAAATATCCCCTTGCGGATCCCACAGAAAGAGTGTTTCGAAACTGCTGTTTCAAAAGGAATCTTCAACTCTGTGAGTTGAATGCAATCATCACAAAGAAGTTTCTGACAATGCTCTCTCTCGTCTTTCTGTGAAGATAAAGGAAAAGGCTTTCAGGCCTTTTCCACCACAGGCCTGAAAGCGCTCCAAATGTCCACTTGCAGATTCTGCCAAAAGAATATTTCAAAACTGCTCTATGAAAAGCAATGTTAAACTCTGCGGCTCGAACACAAACATCACAAAGCAGTTTCTGAGAATGCTTTCAGTTTAGTTTTTCTGTGGAAATATTCCCGTTTCCAAAGAAATCTTCAAAGAGGTCCACGCATCCACTTACAGATTCTACAAAAAGACAGTTTCAAAACTGCTCAATCAAAAGGAGGGTTCAACTGTGTGACTTGAATGCAATCATCACTCAGAAGTTTATGAGAACGCTTCTCTTTAGTTTTTACGTGAACATATACCCGTTTCGAACGAAGGCCAGCCAGTGGTCCAAATATCCACTTGCAGATTCTACAGAAAGAGTGTTTCGAACCTGAACTCTCAAAGGCAGGTTCATCTCTGCGAGTTCAATGCATTCATCATGAAGAACGTTCTCAGCGTGTTTGTGTTTAGTTATGGGAAATTATTCCCGTTTCCAACGAAATCCTCAGAGAGCTCCAAATATCCACCTGCAGATTCTACCAAAAGTGTATTTGGAAACTGCTCCATCAAGAGGCATGTTCAGCTCTGTGAGTGAAACTCCATCATCACAAAGAATATTCTGAGAATGCTTCCGTTTGCCTTTTATATGAAGTTCCTTCCTATACGACCTTAGGCCTCAAAGCAGTCCAAATCTCCATTTGCAGATTCTACAAAAAGAGTGATTCCAATCTGCTCTATCAATAGGATTGTTCAACTCCATGAGTTGAATGCCATCCTCACAAAGTCGTTTCTGAGAATGCTTCTATCTAGTTTTTATGTGAAGATATTTCCTTTTCCACCACAGGCCTCAAAGCCCTCCAAACGTCCACTTGCAGATTCTCGAAAAAGAGTGTTTCATAGCTGCTCTTTCAAAAGGAAAGTTCAACTCTGGGAGTTGAATACAAACATCACAAAGTAGTTTCCGAGAATGCTTCTGTTTAGTTCTTATGTGAAGATGATCCCGTTTCCAGTGAAATCTTCAAAGAGGTCCACATATCCCCTTGCAGATTCCAAAGAAAGAGGGTTTCAAAACTGCTCCATCAAAAGGATTGTTCAACTCTGTGAGTTGAATGCAGTCATCGCAGAAAACTTTCTGAGAATGCTTCTGTCCAGGTTTGATGTGAAGATATAGACGTTTCAAACGAAGGCTACAAAGTGGTCAAAATATACACTTGCAGATTCTACTACAAGGGTGTTGCAAACCTGAACTATCAAAGGAAGGTTCAACTCTGTGAGTTGAATACAAACATCACAAAGAATGTTCTGAGTTTGCTTCCGTTCAGTTATGGGAAGTTGATCCCGTTTCCAACGAAATCCTCAGAGAGGTCCAAATATCCCCTTGCAGATTCTACAAAACGTGTGTTTGGAAACTGCTCCATCATAACGAATGTTCAGCTCCCTGAGTTAAACTCCATCGTCACAAAGAATTTTCTGAGAGTGCTACCGTCTGGTTTTTATATGAAGTTCTTTCCTTCACTACCACAGGCCTCAAAGCGGTCCAAATCTCCACTTGCAGATTCTACAAAAAGAGTGTTTGCAAACTGCTCTATCAAAAGGAATGTTCAACTCTGGGAGTTGAATGCAATCATCACAGAGCAGTTTCTGAGAATGCTTCTATGTCGTTTTTAGGAGAAGATATTTCCTTTTCCAACACAGTCCTCCAAGCCCGCTAAATAGCCACTTGCACATTGTAGAAAAAGTGTGTCGAAGCTGCGCTATCAAAGGGAAAGTTCAACTCTGTGAGGTGAATGCAAACATCCCAAAGAAGTTTCTGAGAATGCTTCCGTTTAGCTTTTAGGTGAAGATTATCCCGTTTCCAACGAAACCTTCAAAGAAGTCCAAATATCCCCTTGCGGATCCCACAGAAAGAGTGTTTCGAAACTGCTGTTTCAAAAGGAATCTTCAACTCTGTGAGTTGAATGCAATCATCACAAAGAAGTTTCTGACAATGCTTCTCTCTCGTCTTTCTGTGAAGATAAAGGAAAAGGCTTTCAGGCCTTTTCCACCACAGGCCTGAAAGCGCTCCAAATGTCCACTTGCAGATTCTGCCAAAAGAATATTTCAAAACTGCTCTATGAAAAGCAATGTTAAACTCTGCGGCTCGAACACAAACATCACAAAGCAGTTTCTGAGAATGCTTCAGTTTAGTTTTTCTGTGGAAATATTCCCGTTTCCAAAGAAATATTCAAAGAGGTCCACGTATCCACTTACAGATTCTACAAAAAGACAGTTTCAAAACTGCTCCATCAAAAGGAGGGTTCAACTGTGTGACTTGAATGTAATCATCACTCAGAAGTTTCTGAGAATGCTTCTCTTTAGTTTTTACGTGAACATATACCCGTTTCGAACGAAGGCCAGCCAGTGGTCCAAATATCCACTTGCAGATTCTACAGAAAGAGTGTTTCGAACCTGAACTCTCAAAGGCAGGTTCATCTCTGCGAGTTAAATGCATTCATCATGAAGAACTTTCTCAGAGTGTTTGTGTTTAGTTATGGGAAATTATTCCCTTTTCCAACGAAATCCTCAGAGAGCTCCAAATATCCACCTGCAGATTCTACCAAAAGTGTATTTGGAAACTGCTCCATCAAAAGGCATGTTCAGCTCTGTCAGTGAAACTCCATCATCACAAAGAATATTCTGAGAATGCTTCCGTTTGCCTTTTATATGAAGTTCCTTCCTATACTACCGTAGGCCTCAAAGCAGTCCAAATCTCCATTTGCAGATTCTACAAAAAGAGTGATTCCAATCTGCTCTATCAATAGGATTGTTCAACTCCATGAGTTGAATGCCATCCTCACAAAGTCGTTTCTGAGAATGCTTCTATCTAGTTTTTATGTGAAGATATTTCCTTTTCCACCACAGGCCTCAAAGCCCTCCAAACGTCCACTTGCAGATTCTCGAAAAAGAGTGTTTCATAGCTGCTCTTTCAAAAGGAAAGTTCAACTCTGGGAGTTGAATACAAACATCACAAAGTAGTTTCCGAGAATGCTTCTGTTTAGTTTTTATGTGAAGATGATCCCGTTTCCAGTGAAATCTTCAAAGAGGTCCACATATCCCCTTGCAGATTCCAAAGAAAGAGGGTTTCAAAACTGCTCCATCAGAAGGATTGTTCAACTCTGTGAGTTGAATGCAGTCATCGCAGAAAACTTTGCTGAGAATGCTTCTGTCTAGGTTTGATGTGAAGATATAGACGTTTCAAACGAAGGCTACAAAGTGGTCAAAATATACACTTGCAGATTCTACTACAAGGGTGTTGCAAACGTGAACTATCAAAGGAAGGTTCAACTCTGTGAATTGAATACAAACATCACAAAGAATGTTCTGAGTTTGCTTCCGTTCAGTTATGGGAAGTTGATCCCGTTTCCAACGAAATCCTCAGAGAGGTCCAAATATCCCCTTGCAGATTCTACAAAACGTGTGTTTGGAAACTGCTCCATCATAACGAATGTTCAGCTCCCTGAGTTAAACTCCATCGTCACAAAGAATTTTCTGAGAGTGCTACCGTCTGGTTTTTATATGAAGTTCTTTCCTTCACTACCACAGGCCTCAAAGCGGTCCAAATCTCCACTTGCAGATTCTACAAAAAGAGTGTTTGCAAACTGCTCTATCAAAAGGAATGTTCAACTCCTGGGAGTTGAATGCAATCATCACAGAGCAGTTTCTGAGAATGCTTCTATGTCGTTTTTAGGAGAAGATATTTCCTTTTCCAACACAGTCCTCCTAGCCCGCTAAATAGCCACTTGCACATTGTAGAAAAAGTGTGTCAAAGCTGCGCTATCAAAGGGAAAGTTCAACTCTGTGAGGTGAATGCAAACATCCCAAAGAAGTTTCTGAGAATGCTTCCGTTTAGCTTTTAGGTGAAGATTATCCCGTTTCCAACGAAATCTTCAAAGAGGTCCAAATATCCCCTTGCGGATCCCACAGAAAGAGTGTTTCGAAACTGCTGTTTCAAAAGGAATCTTCAACTCTGTGAGTTGAATGCAATCATCACAAAGAAGTTTCTGACAATGCTTCTCTCTCGTCTTTCTGTGAAGATAAAGGAAAAGGCTTTCAGGCCTTTTCCACCACAGGCCTGAAAGCGCTCCAAATGTCCACTTGCAGATTCTGCCAAAAGAATATTTCAAAACTGCTCTATGAAAAGCAATGTTAAACTCTGTGGCTCGAACACAAACATCACAAAGCAGTTTCTGAGAATGCTTCAGTTTAGTTTTTCTGTGGAAATATTCCCGTTTCGAAAGAAATCTTAAAAGAGGTCCACGTATCCACTTACAGATTCTACAAAAAGACAGTTTCAAAACTGCTCAATCAAAAGGAGGGTTCAACCGTGTGACTTGAATGCAATCATCACTCAGAAGTTTCTGAGAATGCTTCTCTTTAGTTTTTACGTGAACATATACCCGTTTCGAACGAAGGCCACACAGTGGTCCAAATATCCACTTGCAGATTCTACAGAAAGAGTGTTTCGAACCTGAACTCTCAAAGGCAGGTTCATCTCTCCGAGTTCAATGCATTCATCATGAAGAACTTTCTCAGCGTGTTTGTGTTTAGTTATGGGAAATTATTCCCGTTTCCAACGAAATCCTCAGAGAGCTCCAAATATCCACCTGCAGATTCTACCAAAAGTGTATTTGGAAACTGCTCCATCAAAAGGCATGTTCAGCTCTGTGAGTGAAACTCCATCATCACAAAGAATATTCTGAGAATGCTTCCGTTTGCCTTTTATATGAAGTTCCTTCCTATACTACCGTAGGCCTCAAAGCAGTCCAAATCTCCATTTGCAGATTCTACAAAAAGAGTGATTCCAATCTGCTCTATCAATAGGACTGTTCAACTCCATGAGTTGAATGCCATCCTCACAAAGTAGTTTCTGAGAATGCTTCTATCTAGTTTTTATGTGAAGATATTTCCTTTTCCCCCACAGGCCTCAAAGCCCTCCAAACGTCCACTTGCAGATTCTCGAAAAAGGGTGTTTCATAGCTGCTCTTTCAAAAGGAAAGTTCAACTCTGGGAGCTGAATACAAACATCACAAAGTAGTTTCTGAGAATGCTTCTGTTTAGTTCTTATGTGAAGATGATCCCGTTTCCAGTGAAATCTTCAAAGAGGTCCACATATCCCCTTGCAGATTCCAAAGAAAGAGGGTTTCAAAACTGCTCCATCAAAAGGATTGTTCAACTCTGTGAGTTGAATGCAGTCATCGCAGAAAACTTTCTGAGAATGCTTCTGTCTAGGTTTGATGTGAAGATATAGACGTTTCAAACGAAGGCTACATAGTGGTCAACATATACACTTGCAGATTCTACTACAAGGGTGATGCAAACCTGAACTATCAAAGGAAGGTTCAACTCTGTGAGTTGAATACAAACATCACAAAGAATGTTCTGAGTTTGCTTCCGTTCAGTTATGGGAAGTTGATCCCGTTTCCAACGAAATCCTCAGAGAGGTCCAAATATCCCCTTGCAGATTCTACAAAACGTGTGTTTGGAAACTGCCCCATCATAACGAATGTTCAGCTCTCTGAGTTAAACTCCATCGTCACAAGGAATTTTCTGAGAGTGCTACCGTCTGGTTTTTATATGAAGTTCTTTCCTTCACTACCACAGGCCTCAAAGCGGTCCAAATCTCCACTTGCAGATTCTACAAAAAGAGTGTTTGCAAACTGCTCTATCAAAAGGAATGTTCAACTCTGGGAGTTGAATGCAATCATCACAGAGCAGTTTCTGAGAATGCTTCTATGTCGTTTTTAGGAGAAGATATTTCCTTTTCCAACACAATCCTCCAAGCCCGCTAAATAGCCACTTGCACATTGTAGAAAAAGTGTGTCAAAGCTGCGCTATCAAAGGGAAAGTTCAACTCTGTGAGGTGAATGCAAACATCCCAAAGAAGTTTCTGAGAATGCTTCCGTTTAGCTTTTAGGTGAAGATTATCCCGTTTCCAACGAAACCTTCAAAGAGGTCCAAATATCCCCTTGCGGATCCCACAGAAAGAGTGTTTCGAAACTGCTGTTTCAAAAGGAATCTTCAACTCTGTGAGTTGAATGCAATCATCACAAAGAAGTTTCTGACAATGCTTCTCTCTCGTCTTTCTGTGAAGATAAAGGAAAAGGCTTTCAGGCCTTTTCCACCACAGGCCTGAAAGCGCTCCAAATGTCCACTTGCAGATTCTGCGAAAAGAATATTTCAAAACTGCTCTATGAAAAGCAATGTTAAACTCTGTGGCTGGAACACAAACATCACAAAGCGGTTTCTGAGAATGTTTCAGTTTAGTTTTTCTGTGGAAATATTCCCGTTTCCAAAGAAATCTTCAAAGAGGTCCACGTATCCACTTACAGATTCTACAAAAAGACAGTTTCAAAACTGCTCCATCAAAAGGAGGGTTCAACTGTGTGACTTGAATGCAATCATCACTCAGAAGTTTCTGAGAATGCTTCTCTTTAGTTTTTACGTGAACATATACCCGTTTCGAACGAAGGCCAGCCAGTGGTCCAAATATCCACTTGCAGATTCTACAGAAAGAGTGTTTCGAACCTGAACTCTCAAAGGCAGGTTCATCTCTGCGAGTTAAATGCATTCATCATGAAGAACTTTCTCAGAGTGTTTGTGTTTAGTTATGGGAAATTATTCCCGTTTCCAACGAAATCCTCAGAGAGGTCCAAATATCCACCTGCAGATTCTACCAAAAGTGTATTTGGAAACTGCTCCATCAAAAGGCATGTTCAGCTGCTGTGAGTGAAACTCCATCATCACAAAGAATATTCTGAGAATGCTTCCGTTTGCCTTTTATATGAAGTTCCTTCCTATACTACCATAGGCCTCAAAGCAGTCCAAATCTCCATTTGCAGATTCTACAAAAAGAGTGATTCCAATCTGCTCTATCAATAGGATTGTTCAACTCCATGAGTTGAATGCCATCCTCACAAAGTCGTTTCTGAGAATGCTTCTATCTGGTTTTTGTGTGAAGATATTTCCTTTTCCACCACAGGCCTCAAAGCCCTCCAAACGTCCACTTGCAGATTCTCGAAAAAGAGTGTTTCATAGCTGCTCTTTCCAAAGGAAAGTTCAACTCTGGGAGTTGAATACAAACATCACAAAGTAGTTTCCGAGAATGCTTCTGTTTAGTTTTTATGTGAAGATGATCCCGTTTCCAGTGAAATCTTCAAAGAGGTCCACATATCCCCTTGCAGATTCCAAAGAAAGAGGGTTTCAAAACTGCTCCATCAGAAGGATTGTTCAACTCTGTGAGTTGAATGCAGTCATCGCAGAAAACTTTCTGAGAATGCTTCTGTCTAGGTTTGATGTGAAGATATAGACGTTTCAAACGAAGGCTACAAAGTGGTCAAAATATACACTTGCAGATTCTACTACAAGGGTGTTGCAAACCTGAACTATCAAAGGAAGGTTCAACTCTGTGAGTTGAATACAAACATCACAAAGTAATGTTCTGAGTTTGCTTCCGTTCAGTTATGGGAAGTTGATCCCGTTTCCAACGAAATCCTCAGAGAGGTCCAAATATCCCCTCGCAGATTCTACAAAACGTGTGTTTGGAAACTGCTCCATCATAACGAATGTTCAGCTCCCTGAGTTAAACTCCATCGTCACAAAGAATTTTCTGAGAGTGCTACCGTCTGGTTTTTATATGAAGTTCTTTCCTTCACTACCACAGGCCTCAAAGCGGTCCAAATCTCCACTTGCAGATTCTACAAAAAGAGTGTTTGCAAACTGCTCTATCAAAAGGAATGTTCAACTCTGGGAGTTGAATGCAATCATCACAGAGCAGTTTCTGAGAATGCTTCTATGTCGTTTTTAGGAGAAGATATTTCCTTTTCCAACACAGTCCTCCTAGCCCGCTAAATAGCCACTTGCACATTGTAGAAAAAGTGTGTCAAAGCTGCGCTATCAAAGGGAAAGTTCAACTCTGTGAGGTGAATGCAAACATCCCAAAGAAGTTTCTGAGAATGCTTCCGTTTAGCTTTTAGGTGAAGATTATCCCGTTTCCAACGAAACCTTCAAAGAGGTCCAAATATCCCCTTGCGGATCCCACAGAAAGAGTGTTTCGAAACTGCTGTTTCAAAAGGAATCTTCAACTCTGTGAGTTGAATGCAATCATCACAAAGAAGTTTCTGACAATGCTTCTCTCTCGTCTTTCTGTGAAGATAAAGGAAAAGGCTTTCAGGCCTTTTCCACCACAGGCCTGAAAGCACTCCAAATGTCCACTTGCAGATTCTGCCAAAAGAATATTTCAAAACTGCTCTATGAAAAGCAATGTTAAACTCTGTGGCTCGAACACAAACATCACAAAGCGGTTTCTGAGAATGCTTCAGTTTAGTTTTTCTGTGGAAATATTCCCGTTTCCAAAGAAATCTTCAAAGAGGTCCACGTATCCACTTACAGATTCTACAAAAAGACAGTTTCAAAACTGCTCAATCAAAAGGAGGGTTCAACCGTGTGACTTGAATGCAATCATCACTCAGAAGTTTCTGAGCACGCTTCTGTTTAGTTTTTACGTGAACATATACCCGTTTCGAACGAAGGCCACCCAGTGGTCCAAATATCCACTTGCAGATTCTACAGAAAGAGTGTTTCGAACCTGAACTCTCAAAGGCAGGTTGATCTCTGCGAGTTCAATGCATTCAACATGAAGAACTTTCTCAGCGTGTTTGTGTATAGTTAAGGGAAATTATTGCCCTTTCCAATGAAATCCTCAGAGAGGTCCAAATATCCACCTGTAGATTCTACCAAAAGTGTATTTGGAAACTGCTCCATCAAAAGGCATGTTCAGCTCTGTGAGTGAAACTCCATCATCACAAAGATATTCTGAGAATGCTTCCGTTTGCCTTTTATATGAAGTTCCTTCCTATACTACCGTAGGCCTCAAAGCAGTCCAAATCTCCATTTGCAGATTCTACAAAAAGAGTGATTCCAATCTGCTCTATCAATAGGATTGTTCAACTCCATGAGTTGAATGCCATCCTCACAAAGTCGTTTCTGAGAATGCTTCTATCTAGTTTTTATGTGAAGATATTTCCTTTTCCACCACAGGCCTCAAAGCCCTCCAAACGTCCACTTTCAGATTCTCGAAAAAGAGTGTTTCATAGCTGCTCTTTCAAAAGGAAAGTTCAACTCTGGGAGTTGAATACAAACATCACAAAGTAGTTTCCGAGAATGCTTTCTCTTTTGTTCTTATGTGAAGATGATCCCGTTTCCAGTGAAATCTTCAAAGAGGTCCACATATCCCCTTGCAGATTCCAAAGAAAGAGGGTTTCAAAACTGCTCCATCAAAAGGATTGTTCAACTCTGTGAGTTGAATGCAGTCATCGCAGAAAACTTTCTGAGAATGCTTCTGTCTAGGTTTGATGTGAAGATATAGACGTTTCAAACGAAGGCTACAAAGTGGTCAAAATATACACTTGCAGATTCTACTACAAGGGTGTTGCAAACCTGAACTATCAAAGGAAGGTTCAACTCTCTGAGTTGAATACAAACATCACAAAGAATGTTCTGAGTTTGCTTCCGTTCAGTTATGGGAAGTTGATCCCGTTTCCAACGAAATCCTCAGAGAGGTCCAAATATCCCCTTGCAGATTCTACAAAACGTGTGTTTGGAAACTGCTCCATCATAACGAATGTTCAGCTCCCTGAGTTAAACTCCATCGTCACAAAGAATTTTCTGAGAGTGCTACCGTCTGGTTTTTATATGAAGTTCTTTCCTTCACTACCACAGGCCTCAAAGCGGTCCAAATCTCCACTTGCAGATTCTACAAAAAGAGTGTTTGCAAACTGCTCTATCAAAAGGAATGTTCAACTCTGGGAGTTGAATGCAATCATCACAGAGCAGTTTCTGAGAATGCTTCTATGTCGTTTTTAGGAGAAGATATTTCCTTTTCCAACACAGTCCTCCAAGCCCGCTAAATAGCCACTTGCACATTGTAGAAAAAGTGTGTCAAAGCTGCGCTATCAAAGGGAAAGTTCAACTCTGTCAGGTGAATGCAAACATCCCAAAGAAGTTTCTGAGAATGCTTCCGTTTAGCTTTTAGGTGAAGATTATCCCGTTTCCAACGAAACCTTCAAAGAGGTCCAAATATCCCCTTGCGGATCCCACAGAAAGAGTGTTTCGAAACTGCTGTTTCAAAAGGAATCTTCAACTCTGTGAGTTGAATGCAATCATCACAAAGAAGTTTCTGACAATGCTTCTCTCTCGTCTTTCTGTGAAGATAAAGGAAAAGGCTTTCAGGCCTTTTCCACCACAGGCCTGAAAGCGCTCCAAATGTCCACTTGCAGATTCTGCGAAAAGAATATTTCAAAACTGCTCTATGAAAAGCAATGTTAAACTCTGTGGCTCGAACACAAACATCACAAAGCGGTTTCTGAGAATGCTTCAGTTTAGTTTTTCTGTGGAAATATTCCCGTTTCCAAAGAAATCTTCAAAAGAGGTCCACGCATCCACTTACAGATTCTACAAAAAGACAGTTTCAAAACTGCTCAATCAAAAGGAGGGTTCAACTGTGTGACTTGAATGCAATCATCACTCAGAAGTTTCTGAGAACGCTTCTCTTTAGTTTTTACGTGAACATATACCCGTTTCGAAAGAAGGCCACCCAGTGGTCCAAATATCCACTTGCAGATTCTACAGAAAGAGTGTTTCGAACCTGAACTCTCAAAGGCAGGTTCATCTCTGCGAGTTCAATGCATTCATCATGAAGAACTTTCTCAGCGTGTTTGTGTTTAGTTATGGGAAATTATTCCCGTTTCCAACGAAATCCTCAGAGAGCTCCAAATATCCACCTGCAGATTCTACCAAAAGTGTATTTGGAAACTGCTCCATCAAAAGGCATGTTCAGCTCTGTGAGTGAAACTCCATCATCAAAAAGAATATTCTGAGAATGCTTCCGTTTGCCTTTTATATGAAGTTCCTTCCTATACGACTGTAGGCCTCAAAGCAGTCCAAATCTCCATTTGCAGATTCTACAAAAAGAGTGATTCCAATCTGCTCTATCAATAGGATTGTTCAACTCCATGAGTTGAATGCCATCCTCACAAAGTAGTTTCTGAGAATGCTTCTATCTAGTTTTTATGTGAAGATATTTCCTTTTCCACCACAGGCCTCAAAGCCCTCCAAACGTCCACTTGCAGATTCTCGAAAAAGAGTGTTTCATAGCTGCTCTTTCAAAAGGAAAGTTCAACTCTGGGAGTTGAATACAAACATCACAAAGTAGTTTCCGAGAATGCTTCTGTTTAGTTTTTATGTGAAGATGATCCCGTTTCCAGTGAAATCTTCAAAGAGGTCCACATATCCCCTTGCAGATTCCAAAGAAAGAGGGTTTCAAAACTGCTCCATCAGAAGGATTGTTCAGCTCTGTGAGTTGAATGCAGTCATCGCAGAAAACTTTCTGAGAATGCTTCTGTCTAGGTTTGATGTGAAGATATAGACGTTTCAAACGAAGGCTACAAAGTGGTCAAAATATACAGTTGCAGATTCTACTACAAGGGTGTTGCAAACCTGAACTATCAAAGGAAGGTTCAACTCTGTGAGTTGAATACAAACATCACAAAGAATGTTCTGAGTTTGCTTCCGTTCAGTTATGGGAAGTTGATCCCGTTTCCAACGAAATCCTCAGAGAGGTCCAAATATCCCCTTGCAGATTCTACAAAACGTGTGTTTGGAAACTGCTCCATCATAACGAATGTTCAGCTCCCTGAGTTAAACTCCATCGTCACAAAGAATTTTCTGAGAGTGCTACCGTCTGGTTTTTATATGAAGTTCTTTCCTTCACTACCACAGGCCTCAAAGCGGTCCAAATCTCCACTTGCAGATTCTACAAAAAGAGTGTTTGCAAACTGCTCTATCAAAAGGAATGTTCAACTCTGGGAGTTGAATGCAATCATCACAGAGCAGTTTCTGAGAATGCTTCTATGTCGTTTTTAGGAGAAGATATTTCCTTTTCCAACACAGTCCTCCAAGCCCGCTAAATAGCCACTTGCACATTGTAGAAAAAGTGTGTCGAAGCTGCGCTATCAAAGGGAAAGTTCAACTCTGTGAGGTGAATGCAAACATCCCAAAGAAGTTTCTGAGAATGCTTCCGTTTAGCTTTTAGGTGAAGATTATCCCGTTTCCAACGAAACCTTCAAAGAGGTCCAAATATCCCCTTGCGGATCCCACAGAAAGAGTGTTTCGAAACTGCTGTTTCAAAAGGAATCTTCAACTCTGTGAGTTGAATGCAATCATCACAAAGAAGTTTCTGACAATGCTTCTCTCTCGTCTTTCTGTGAAGATAAAGGAAAAGGCTTTCAGGCCATTTCCACCACAGGCCTGAAAGCGCTCCAAATGTCCACTTGCAGATTCTGCCAAAAGAATATTTCAAAACTGCTCTATGAAAAGCAATGTTAAACTCTGCGGCTCGAACACAAACATCACAAAGCAGTTTCTGAGAATGCTTCAGTTTAGTTTTTCTGTGGAAATATTCCCGTTTCCAAAGAAATCTTCAAAGAGGTCCACGTATCCACTTACAGATTCTACAAAAAGACAGTTTCAAAACTGCTCCATCAAAAGGAGGGTTCAACTGTGTGACTTGAATGCAATCATCACTCAGAAGTTTCTGAGAATGCTTCTCTTTAGTTTTTACGTGAACATATACCCGTTTCAAACGAAGGCCAGCCAGTGTTCCAAATATCCACTTGCAGATTCTACAGAAAGAGTGTTTCGAACCTGAACTCTCAAAGGCAGGTTCATCTCTGCGAGTTAAATGCATTCATCATGAAGAACTTTCTCAGAGTGTTTGTGTTTAGTTATGGGAAATTATTCCCGTTTCCAACGAAATCCTCAGAGAGCTCCAAATATCCACCTGCAGATTCTACCAAAAGTGTATTTGGAAACTGCTCCATCAAAAGGCATGTTCAGCTCTGTGAGTAAAACTCCATCATCACAAAGAATATTCTGAGAATGCTTCCGTTTGCCTTTTATATGAAGTTCCTTCCTGTACTACCGTAGGCCTCAAAGCAGACCAAATCTCCATTTGCAGATTCTACAAAAAGAGTGATTCCAATCTGCTCTATCAATAGGATTGTTCAACTCCATGAGTTGAATGCCATCCTCACAAAGTAGTTTCTGAGAATGCTTCTATCTGGTTTTTGTGTGAAGATATTTCCTTTTCCACCACAGGCCTCAAAGCCCTCCAAACGTCCACTTGCAGATTCTCGAAAAAGAGTGTTTCATAGCTGCTCTTTCAAAAGGAAAGTTCAACTCTGGGAGTTGAATGCAAACATCACAAAATAGTTTCCGAGAATGCTTCTGTTTAGTTTTTATGTGAAGATGATCCCGTTTCCAGTGAAATCTTCAAAGAGGTCCACATATCCCCTTGCAGATTCCAAAGAAAGAGGGTTTCAAAACTGCTCCATCAGAAGGATTGTTCAACTCTGTGAGTTGAATGCAGTCATCGCAGAAAACTTTCTGAGAATGCTTCTGTCTAGGTTTGATGTGAAGATATAGACGTTTCAAACGAAGGCTACAAAGTGGTCAAAATATACACTTGCAGATTCTACTACAAGGGTGTTGCAAACCTGAACTATCAAAGGAAGGTTCAACTCTGTGAGTTGAATACAAACATCACAAAGAATGTTCTGAGTTTGCTTCCGTTCAGTTATGGGAAGTTGATCCCGTTTCCAACGAAATCCTCAGAGAGGTCCAAATATCCCCTTGCAGATTCTACAAAACGTGTGTTTGGAAACTGCTCCATCATAACGAATGTTCAGCTCCCTGAGTTAAACTCCATCGTCACAAAGAATTTTCTGAGAGTGCTACCGTCTGGTTTTTATATGAAGTTCTTTCCTTCACTACCACAGGCCTCAAAGCGGTCCAAATCTCCACTTGCAGATTCTACAAAAAGAGTGTTTGCAAACTGCTCTATCAAAAGGAATGTTCAACTCTGGGAGTTGAATGCAATCATCACAGAGCAGTTTCTGAGAATGCTTCTATGTCGTTTTTAGGAGAAGATATTTCCTTTTCCAACACAGTCCTCCAAGCCCGCTAAATAGCCACTTGCACATTGTAGAAAAAGTGTGTCAAAGCTGCGCTATCAAAGGGAAAGTTCAACTCTGTGAGGTGAATGCAAACATCCCAAAGAAGTTTCTGAGAATGCTTCCGTTTAGCTTTTAGGTGAAGATTATCCCGTTTCCAACGAAACCTTCAAAGAGGTCCAAATATCCCCTTGCGGATCCCACAGAAAGAGTGTTTCGAAACTGCTGTTTCAAAAGGAATCTTCAACTCTGTGAGTTGAATGCAATCATCACAAAGAAGTTTCTGACAATGCTTCTCTCTCGTCTTTCTGTGAAGATAAAGGAAAAGGCTTTCAGGCCTTTTCCACCACAGGCCTGAAAACGCTCTAAATGTCCACTTGCAGATTCTGCCAAAAGAATATTTCAAAACTGCTCTATGAAAAGCAATGTTAAACTCTGCGGCTCGAACACCAACATCACAAAGCAGTTTCTGAGAATGCTTCAGTTTAGTTTTTCTGTGGAAATATTCCCGTTTCCAAAGACATCTTCCAAGAGGTCCACGTATCCACTTACAGATTCTACAAAAAGACAGTTTCAAAACTGCTCAATCAAAAGGCGGGTTCAACTGTGTGACTTGAATGCAATCATCACTCAGAAGTTTCTGAGAATGCTTCTCTTTAGTTTTTACGTGAACATATACCCGTTTCGAACGAAGGCCAGCCAGTGGTCCAAATATCCACTTGCAGATTCTACAGAAAGAGTGTTTCGAACCTGAACTCTCAAAGGCAGGTTCATCTCTGCGAGTTAAATGCATTCATCATGAAGAACTTTCTCAGAGTGTTTGTGTTTAGTTATGGGAAATTATTCCCGTTTCCAACGAAATCCTCAGAGTGGTCCAAATATCCACCTGCAGATTCTACCAAAAGTGTATTTGGAAACTGCTCCATCAAAAGGCATGTTCAGCTCTGTGAGTGAAACTCCATCATCACAAAGAATATTCTGAGAATGCTTCCGTTTGCCTTTTATCTGAAGTTCCTTCCTATACGACCGTAGGCCTCAAAGCAGTCCAAATCTCCATTTGCAGATTCTACAAAAAGAGTGATTCCAATCTGCTCTATCAATAGGATTGTTCAACTCCATGAGTTGAATGCCATCCTCACAAAGTAGTTTCTGAGAATGCTTCTATCTAGTTTTTATGTGAAGATATATCCTTTTCCACCACAGGCCTCAAAGCCCTCCAAACGTCCACTTGCAGATTCTCGAAAAAGAGTGTTTCATAGCTGCTCTTTCAAAAGGAAAGTTCAACTCTGGGAGTTGAATACAAACATCACAAAGTAGTTTCCGAGAATGCTTCTGTTTAGTTTTTATGTGAAGATGATCCCGTTTCCAGTGAATTCTTCAAAGAGGTCCACATATCCCCTTGCAGATTCCAAAGAAAGATGGTTTCAAAACTGCTCCATCAAAAGGATTGTTCAACTCTGTGAGTTGAATGCAGTCATCACAGCAAACTTTCTGAGAATGCTTCTTTCTAGGTTTGATGTGAAGATATAGACGTTTCAAACGAAGGCTACAAAGTGGTCAAAATATACACTTGCAGATTCTACTACAAGGGTGTTGCAAACCTGAACTATCAAAGGAAGGTTCAACTCTGTGAGTTGAATACAAACATCACAAAGAATGTTCTGAGTTTGCTTCCGTTCAGTTATGGGAAGTTGATCCCGTTTCCAACGAAATCCTCAGAGAGGTCCAAATATCCCCTTGCAGATTCTACAAAACGTGTGTTTGGAAACTGCTCCATCATAACGAATGTTCAGCTCCCTGAGTTAAACTCCATCGTCACAAAGAATTTTCTGAGAGTGCTACCGTCTGGTTTTTATATGAAGTTCTTTCCTTCACTACCACAGGCCTCAAAGCGGTCCAAATCTCCACTTGCAGATTCTACAAAAAGAGTGTTTGCAAACTGCTCTATCAAAAGGAATGTTCAACTCTGGGAGTTGAATGCAATCATCACAGAGCAGTTTCTGAGAATGCTTCTATGTCGTTTTTAGGAGAAGATATTTCCTTTTCCAACACAGTCCTCCAAGCCCGCTAAATAGCCACTTGCACATTGTAGAAAAAGTGTGTCAAAGCTGCGCTATCAAAGGGAAAGTTCAACTCTGTGAGGTGAATGCAAACATCCCAAAGAAGTTTCTGAGAATGCTTCCGTTTAGCTTTTAGGTGAAGATTATCCCGTTTCCAACGAAATCTTCAAAGAGGTCCAAATATCCCCTTGCGGATCCCACAGAAAGAGTGTTTCGAAACTGCTGTTTCAAAAGGAATCTTCAACTCTGTGAGTTGAATGCAATGATCACAAAGAAGTTTCTGACAATGCTTCTCTCTCGTCTTTCTGTGAAGATAAAGGAAAAGGCTTTCAGGCCTTTTCCACCACAGGCCTGAAAGCGCTCCAAATGTCCACTTGCAGATTCTGCCAAAAGAATATTTCAAAACTGCTCTATGAAAAGCAATGTTAAACTCTGTGGCTCGAACACAAACATCACAAAGCAGTTTCTGAGAATGCTTCAGTTTAGTTTTTCTGTGGAAATATTCCCGTTTCCAAAGAAATCTTCAAAGAGGTCCACGTATCCACTTACAGATTCTACAAAAAGACAGTTTCAAAACTGCTCCATCAAAAGGAGGGTTCAACTGTGTGACTTGAATGCAATCATCACTCAGAAGTTTCTGAGAATGCTTCTCTTTAGTTTTTACGTGAACATATACCCGTTTCGAACGAAGGCCACCCAGTGGTCCAAATATCCACTTGCAGATTCTACAGAAAGAGTGTTTCGAACCTGAACTCTCAAAGGCAGGTTCATCTCTGCGAGTTAAATGCATTCATCATGAAGAACTTTCTCAGAGTGTTTGTGCTTAGTTATGGGAAATTATTCCCGTTTCCAACGAAATCCTCAGAGTGGTCCAAATATCCACCTGCAGATTCTACCAAAAGTGTATTTGGAAACTGCTCCATCAAAAGGCATGTTCAGCTCTGTGAGTGAAACTCCATCATCACAAAGAATATTCTGAGAATGCTTCCGTTTGCCTTTTATCTGAAGTTCCTTCCTATACGACCGTAGGCCTCAAAGCAGTCCAAATCTCCATTTGCAGATTCCACAAAAAGAGTGATTCCAATCTGCTCTATCAATAGGATTGTTCAACTCCATGAGTTGAATGCCATCCTCACAAAGTCGTTTCTGAGAATGCTTCTATCTAGTTTTTATGTGAAGATATTTCCTTTTCCACCACAGGCCTCAAAGCCCTCCAAACGTCCACTTGCAGATTCTCGAAAAAGAGTGTTTCATAGCTGCTCTTCCAAAAGGAAAGTTCAACTCTGGGAGTTGAATACAAACATCCCAAAGTAGTTTCCGAGAATGCTTATATTTAGTTTTTATGTGAAGATGATCCCGTTTCCAGTGAAATCTTCAAAGAGGTCCACATATTCCCTTGCAGATTCCAAAGAAAGAGGGTTTCAAAACTGCTCCATCAGAAGGATTGTTCAACTCTGTGAGTTGAATGCAGTCATCGCAGAAAACTTTCTAAGAATGCTTCTGTCTAGGTTTGATGTGAAGATATAGACGTTTCAAACGAAGGCTACAAAGTGGTCAAAATATACACTTGCAGATTCTACTACAAGGGTGTTGCAAACCTGAACTATCAAAGGAAGGTTCAACTCTGTGAATTGAATACAAACATCACAAAGAATGTTCTGAGTTTGCTTCCGTTCAGTTATGGGAAGTTGATCCCGTTTCCAACGAAATCCTCAGAGAGTTCCAAATATCCCCTTGCAGATTCTACAAAACGTGTGTTTGGAAACTGCTCCATCATAACGAATGTTCAGCTCTCTGAGTTAAACTCCATCGTCACAAAGAATTTTCTGAGAGTGCTACCGTCTGGTTTTTATATGAAGTTCTTTCCTTTATTACCACAGGCCTCAAAGCGGTCCAAATCTCCACTTGCAGATTCTACAAAAAGAGTGTTTGCAAACTGCTCTATCAAAAGGAATGTTCAACTCTGGGAGTTGAATGCAATCATCACAGAGCAGTTTCTGAGAATGCTTCTATGTCGTTTTTAGGAGAAGATATTTCCTTTTCCAACACAGTCCTCCAAGCCCGCTAAATAGCCACTTGCACATTGTAGAAAAAGTGTGTCAAAGCTGCGCTATCAAAGGGAAAGTTCAACTCTGTGAGGTGAATGCAAACATCCCAAAGAAGTTTCTGAGAATGCTTCCGTTTAGCTTTTAGGTGAAGATTATCCCGTTTCCAATGAAACCTTCAAAGAGGTCCAAATATCACCTTGCGGATCCCACAGAAAGAGTGTTTCGAAACTGCTGTTTCAAAAGGAATCTTCAACTCTGTGAGTTGAATGCAATCATCACAAAGAAGTTTCTGACAATGCTTCTCTCTCGTCTTTCTGTGAAGATAAAGGAAAAGGCTTTCAGGCCTTTTCCACCACAGGCCTGAAAGCGCTCCAAATGTCCACTTGCAGATTCTGCGAAAAGAATATTTCAAAACTGCTCTATGAAAAGCAATGTTAAACTCTGTGGCTCGAACACAAACATCACAAAGCGGTTTCTGAGAATGCTTCAGTTTAGTTTTTCTGTGGAAATATTCCCGTTTCCAAAGAAATCTTCAAAGAGGTCCACTGTATCCACTTACAGATTCTACAAAAAGACAGTTTCAAAACTGCTCCATCAAAAGGAGGGTTCAACTGTGTGACTTGAATGCAATCATCACTCAGAAGTTTCTGAGAATGCTTCTCTTTAGTTTTTACGTGAACATATACCCGTTTCGAACGAAGGCCAGCCAGTGGTCCAAATATCCACTTGCAGATTCTACAGAAAGAGTGTTTCGAACCTGAACTCTCAAAGGCAGGTTCATCTCTGCGAGTTAAATGCATTCATCATGAAGAACTTTCTCAGAGTGTTTGTGTTTAGGTATAGGAAATTATTCCCGTTTCCAACGAAATCCTCAGAGAGGTCCAAATATCCACCTGCAGATTCTACCAAAAGTGTATTTGGAAACTGCTCCATCAAAAGGCATGTTCAGCTCTGTGAGTGAAACTCCATCATCACAAAGAATATTCTGAGAATGCTTCCGTTTGCCTTTTATATGAAGTTCCTTCCTATACGACCGTAGGCCTCAAAGCAGTTCAAATCTCCATTTGCAGATTCTACCAAAAGAGTGATTCCAATCTGCTCTATCAATAGGATTGTTCAACTCCATGAGTTGAATGCCATCCTCACAAAGTCGTTTCTGAGAATGCTTCTATCTAGTTTTTATGTGAAGATATTTCCTTTTCCCCACAGGCCTCAAAGCCCTCCAAACGTCCACTTGCAGATTCTCGAAAAAGAGTGTTTCATAGCTGCTCTTTCACAAGGAAAGTTCAACTCTGGGAGTTGAATACAAACATCACAAAGTAGTTTCCGAGAATGCTTCTGTTTAGTTTTTATGTGAAGATGATCCCGTTTCCAGTGAAATCTTCAAAGAGGTCCACATATCCCCTTGCAGATTCCAAAGAAAGAGGGTTTCAAAACTGCTCCATCAGAAGGATTGTTCAACTCTGTGAGTTGAATGCAGTCATCGCAGAAAACTTTCTGAGAATGCTTCTGTCTAGGTTTGATGTGAAGATATAGACGTTTCAAACGAAGGCTACAAAGTGGTCAAAATATACACTTGCAGATTCTACTACAAGGGTGTTGCAAACCTGAACTATCAAAGGAAGGTTCAACTCTGTGAGTTGAATACAAACATCACAAAGAATGTTCTGAGTTTGCTTCCGTTCAGTTATGGGAAGTTGATCCCGTTTCCAACGAAATCCTCAGAGAGGTCCAAATATCCCCTCGCAGATTCTACAAAACGTGTGTTTGGAAACTGCTCCATCATAAGGAATGTTCAGCTCCCTGAGTTAAACTCCATCGTCACAAAGAATTTTCTGAGAGTGCTACCGTCTGGTTTTTATATGAAGTTCTTTCCTTCCCTACCACAGGCCTCAAAGCGGTCCAAATCTCCACTTGCAGATTCTACAAAAAGAGTGTTTGCAAACTGCTCTATCAAAAGGAATGTTCAACTCTGGGAGTTGAATGCAATCATCACAGAGCAGTTTCTGAGAATGCTTCTATGTCGTTTTTAGGAGAAGATATTTCGTTTTCCAACACAGTCCTCCAAGCCCGCTAAATAGCCACTTGCACATTGTAGAAAAAGTGTGTCAAAGCTGCGCTATCAAAGGGAAAGTTCAACTCTGTGAGGTGAATGCAAACATCCCAAAGAAGTTTCTGAGAATGTTTCCGTTTAGCTTTTAGGTGAAGATTATCCCGTTTCCAACGAAACCTTCAAAGAGGTGCAAATATCCCCTTGCGGATCCCACAGAAAGAGTGTTTCGAAACTGCTGTTTCAAAAGGAATCTTCAACTCTGTGAGTTGAATGCAATCATCACAAAGAAGTTTCTGACAATGCTTCTCTCTCGTCTTTCTGTGAAGATAAAGGAAAAGGCTTTCAGGCCTTTTCCACCACAGGCCTGAAAGCGCTCCAAATGTCCACTTGCAGATTCTGCCAAAAGAATATTTCAAAACTGCTCTATGAAAAGCAATGTTAAACTCTGTGGCTCGAACACAAACATCACAAAGCGGTTTCTGAGAATGCTTCAGTTTAGTTTTTCTGTGGAAATATTCCCGTTTCCAAAGAAATCTTCAAAGAGGTCCACGTATCCACTTACAGATTCTACAAAAGGACAGTTTCAAAACTGCTCCATCAAAAGGAGGGTTCAACTGTGTGACTTGAATGCAATCATCACTCAGAAGTTTCTGAGAATGCTTCTCTTTAGTTTTTACGTGAACATATACCCGTTTCGAATGAAGGCCAGCCAGTGGTCCAAATATCCACTTGCAGATTCTACAGAAAGAGTGTTTCGAACCTGAACTCTCAAAGGCAGGTTCATCTCTGCGAGTTAAATGCATTCATCATGAAGAACTTTCTCAGCGTGTTTGTGTTTAGTTATGGGAAATTATTCCCGTTTCCAACGAAATCCTCAGAGAGCTCCAAATATCCACCTGCAGATTCTACCAAAAGTGTATTTGGAAACTGCTCCATCAAAAGGCATGTTCAGCTCTGTGAGTGAAACTCCATCATCACAAAGAATATTCTGAGAATGCTTCCGTTTGCCTTTTATATGAAGTTCCTTCCTATACGACCGTAGGCCTCAAAGCAGTCCAAATCTCCATTTGCAGATTCTACAAAAAGAGTGATTCCAATCTGCTCTATCAATAGGATTGTTCAACTCCATGAGTTGAATGCCATCCTCACAAAGTAGTTTCTGAGAATGCTTCTATCTGGTTTTTGTGTGAAGATATTTCCTTTTCCACCACAGGCCTCAAAGCCCTCCAAACGTCCACTTGCAGATTCTCGAAAAAGAGTGTTTCATAGCTGCTCTTTCAAAAGGAAAGTTCAACTCTGGGAGTTGAATACAAACATCACAAAATAGTTTCCGAGAATGCTTCTGTTTAGTTCTTATGTGAAGATGATCCCGTTTCCAGTGAAATCTTCAAAGAGGTCCACATATGCCCTTGCAGATTCCAAAGAAAGTGGGTTTCAAAACTGCTCCATCAAAAGGATTGCTCAACTCTGTGAGTAGAATGCAGTCATCGCAGAAAACTTTCTGAGAATGCTTCTGTCTAGGTTTGATGTGAAGATATAGACGTTTCAAACGAAGGCTACAAAGTGGTCAAAATATACACTTGCAGATTCTACTACAAGGGTGTTGCAAACCTGAACTATCAAAGGAAGGTTCAACTCTGTGAGTTGAATACAAACATCACAAAGAATGTTCTGAGTTTGCTTCCGTTCACTTATGGGAAGTTGATCCCGTTTCCAACGAAATCCTCAGAGAGGTCCAAATATCCCCTTGCAGATTCTGCAAAACGTGTGTTTGGAAACTGCTCCATCATAACGAATGTTCAGCTCTCTGAGTTAAACTCCATCGTCACAAAGAATTTTCTGAGAGTGCTACCGTCTGGTTTTTATATGAAGTTCTTTCCTTCACTACCACAGGCCTCAAAGCGGTCCAAATCTCCACTTGCAGATTCTACAAAAAGAGTGTTTGCAAACTGCTCTATCAAAAGGAATGTTCAACTCTGGGAGTTGAATGCAATCATCACAGAGCAGTTTCTGAGAATGCTTCTATGTCGTTTTTAGGAGAAGATATTTCCTTTTCCAACACAGTCCTCCAAGCCCGCTAAATAGCCACTTGCACATTGTAGAAAAAGTGTGTCAAAGCTGCGCTATCAAAGGGAAAGTTCAACTCTGTGAGGTGAATGCAAACATCCCAAAGAAGTTTCTGAGAATGCTTCCGTTTAGCTTTTAGGTGAAGATTATCCCGTTTCCAACAAAACCTTCAAAGAGGTCCAAATATCCCCTTGCGGATCCCACAGAAAGAGTGTTTCGAAACTGCTGTTTCAAAAGGAATCTTCAACTCTGTGAGTTGAATGCAATCATCACAAAGAAGTTTCTGACAATACTTCTCTCTCGTCTTTCTGTGAAGATAAAGGAAAAGGCTTTCAGGCCTTTTCCACCACAGGCCTGAAAGCGCTCCAAATGTCCACTTGCAGATTCTGCGAAAAGAATATTTCAAAACTGCTCTATGAAAAGCAATGTTAAACTCTGTGGCTCGAACACAAACATCACAAAGCGGTTTCTGAGAATGCTTCGGTTAAGTTTTTCTGTGGAAATATTCCCGTTTCCAAAGAAATCTTCAAAGAGGTCCACGCATCCACTTACAGATTCTACAAAAAGACAGTTTCAAAACTGCTCAATCAAAAGGAGGGTTCAACTGTGTGACTTGAATGCAATCATCACTCAGAAGTTTCTGAGAACGCTTCTCTTTAGTTTTTACGTGAACATATACCCGTTTCGAACGAAGGCCAGCCAGTGGTCCAAATATCCACTTGCAGATTCTACAGAAAGAGTGTTTCGAACCTGAACTCTCAAAGGCAGGTTCATCTCTGCGAGTTAAATGCATTCATCATGAAGAACTTTCTCAGAGTGTTTGTGTTTAGTTATGGGAAATTATTCCCTTTCCCAAAGAAATCCTCAGAGAGGTCCAAATGTCCACCTGCAGATTCTACCAAAAGTGTATTTGGAAACTGCTCCATCAACAGGCATGTTCAGCTCTGTGAGTGAAACTCCATCATCACAAAGAATATTCTGAGAATGCTTCCGTTTGCCTTTTATATGAAGTTCCTTCCTGTACTACCGTAGGCCTCAAAGCAGTCCAAATCTCCATTTGCAGATTCTACAAAAAGAGTGATTCCAATCTGCTCTATCAATAGGATTGTTCAACTCCATGAGTTGAATGCCATCCTCACAAAGTCGTTTCTGAGAATGCTTCTATCTGGTTTTTGTGTGAAGATATTTCCTTTTCCACCACAGGCCTCAAAGCCCTCCAAACGTCCACTTGCAGATTCTCGAAAAAGAGTGTTTCATAGCTGCTCTTTCAAAAGGAAAGTTCAACTCTGGGAGTTGAATACAAACATCACAAAATAGTTTCCGAGAATGCTTCTGTTTAGTTTTTATGTGAAGATGATCCCGTTTCCAGTGAAATCTTCAAAGAGGTCCACATATCCCCTTGCAGATTCCAAAGAAAGAGGGTTTCAAAACTGCTCCATCAGAAGGATTGTTCAACTCTGTGAGTTGAATGCAGTCATCGCAGAAAACTTTCTGAGAATGCTTCTGTCTAGGTTTGATGTGAAGATATAGACGTTTCAAACGAAGGCTACAAAGTGGTCAAAATATACACTTGCAGATTCTACTACAAGGGTGTTGCAAACCTGAACTATCAAAGGAAGGTTCAACTCTGTGAGTTGAATACAAACATCACAAAGAATGTTCTGAGTTTGCTTCCGTTCAGTTATGGGAAGTTGATCCCGTTTCCAACGAAATCCTCAGAGAGGTCCAAATATCCCCTTGCAGATTCTACAAAACGTGTGTTTGGAAACTGCTCCATCATAACGAATGTTCAGCTCCCTGAGTTAAACTCCATCGTCACAAAGAATTTTCTGAGAGTGCTACCGTCTGGTTTTTATATGAAGTTCTTTCCTTCACTACCACAGGCCTCAAAGCGGTCCAAATCTCCACTTGCAGATTCTACAAAAAGAGTGTTTGCAAACTGCTCTATCAAAAGGAATGTTCAACACTGGGAGTTGAATGCAATCATCACAGAGCAGTTTCTGAGAATGCTTCTATGTCGTTTTTAGGAGAAGATATTTCCTTTTCCAACACAGTCCTCCAAGCCCGCTAAATAGCCCCTTGCACATTGTAGAAAAAGTGTGTCAAAGCTGCGCTATCAAAGGGAAAGTTCAACTCTGTGAGGTGAATGCAAACATCCCAAAGAAGTTTCTGAGAATGCTTCCGTTTAGCTTTTAGGTGAAGATTATCCCGTTTCCAACGAAACCTTCAAAGAGGTCCAAATATCCCCTTGCGGATCCCACAGAAAGAGTGTTTCGAAACTGCTGTTTCAAAAGGAATCTTCAACTCTGTGAGTTGAATGCAATCATCACAAAGAAGTTTCTGACAATGCTTCTCTCTCGTCTTTCTGTGAAGATAAAGGAAAAGGCTTTCAGGCCTTTTCCACCACAGGCCTGAAAGCGCTCCAAATGTCCACTTGCAGATTCTGCGAAAAGAATATTTCAAAACTGCTCTATGAAAAGCAATGTTAAACTCTGTGGCTCGAACACAAACATCACAAAGCGGTTTCTGAGAATGCTTCAGTTTAGTTTTTCTGTGGAAATATTCCCGTTTCCAAAGAAATCTTCAAAGAGGTCCACGTATCCACTTACAGATTCTACAAAAAGACAGTTTCAAAACTGCTCCATCAAAAGGAGGGTTCAACTGTGTGACTTGAATGCAATCATCACTCAGAAGTTTCTGAGAATGCTTCTCTTTAGTTTTTACGTGAACATATACCCGTTTCGAACGAAGGCCACCCAGTGGTCCAAATATCCACTTGCAGATTCTACAGAAAGAGTGTTTCGAACCTGAACTCTCAAAGGCAGGTTCATCTCTGCGAGTTAAATGCATTCATCATGAAGAACTTTCTCAGAGTGTTTGTGTTTAGTTATGGGAAATTATTCCCGTTTCCAACGAAATCCTCAGAGAGCTCCAAATATCCACCTGCAGATTCTACCAAAAGTGTATTTGGAAACTGCTCCATCAAAAGGCATGTTCAGCTCTGTGAGTGAAACTCCATCATCACAAAGAATATTCTGAGAATGCTTCCGTTTGCCGTTTATATGAAGTTCCTTCCTATACTACCGTAGGCCTCAAAGCAGTCCAAATCTCCATTTGCAGATTCTACAAAAAGAGTGATTCCAATCTGCTCTATCAATAGGATTGTTCAACTCCATGTGTTGAATGCCATCCTCAATGTCGTTTCTGAGAATGCTTCTATCTAGTTTTTATGTGAAGATATTTCCTTTTCCACCACAGGCCTCAAAGCCCTCCAAACGTCCACTTTCAGATTCTCGAAAAAGAGTGTTTCATAGCTGCTCTTTCAAAAGGAAAGTTCAACTCTGGGAGTTGAATACAAACATCACAAAGTAGTTTCCGAGAATGCTTCTGTTTAGTTTTTATGTGAAGATGATCCCGTTTCCAGTGAAATCTTCAAAGAGGTCCACATATCCCCTTGCAGATTCCAAAGAAAGAGGGTTTCAAAACTGCTCCATCAGAAGGATTGTTCAACTCTGTGAGTTGAATGCAGTCATCGCAGAAAACTTTCTGAGAATGCTTCTGTCTAGGTTTGATGTGAAGATATAGACGTTTCAAACGAAGGCTACAAAGTGGTCAAAATATACACTTGCAGATTCTACTACAAGGGTGTTACAAACCTGAACTATCAAAGGATGGTTCAACTCTGTGAGTTGAATACAAACATCACAAAGAATGTTCTGAGTTTGCTTCCGTTCAGTTATGGGAAGTTGATCCCGTTTCCAACGAAATCCTCAGAGAGGTCCAAATATCCCCTTGCAGATTCTACAAAACGTGTGTTTGGAAACTGCTCCATCATAACGAATGTTCAGCTCCCTGAGTTAAACTCCATCGTCACAAAGAATTTTCTGAGAGTGCTACCGTCTGGTTTTTATATGAAGTTCTTTCCTTCACTACCACAGGCCTCAAAGCGGTCCAAATCTCCACTTGCAGATTCTACAAAAAGAGTGTTTGCAAACTGCTCTATCAAAAGGAATGTTCAACTCTGGGAGTTGAATGCAATCATCACAGAGCAGTTTCTGAGAATGCTTCTATGTCGTTTTTAGGAGAAGATATTTCCTTTTCCAACACAGTCCTCCAAGCCCGCTAAATAGCCACTTGCACATTGTAGAAAAAGTGTGTCAAAGCTGCGCTATCAAAGGGAAAGTTCAACTCTGTGAGGTGAATGCAAACATCCTAAAGAAGTTTCTGAGAATGCTTCCGTTTAGCTTTTAGGTGAAGATTATCCCGTTTCCAACGAAACCTTCAAAGAGGTGCAAATATCCCCTTGCGGATCCCACAGAAAGAGTGTTTCGAAACTGCTGTTTCAAAAGGAATCTTCAACTCTGTGAGTTGAATGCAATCATCACAAAGAAGTTTCTGACAATGCTTCTCTCTCGTCTTTCTGTGAAGATAAAGGAAAAGGCTTTCAGGCCTTTTCCACCACAGGCCTGAAAGCGCTCCAAATGTCCACTTGCAGATTCTGCGAAAAGAATATTTCAAAACTGCTCTATGAAAAGCAATGTTAAACTCTGTGGCTGGAACACAAACATCACAAAGCGGTTTCTGAGAATGTTTCAGTTTAGTTTTTCTGTGGAAATATTCCCGTTTCCAAAGAAATCTTCAAAGAGGTCCACGCATCCACTTACAGATTCTACAAAAAGACAGTTTCAAAACTGCTCAATCAAAAGGAGGGTTCAACTGTGTGACTTGAATGCAATCATCACTCAGAAGTTTCTGAGAACGCTTCTCTTTAGTTTTTACGTGAACATATACCCGTTTCGAATGAAGGCCAGCCAGTGGTCCAAATATCCACTTGCAGATTCTACAGAAAGAGTGTTTTGAACCTGAACTCTCAAAGGCAGGTTCATCTCTGCGAGTTAAATGCATTCATCATGAAGAACTTTCTCAGCGTGTTTGTGTTTAGTTATGGGAAATTATTCCCGTTTCCAACGAAATCCTCAGAGAGCTCCAAATATCCACCTGCAGATTCTACCAAAAGTGTATTTGGAAACTGCTCCATGAAAAGGCATGTTCAGCTCCGTGAGTGAAACTCCGTCATCACAAAGAATATTCTGAGAATGCTTCCGTTTGCCTTTTATATGAAGTTCCTTCCTATACTACCGTAGGCCTCAAAGCAGTCCAAATCTCCATTTGCAGATTCTACAAAAAGAGTGATTCCAATCTGCTCTATCAATAGGATTGTTCAACTCCATGAGTTGAATGCCATCCTCACAAAGTAGTTTCTGAGAATGCTTCTATCTAGTTTTTATGTGAAGATATTTCCTTTTCCACCACAGGCCTCAAAGCCCTCAAAACGTCCACTTGCAGATTCTCGAAAAAGAGTGTTTCATAGCTGCTCTTTCAAAAGGAAAGTTCAACTCTGGGAGTTGAATACAAACATCACAAAGTAGTTTCCGAGAATGCTTCTGTTTAGTTTTTATGTGAAGATGATCCCGTTTCCAGTGAAATCTTCAAAGAGGTCCACATATCCCCTTGCAGATTCCAAAGAAAGAGGGTTTCAAAACTGCTCCATCAGAAGGATTGTTCAACTCTGTGAGTTGAATGCAGTCATCGCAGAAAACTTTCTGAGAATGCTTCTGTCTAGGTTTGATGTGAAGATATAGACGTTTCAAACGAAGGCTACAAAGTGGTCAAAATATACACTTGCAGATTCTACTACAAGGGTGTTGCAAACCTGAACTATCAAAGGAAGGTTCAACTCTGTGAGTTGAATACAAACATCACAAAGAATGTTCTGAGTTTGCTTCCGTTCAGTTATGGGAAGTTGATCCCGTTTCCAACGAAATCCTCAGAGAGGTCCAAATATCCCCTTGCAGATTCTACAAAACGTGTGTTTGGAAACTGCTCCATCATAACGAATGTTCAGCTCCCTGAGTTAAACTCCATCGTCACAAAGAATTTTCTGAGAGTGCTACCGTCTGGTTTTTATATGAAGTTCTTTCCTTCACTACCACAGGCCTCAAAGCGGTCCAAATCTCCACTTGCAGATTCTACAAAAAGAGTGTTTGCAAACTGCTCTATCAAAAGGAATGTTCAACTCTGGGAGTTGAATGCAATCATCACAGAGCAGTTTCTGAGATGCTTCTATGTCGTTTTTAGGAGAAGATATTTCCTTTTCCAACACAGTCCTCCAAGCCCGCTAAATAGCCACTTGCACATTGTAGAAAAAGTGTGTCAAAGCTGCGCTATCAAAGGGAAAGTTCAACTCTGTGAGGTGAATGCAAACATCCCAAAGAAGTTTCTGAGAATGCTTCCGTTTAGCTTTTAGGTGAAGATTATCCCGTTTCCAACGAAACCTTCAAAGAGGTCCAAATATCCCCTTGCGGATCCCACAGAAAGAGTGTTTCGAAACTGCTGTTTCAAAAGGAATCTTCAACTCTGTGAGTTGAATGCAATCATCACAAAGAAGTTTCTGACAATGCTTCTCTCTCGTCTTTCTGTGAAGATAAAGGAAAAGGCTTTCAGGCCTTTGCCACCACAGGCCTGAAAGCGCTCCAAATGTCCACTTGCAGATTCTGCGAAAAGAATATTTCAAAACTGCTCTATGAAAAGCAATGTTAAACTCTGTGGCTCGAACACAAACATCACAAAGCAGTTTCTGAGAATGCTTCAGTTTAGTTTTTCTGTGGAAATATTCCCGTTTCCAAAGAAATCTTCAAAGAGGTCCACGCATCCACTTACAGATTCTACAAAAAGACAGTTTCAAAACTGCTCAATCAAAAGGAGGGTTCAACTGTGTGACTTGAATGCAATCATCACTCAGAAGTTTCTGAGAACGCTTCTCTTTAGTTTTTACGTGAACATATACCCGTTTGGAATGAAGGCCAGCCAGTGGTCCAAATATCCACTTGCAGATTCCACAGAAAGAGTGTTTCGAACCTGAACTCTCAAAGGCAGGTTCATCTCTGCGAGTTAAATGCATTCATCATGAAGAACTTTCTCAGCGTGTTTGTGTTTAGTTATGGGAAATTATTCCCGTTTCCAACGAAATCCTCAGAGAGCTCCAAATATCCACCTGCAGATTCTACCAAAAGTGTATTTGGAAACTGCTCCATCAAAAGGCATGTTCAGCTCTGTGAGTGAAACTCCATCATCACAAAGAATATTCTGAGAATGCTTCCGTTTGCCTTTTATATGAAGTTCCTTCCTATACTACCGTAGGCCTCAAAGCAGTCCAAATCTCCATTTGCAGATTCTACAAAAAGAGTGATTCCAATCTGCTCTATCAATAGGATTGTTCAACTCCATGAGTTGAATGCCATCCTCACAAAGTCGTTTCTGAGAATGCTTCTATCTGGTTTTTGTGTGAAGATATTTCCTTTTCCACCACAGGCCTCAAAGCCCTCCAAACGTCCACTTGCAGATTCTCGAAAAAGAGTGTTTTATAGCTGCTCTTTCAAAAGGAAAGTTCAACTCTGGGAGTTGAATACAAACATCACAAAATAGTTTCCGAGAATGCTTCTGTTTAGTTTTTATGTGAAGATGATCCCGTTTCCAGTGAAATCTTCAAAGAGGTCCACACATCCCCTTGCAGATTCCAAAGAAAGAGGGTTTCAAAACTGCTCCATCAGAAGGATTGTTCAACTCTGTGAGTTGAATGCAGTCATCGCAGAAAACTTTCTGAGAATGCTTCTGTCTAGGTTTGATGTGAAGATATAGACGTTTCAAACGAAGGCTACAAAGTGGTCAAAATATACACTTGCAGATTCTACTACAAGGGTGTTGCAAACCTGAACTATCAAAGGAAGGTTCAACTCTGTGAATTGAATACAAACATCACAAAGAATGTTCTGAGTTTGCTTCCGTTCAGTTATGGGAAGTTGATCCCGTTTCCAACGAAATCCTCAGAGAGGTCCAAATATCCCCTTGCAGATTCTACAAAACGTGTGTTTGGAAACTGCTCCATCATAACGAATGTTCAGCTCCCTGAGTTAAACTCCATCGTCACAAAGAATTTTCTGAGAGTGCTACCGTCTGGTTTTTATATGAAGTTCTTTCCTTCACTACCACAGGCCTCAAAGCGGTCCAAATCTCCACTTGCAGATTCTACAAAAAGAGTGTTTGCAAACTGCTCTATCAAAAGGAATGTTCAACTCTGGGAGTTGAATGCAATCATCACAGAGCAGTTTCTGAGAATGCTTCTATGTCGTTTTTAGGAGAAGATATTTCCTTTTCCAACACAGTCCTCCAAGCCCGCTAAATAGCCACTTGCACATTGTAGAAAAAGTGTGTCAAAGCTGCGCTATCAAAGGGAAAGTTCAACTCTGTGAGGTGAATGCAAACATCCCAAAGAAGTTTCTGAGAATGCTTCCGTTTAGCTTTTAGGTGAAGATTATCCCGTTTCCAACGAAACCTGCAAAGAGGTCCAAATATCCCCTTGCGGATCCCACAGAAAGAGTGTTTCGAAACTGCTGTTTCAAAAGGAATCTTCAACTCTGTGAGCTGAATGCAATCATCACAAAGAAGTTTCTGACAATGCTTCTCTCTCGTCTTTCTGTGAAGATAAAGGAAAAGGCTTTCAGGCCTTTTCCACCACAGGCCTGAAAGCGCTCCAAATGTCCACTTGCAGATTCTGCCAAAAGAATATTTCAAAACTGCTCTATGAAAAGCAATGTTAAACTCTGTGGCTGGAACACAAACATCACAAAGCGGTTTCTGAGAATGTTTCAGTTTAGTTTTTCTGTGGAAATATTCCCGTTTCCAAAGAAATCTTCAAAGAGGTCCACGTATCCACTTACAGATTCTACAAAAAGACAGTTTCAAAACTGCTCCATCAAAAGGAGGGTTCAACTGTGTGACTTGAATGCAATCATCACTCAGAAGTTTCTGAGAATGCTTCTCTTTAGTTTTTACGTGAACATATACCCGTTTCGAACGAAGGCCACCCAGTGGTCCAAATATCCACTTGCAGATTATACAGAAAGAGTGTTTCGAACCTGAACTCTCAAAGGCAGGTTCATCTCTGCGAGTTAAATGCATTCATCATGAAGAACTTTCTCAGAGTGTTTGTGTTTAGTTATGGGAAATTATTCCCGTTTCCAACGAAATCCTCAGAGAGCTCCAAATATCCACCTGCAGATTCTACCAAAAGTGTATTTGGAAACTGCTCCATCAAAAGGCATGTTCAGCTCTGTCAGTGAAACTCCATCATCACAAAGAATATTCTGAGAATGCTTCCGTTTGCCTTTTATATGAAGTTCCTTCCTATACTACCGTAGGCCTCAAAGCAGTCCAAATCTCCATTTGCAGATTCTACAAAAAGAGTGATTCCAATCTGCTCTATCAATAGGATTGTTCAACTCCATGAGTTGAATGCCATCCTCACAAAGTCGTTTCTGAGAATGCTTCTATCTGGTTTTTGTGTGAAGATATTTCCTTTTCCACCACAGGCCTCAAAGCCCTCCAAACGTCCACTTGCAGATTCTCGAAAAAGAGTGTTTCATAGCTGCTCTTTCAAAAGGAAAGTTCAACTCTGGGAATTGAATACAAACATCACAAAATAGTTTCCGAGAATGCTTCTGTTTAGTTTTTATGTGAAGATGATCCCGTTTCCAGTGAAATCTTCAAAGAGGTCCACATATCCCCTTGCAGATTCCAAAGAAAGAGGGTTTCAAAACTGCTCCATCAGAAGGATTGTTCAACTCTGTGAGTTGAATGCAGTCATCGCAGAAAACTTTCTGAGAATGCTTCTGTCTAGGTTTGATGTGAAGATATAGACGTTTCAAACGAAGGCTACAAAGTGGTCAAAATATACACTTGCAGATTCTACTACAAGGGTGTTGCAAACCTGAACTATCAAAGGAAGGTTCAACTCTGTGAGTTGAATACAAACATCGCAAAGAATGCTCTGAGTTTGCTTCCGTTCAGTTATGGGAAGTTGATCCCGTTTCCAACGAAATCCTCAGAGAGGTCCAAATATCCCCTTGCAGATTCTACAAAACGTGTGTTTGGAAACTGCTCCATCATAACGAATGTTCAGCTCCCTGAGTTAAACTCCATCGTCACAAAGAATTTTCTGAGAGTGCTACCGTCTGGTTTTTATATGAAGTTCTTTCCTTCACTACCACAGGCCTCAAAGCGGTCCAAATCTCCACTTGCAGATTCTACAAAAAGAGTGTTTGCAAACTGCTCTATCAAAAGGAATGTTCAACTCTGGGAGTTGAATGCAATCATCACAGAGCAGTTTCTGAGAATGCTTCTATGTCGTTTTTAGGAGAAGATATTTCCTTTTCCAACACAGTCCTCCAAGCCCGCTAAATAGCCACTTGCACATTGTAGAAAAAGTGTGTCAAAGCTGCGCTATCAAAGGGAAAGTTCAACTCTGTGAGGTGAATGCAAACATCCCAAAGAAGTTTCTGAGAATGCTTCCGTTTAGCTTTTAGGTGAAGATTATCCCGTTTCCAACGAAACCTTCAAAGAGGTCCAAATATCCCCTTGCGGATCCCACAGAAAGAGTGTTTCGAAACTGCTGTTTCAAAAGGAATCTTCAACTCTGTGAGTTGAATGCAATCATCACAAAGAAGTTTCTGACAATGCTTCTCTCTCGTCTTTCTGTGAAGATAAAGGAAAAGGCTTTCAGGCCTTTTCCGCCACAGGCCTGAAAGCGCTCCAAATGTCCACTTGCAGATTCTGCGAAAAGAATATTTCAAAACTGCTCTATGAAAAGCAATGTTAAACTCTGTGGCTCGAACACAAACATCACAAAGCGGTTTCTGAGAATGCTTCAGTTTAGTTTTTCTGTGGAAATATTCCCGTTTCCAAAGAAATCTTCAAAGAGGTCCACGTATCCACTTACAGATACTACAAAAAGACAGTTTCAAAACTGCTCCATCAAAAGGAGGGTTCAACTGTGTGACTTGAATGCAATCATCACTCAGAAGTTTCTGAGAATGCTTCTCTTTAGTTTTTACGTGAACATATACCCGTTTCGAAAGAAGGCCACCCAGTGGTCCAAATATCCACTTGCAGATTCTACAGAAAGAGTGTTTCGAACCTGAACTCTCAAAGGCAGGTTCATCTCTGCGAGTTAAATGCATTCATCATGAAGAACTTTCTCAGAGTGTTTGTGTTTAGTTATGGGAAATTATTCCCGTTTCCAACGAAATCCTCAGAGAGCTCCAAATATCCACCTGCAGATTCTACCAAAAGTGTATTTGGAAACTGCTCCATCAAAAGGCATGTTCAGCTCTGTGAGTGAAACTCCATCATCACAAAGAATATTCTGAGAATGCTTCCGTTTGCCTTTTATATGAAGTTCCTTCCTGTACTACCGTAAGCCTCAAAGCAGTCCAAATCTCCATTTGCAGATTCTATAAAAAGAGTGATTCCAATCTGCTCTATCAATAGGATTGTTCAACTCCATGAGTTGAATGCCATCCTCACAAAGTAGTTTCTGAGAATGCTTCTATCTGGTTTTTGTGTGAAGATATTTCCTTTTCCACCACAGTCCTCAAAGCCCTCCAAACGTCCACTTGCAGATTCTCGAAAAAGAGTGTTTCATAGCTGCTCTTTCAAAAGGAAAGTTCAACTCTGGGAGTTGAATACAAACATCACAAAGTAGTTTCCGAGAATGCTTCTGTTTAGTTTTTATGTGAAGATGATCCCGTTTCCAGTGAAATCTTCAAAGAGGTCCACATATCCCCTTGCAGATTCCAAAGAAAGAGGGTTTCAAAACTGCTCCATCAGAAGGATTGTTCAACTCTGTGAGTTGAATGCAGTCATCGCAGAAAACTTTCTGAGAATGCTTCTGTCTAGGTTTGATGTGAAGATATAGACGTTTCAAACGAAGGCTACAAAGTGGTCAAAATATACACTTGCAGATTCTACTACAAGGGTGTTGCAAACCTGAACTATCAAAGGAAGGTTCAACTCTGTGAGTTGAATACAAACATCACAAAGAATGTTCTGAGTTTGCTTCCGTTCAGTTATGGGAAGTTGATCCCGTTTCCAACGAAATCCTCAGAGAGGTCCAAATATCCCCTTGCAGATTCTACAAAAGGTGTGTTTGGAAACTGCTCCATCATAACGAATGTTCAGCTCCCTGAGTTAAACTCCATCCTCACAAAGAATTTTCTGAGAGTGCTACCGTCTGGTTTTTATATGAAGTTCTTTCCTTCACTACCACTGGCCTCAAAGCGGTCCAAATCTCCACTTGCAGATTCTACAAAAAGAGTGTTTGCAAACTGCTCTATCAAAAGGAATGTTCAACTCTGGGAGTTGAATGCAATCATCACAGAGCAGTTTCTGAGAATGCTTCTATGTCGTTTTTAGGAGAAGATATTTCCTTTTCCAACACAGTCCTCCAAGCCCGCTAAATAGCCACTTGCACATTGTAGAAAAAGTGTGTCAAAGCTGCGCTATCAAAGGGAAAGTTCAACTCTGTGAGGTGAATGCAAACATCCCAAAGAAGTTTCTGAGAATGCTTCCGTTTAGCTTTTAGGTGAAGATTATCCCGTTTCCAACGAAAGCTTCAAAGAGGTCCAAATATCCCCTTGCGGATCCCACAGAAAGAGTGTTTCGAAACTGCTGTTTCAAAAGGAATCTTCAACTCTGTGAGTTGAATGCAATCATCACAAAGAAGTTTCTGACAATGCTTCTCTCTCGTCTTTCTGTGAAGATAAAGGAAAAGGCTTTCAGGCCTTTTCCACCACAGGCCTGAAAGCGCTCCAAATGTCCACTTGCAGATTCTGCCAAAAGAATATTTCAAAACTGCTCTATGAAAAGCAATGTTAAACTCTGTGGCTCGAATACAAACATCACAAAGCGGTTTCTGAGAATGCTTCAGTTTAGTTTTTCTGTGGAAATATTCCCGTTTCCAAAGAAATCTTCAAAGAGGTCCACGTATCCACTTACAGATTCTACAAAAAGACAGTTTCAAAACTGCTCCATCAAAAGGAGGGTTCAACTGTGTGACTTGAATGCAATCATCACTCAGAAGTTTCTGAGAATGCTTCTCTTTAGTTTTTACGTGAACATATACCCGTTTCGAACGAAGGCCACCCAGTGGTCCAAATATCCACTTGCAGATTCTACAGAAAGAGTGTTTCGAACATGAACTCTCAAAGGCAGGTTCATCTCTGCGAGTTAAATGCATTCATCATGAAGAACTTTCTCAGAGTGTTTGTGTTTAGTTATGGGAAATTATTCCCGTTTCCAACGAAATCCTCAGAGAGCTCCAAATATCCACCTGCAGATTCTACCAAAAGTGGATTTGGAAACTGCTCCATCAAAAGGCATGTTCCGCTCTGTGAGTGAAACTCCATCATAACAAAGAATATTCTGAGAATGCTTCCGTTTGCCTTTTATATGAAGTTCCTTCCTATACGACCGTAGGCCTCAAAGCAGTCCAAATCTCCATTTGCAGATTCTACAAAAAGAGTGATTCCAATCTGCTCTATCAATAGGATTGTTCAACTCCATGAGTTGAATGCCATCCTCACAAAGTCGTTTCTGAGAATGCTTCTATTCTAGTTTTTATGTGAAGATATTTCCTTTTCCACCACAGGCCTCAAAGCCCTCCAAACGTCCACTTGCAGATTCTCGAAAAAGAGTGTTTCATAGCTGCTCTTTCAAAAGGAAAGTTCAACTCTGGGAGTTGAATACAAACATCACAAAGTAGTTTCCGAGAATGCTTCTGTTTAGTTTTTATGTGAAGATGATCCCGTTTCCAGTGAAATCTTCAAAGAGGTCCACATATCCCCTTGCAGATTCCAAAGAAAGAGGGTTTCAAAACTGCTCCATCAGAAGGATTGTTCAACTCTGTGAGTTGAATGCAGTCATCGCAGAAAACTTTCTGAGAATGCTTCTGTCTAGGTTTGATGTGAAGATATAGACGTTTCAAACGAAGGCTACAAAGTGGTCAAAATATACACTTGCAGATTCTACTACAAGGGTGTTACAAACCTGAACTATCAAAGGATGGTTCAACTCTGTGAGTTGAATACAAACATCACAAAGAATGTTCTGAGTTTGCTTCCGTTCAGTTATGGGAAGTTGATCCCGTTTCCAACGAAATCCTCAGAGAGGTCCAAATATCCCCTTGCAGATTCTACAAAACGTGTGTTTGGAAACTGCTCCATCATAACGAATGTTCAGCTCTCTGAGTTAAACTCCATCGTCACAAAGAATTTTCTGAGAGTGCTACCGTCTGGTTTTTATATGAAGCTCTTTCCTTCACTACCACAGGCCTCAAAGCGGTCCAAATCTCCACTTGCAGATTCTACAAAAAGAGTGTTTGCAAACTGCTCTATCAAAAGGAATGTTCAACTCTGGGAGTTGAATGCAATCATCACAGAGCAGTTTCTGAGAATGCTTCTATGTCGTTTTTAGGAGAAGATATTTCCTTTTCCAACACAGTCCTCCAAGCCCGCTAAATAGCCACTTGCACATTGTAGAAAAAGTGTGTCAAAGCTGCGCTATCAAAGGGAAAGTTCAACTGTGTGAGGTGAATGCAAACATCCCAAAGAAGTTTCTGAGAATGCTTCCGTTTAGCTTTTAGGTGAAGATTATCCCGTTTCCAACGAAACCTTCAAAGAGGTCCAAATATCCCCTTGCGGATCCCACAGAAAGAGTGTTTCGAAACTGCTGTTTCAAAAGGAATCTTCAACTCTGTGAGTTGAATGCAATCATCAAAAAGAAGTTTCTGACAATGCTTCTCTCTCGTCTTTCTGTGAAGATAAAGGAAAAGGCTTTCAGGCCATTTCCACCACAGGCCTGAAAGCGCTCCAAATGTCCACTTGCAGATTCTGCCAAAAGAATATTTCAAAACTGCTCTATGAAAAGCAATGTTAAACTCTGCGGCTCGAACACAAACATCACAAAGCAGTTTCTGAGAATGCTTCAGTTTAGTTTTTCTGTGGAAATATTCCCGTTTCCAAAGAAATCTTCAAAGAGGTCCACGTATCCACTTACAGATTCTACAAAAAGACAGTTTCAAAACTGCTCCATCAAAAGGAGGGTTCAACTGTGTGACTTGAATGCAATCATCACTCAGAAGTTTCTGAGAATGCTTCTCTTTAGTTTTTACGTGTACATATACCCGTTTCGAACGAAGGCCAGCCAGTGGTCCAAATATCCACTTGCAGATTCTACAGAAAGAGTGTTTCGAACCTGAACTCTCAAAGGCAGGTTCATCTCTGCGAGTTAAATGCATTCATCATGAAGAACTTTCTCAGAGTGTTTGTGTTTAGTTATGGGAAATTATTCCCGTTTCCAACGAAATCCTCAGAGAGCTCCAAATATCCACCTGCAGATTCTACCAAAAGTGTATTTGGAAACTGCTCCATCAAAAGGCATGTTCAGCTCTGTGAGTGAAACTCCATCATCACAAAGAATATTCTGAGAATGCTTCCGTTTGCCTTTTATATGAAGTTCCTTCCTGTACTACTGTAGGCCTCAAAGCAGTCCAAATCTCCATTTGCAGATTCTACAAAAAGAGTGATTCCAATCTGCTCTATCAATAGGATTGTTCAACTCCATGAGTTGAATGCCATCCTCACAAAGCAGTTTCTGAGAATGCTTCTATCTGGTTTTTGTGTGAAGATATTTCCTTTTCCACCACAGGCCTCAAAGCCCTCCAAACGTCCACTTGCAGATTCTCGAAAAAGAGTGTTTCATAGCTGCTCTTTCAAAAGGAAAGTTCAACTCTGGGAGTTGAATACAAACATCACAAAATAGTTTCCGAGAATGCTTCTGTTTAGTTTTTATGTGAAGATGATCCCGTTTCCAGTGAAATCTTCAAAGAGGTCCACATATCCCCTTGCAGATTCCAAAGAAAGAGGGTTTCAAAACTGCTCCATCAGAAGGATTGTTCAACTCTGTGAGTTGAATGCAGTCATCGCAGAAAACTTTCTGAGAATGCTTCTGTCTAGGTTTGATGTGAAGATATAGCATGTTTCAAACGAAGGCTACAAAGTGGTCAAAATATACACTTGCAGATTCTACTACAAGGGTGTTGCAAACCTGAACTATCAAAGGAAGGTTCAACTCTGTGAGTTGAATACAAACATCACAAAGAATGTTCTGAGTTTGCTTCCGTTCAGTTATGGGAAGTTGATCCCGTTTCCAACGAAATCCTCAGAGAGGTCCAAATATCCCCTCGCAGATTCTACAAAACGTGTGTTTGGAAACTGCTCCATCATAACGAATGTTCAGCTCCCTGAGTTAAACTCCATCGTCACAAAGAATTTTCTGAGAGTGCTACCGTCTGGTTTTTATATGAAGTTCTTTCCTTCACTACCACAGGCCTCAAAGCGGTCCAAATCTCCACTTGCAGATTCTACAAAAAGAGTGTTTGCAAACTGCTCTATCAAAAGGAATGTTCAACTCTGGGAGTTGAATGCAATCATCACAGAGCAGTTTCTGAGAATGCTTCTATGTCGTTTTTAGGAGAAGATATTTCCTTTTCCAACACAGTCCTCCAAGCCCGCTAAATAGCCACTTGCACATTGTAGAAAAAGTGTGTCGAAGCTGCGCTATCAAAGGGAAAGTTCAACTCTGTGAGGTGAATGCAAACATCCCAAAGAAGTTTCTGAGAATGCTTCCGTTTAGCTTTTAGGTGAAGATTATCCCGTTTCCAACGAAATCTTCAAAGAGGTCCAAATATCCCCTTGCGGATCCCACAGAAAGAGTGTTTCGAAACTGCTGTTTCAAAAGGAATCTTCAACTCTGTGAGTTGAATGCAATCATCACAAAGAAGTTTCTGACAATGCTTCTCTCTCGTCTTTCTGTGAAGATAAAGGAAAAGGCTTTCAGGCCTTTTCCACCACAGGCCTGAAAGCGCTCCAAATGTCCACTTGCAGATTCTGCGAAAAGAATATTTCAAAACTGCTCTATGAAAAGCAATGTTAAACTCTGTGGCTCGAACACAAACATCAAAAAGCGGTTTCTGAGAATGCTTCAGTTTAGTTTTTCTGTGGAAATATTCCCGTTTCCAAAGAAATCTTCAAAGAGGTCCACGCATCCACTTACAGATTCTACAAAAAGACAGTTTCAAAACTGCTCAATCAAAAGGAGGGTTCAACTGTGTGACTTGAATGCAATCATCACTCAGAAGTTTCTGAGAACGCTTCTCTTTAGTTTTTACGTGAACATATAACCGTTTCGAACGAAGGCCACCCAGTGGTCCAAATATCCACTTGCAGATTCTACAGAAAGAGTGTTTCGAACCTGAACTCTCAGAGGCAGGTTCATCTCTGCGAGTTCAATGCATTCATCATGAAGAACTTTCTCAGCGTGTTTGTGTTTAGTTATGGGAAATTATTCCCGTTTCCAACGAAATCCTCAGAGAGGTCCAAATATCCACCTGCAGATTCTACCAAAAGTGTATTTGGAAACTGCTCCATCAAAAGGCATGTTCAGCTGCTGTGAGTGAAACTCCATCATCACAAAGAATATTCTGAGAATGCTTCCGTTTGCCTTTTATATGAAGTTCCTTCCTATACTACCGTAGGCCCCAAAGCAGTCCAAATCTCCATTTGCAGATTCTACAAAAAGAGTGATTCCAATCTGCTCTCTCAATGGGATTGTTCAACTCCATGAGTTGAATGCCATCCTCACAAAGTCGTTTCTGAGAATGCTTCTATCTAGTTTTTATGTGAAGATATTTCCTTTTCCACCACAGGCCTCAAAGCCCTCCAAACGTTCGCTTGCAGATTCTCGAAATAGTGTGTTTCATAGCTGCTCTTTCAAAAGGAAAGTTCAACTCTGGGAGTTGAATACAAACATCACAAAGTAGTTTCCGAGAATGCTTCTGTTTAGTTCTTATGAGAAGATGATCCCGTTTCCAGTGAAATCTTCAAAGAGGTCCACATATCCCCTTGCAGATTCCAAAGAAAGAGGGTTTCAAAACTGCTCCATCAAAAGGATTGTTCAACTCTGTGAGTTGAATGCAGTCATCGCAGAAAACTTTCTGAGAACGCTTCTGTCTAGGTTTGATGTGAAGATATAGACGTTTCAAACGAAGGCTACAAAGTGGTCAAAATATACACTTGCAGATTCTACTACAAGGGTGTTGCCAACCTGAACTATCAAAGGAAGGTTCAACTCTGTGAGTTGAATACAAACATCACAAAGAATGTTCTGAGTTTGCTTCCGTTCAGTTATGGGAAGTTGATCCCGTTTGCAACGAAATCCTCAGAGAGGTCCAAATATCCCCTTGCAGATTCTGCAAAACGTGTGTTTGGAAACTGCTCCATCATAACGAATGTTCAGCTCTCTGAGTTAAACTCCATCGTCACAAAGAATTTTCTGAGAGTGCTACCGTCTGGTTTTTATATGAAGTTCTTTCCTTCACTACCACAGGCCTCAAAGCGGTCCAAATCTCCACTTGCAGATTCTACAAAAAGAGTGTTTGCAAACTGCTCTATCAAAAGGAATGTTCAACTCTGGGAGTTGAATGCAATCATCACAGAGCAGTTTCTGAGAATGCTTCTATGTCGTTTTTAGGAGAAGATATTTCCTTTTCCAACACAGTCCTCCAAGCCCGCTAAATAGCCACTTGCACATTGTAGAAAAAGTGTGTCAAAGCTGCGCTATCAAAGGGAAAGTTCAACTCTGTGAGGTGAATGCAAACATCCCAAAGAAGTTTCTGAGAATGCTTCCGTTTAGCTTTTAGGTGAAGATTATCCCGTTTCCAACGAAACCTTCAAAGAGGTCCAAATATCCCCTTGCGGATCCCACAGAAAGAGTGTTTCGAAACTGCTGTTTCAAAAGGAATCTTCAACTCTGTGAGTTGAATGCAATCATCACAAAGAAGTTTCTGACAATACTTCTCTCTCGTCTTTCTGTGAAGATAAAGGAAAAGGCTTTCAGGCCTTTTCCACCACAGGCCTGAAAGCGCTCCAAATGTCCACTTGCAGATTCTGTGAAAAGAATATTTCAAAACTGCTCTATGAAAAGCAATGTTAAACTCTGTGGCTCGAACACAAACATCACAAAGCAGTTTCTGAGAATGCTTCAGTTTAGTTTTTCTGTGGAAATATTCCCGTTTCCAAAGAAATCTTCAAAGAGGTCCACGTATCCACTTACAGATTCTACAAAAAGACAGTTTCAAAACTGCTCCATCAAAAGGAGGGTTCAACTGTGTGACTTGAATGCAATCATCACTCAGAAGTTTCTGAGAATGCTTCTCTTTAGTTTTTACGTGAACATATACCCGTTTCGAACGAAGGCCACCCAGTGGTCCAAATATCCACTTGCAGATTCTACAGAAAGAGTGTTTCGAACCTGAACTCTCAAAGGCAGGTTCATCTCTGCGAGTTAAATGCATTCATCATGAAGAACTTTCTCAGCGTGTTTGTGTTTAGTTATGGGAAATTATTCCCGTTTCCAACGAAATCCTCAGAGAGCTCCAAATATCCACCTGCAGATTCTACCAAAAGTGTATTTGGAAACTGCTCCATCAAAAGGCATGTTCAGCTCTGTGAGTGAAACTCCATCATCACAAAGAATATTCTGAGAATGCTTCCGTTTGCCTTTTATATGAAGTTCCTTCCTATACGACCGTAGGCCTCAAAGCAGTGCAAATCTCCATTTGCAGATTCTACAAAAAGAGTGATTCCAATCTGCTCTATCAATAGGATTGTTCAACTCCATGAGTTGAATGCCATCCTCACAAAGTCGTTTCTGAGAATGCTTCTATCTAGTTTTTATGTGAAGATATTTCCTTTTCCACCACAGGCCTCAAAGCCCTCCAAACGTCCACTTGCAGATTCTCGAAAAAGAGTGTTTCATAGCTGCTCTTTCAAAAGGAAAGTTCAACTCTGGGAGTTGAATACAAACATCACAAAGTAGTTTCCGAGAATGCTTCTGTTTAGTTCTTATGTGAAGATGATCCCGTTTCCAGTGAAATCTTGAAAGAGGTCCACATATCCCCTTGCAGATTCCAAAGAAAGAGGGTTTCAAAACTGCTCCATCAAAAGGATTGTTCAACTCTGTGAGTTGAATGCAGTCATCGCAGAAAACTTTCTGAGAATGCTTCTGTCTAGGTTTGATGTGAAGATATAGACGTTTCAAACGAAGGCTACAAAGTGGTCAAAATATACACTTGCAGATTCTACTACAAGGGTGTTGCAAACCTGAACTATCAAAGGAAGGTTCAACTCTGTGAGTTGAATACAAACATCACAAAGAATGTTCTGAGTTTGCTTCCGTTCAGTTATGGGAAGTTGATCCCGTTTCCAACGAAATCCTCAGAGAGGTCCAAATATCCCCTTGCAGATTCTACAAAACGTGTGTTTGGAAACTGCTCCATCATAACGAATGTTCAGCTCCCTGAGTTAAACTCCATCGTCACAAAGAATTTTCTGAGAGTGCTACCGTCTGGTTTTTATATGAAGTTCTTTCCTTCACTACCCCAGGCCTCAAAGCGGTCCAAATCTCCACTTGCAGATTCTACAAAAAGAGTGTTTGCAAACTGCTCTATCAAAAGGAATGTTCAACTCTGGGAGTTGAATGCAATCATCACAGAGCAGTTTCTGAGAATGCTTCTATGTCGTTTTTAGGAGAAGATATTTCCTTTTCCAACACAGTCCTCCAAGCCCGCTAAATATCCACTTGCACATTGTAGAAAAAGTGTGTCAAAGCTGCGCTATCAAAGGGAAAGTTCAACTCTGTGAGGTGAATGCAAACATCCCAAAGAAGTTTCTGAGAATGCTTCCGTTTAGCTTTTAGGTGAAGATTATCCCGTTTCCAACGATATCTTCAAAGAGGTCCAAATATCCCCTTGCGGATCCCACAGAAAGAGTGTTTCGAAACTGCTGTTTCAAAAGGAATCTTCAACTCTGTGAGTTGAATGCAATCATCTCAAAGAAGTTTCCGACAATGCTTCTCTCTCGTCTTTCTGTGAAGATAAAGGAAAAGGCTTTCAGGCCTTTTCCACCACAGGCCTGAAAGCGCTCCAAATGTCCACTTGCAGATTCTGCGAAAAGAATATTTCAAAACTGCTCTATGAAAAGCAATGTTAAACTCTGTGGCTCGAACACAAACATCACAAAGCGGTTTCTGAGAATGCTTCAGTTTAGTTTTTCTGTGGAAATATTCCCGTTTCCAAAGAAATCTTCAAAGAGGTCCACGTATCCACTTACAGATTCTACAAAAAGACAGTTTCAAAACTGCTCCATCAAAAGGAGGGTTCAACTGTGTGACTTGAATGCAATCATCACTCAGAAGTTTCTGAGAATGCTTCTCTTTAGTTTTTACGTGAACATATACCCGTTTCGAACGAAGGCCACCCAGTGGTCCAAATATCCACTTGCAGATTATACAGAAAGAGTGTTTCGAACCTGAACTCTCAAAGGCAGGTTCATCTCTGCGAGTTAAATGCATTCATCATGAAGAACTTTCTCAGAGTGTTTGTGTTTAGTTATGGGAAATTATTCCCTTTTCCAACGAAATCCTCAGAGAGCTCCAAATATCCACCTGCAGATTCTACCAAAAGTGTATTTGGAAACTGCTCCATCAAAAGGCATGTTCAGCTCTGTGAGTGAAACTCCATCATCACAAAGAATATTCTGAGAATGCTTCCGTTTGCCTTTTATATGAAGTTCCTTCCTGTACTACCGTAGGCCTCAAAGCAGTCCAAATCTCCATTTGCAGATTCTATAAAAAGAGTGATTCCAATCTGCTCTATCAATAGGATTGTTCAACTCCATGAGTTGAATGCCATCCTCACAAAGTAGTTTCTGAGAATGCTTCTATCTGGTTTTTGTGTGAAGATATTTCCTTTTCCACCACAGGCCTCAAAGCCCTCCAAACGTCCACTTGCAGATTCTCGAAAAAGAGTGTTTCATAGCTGCTCTTTCAAAAGGAAAGTTCAACTCTGGGGAGTTGAATACAAACATCACAAAATAGTTTCCGAGAATGCTTCTGTTTAGTTCTTATGTGAAGTATGATCCCGTTTCCAGTGAAATCTTCAAAGAGGTCCACATATCCCCTTGCAGATTCCAAAGAAAGAGGGTTTCAAAACTGCTCCATCAAAAGGATTGTTCAACTCTGTGAGTTGAATGCAGTCATCGCAGAAAACTTTCTGAGAATGCTTCTGTCTAGGTTTGAGGTGAAGATATAGACGTTTCAAACGAAGGCTACAAAGTGTTCAAAATATACACTTGCAGATTCTACTACAAGGGTGATGCAAACCTGAACTATCAAAGGAAGGTTCAACTCTGTGTGTTGAATACAAACATCACAAAGAATGTTCTGAGTTTGCTTCCGTTCAGTTATGGGAAGTTGATCCCGTTTCCAACGAAATCCTCAGAGAGGTCCAAATATCCCCTTGCAGATTCTACAAAACTTGTGTTTGGAAACTGCTCCATCATAACGAACGTTCAGCTCTCTGAGTTAAACTCCATCGTCACAAAGAATTTTCTGAGAGTGCTACCGTCTAGTTTTTATATGAAGTTCTTTCCGTTACTACCACAGGCCTCAAAGCGGTCCAAATCTCCACTTGCAGATTCTACAAAAAGAGTGTTTGCAAACTGCTCTATCAAAAGGAATGTTCAACTCTGGGAGTTGAATGCAATCATCACAGAGCAGTTTCTGAGAATGCTTCTATGTCGTTTTTAGGAGAAGATATTTCCTTTTCCAACACAGTCCTCCAAGCCCGCTACATATCCACTTGCACATTGTAGAAAAAGTGTGTCGAAGCTGCGCTATCAAAGGGAAAGTTCAACTCTGTGAGGTGAATGCAAACATCCCAAAGAAGTTTCTGAGAATGCTTCCGTTTTGCTTTTAAGTGAAGATTATCCCGTTGGCAACGAAATCTTCAAAGAGGTCCAAATATCCCCTTGCGGATCCCACAGAAAGAGTGTTTCGAAACTGCTGTTTCAAAAGGAATCTTCAACTCTGTGAGTTGAATGCAATCATCACAAAGAAGTTTCTGACAATGCTTCTCTCTCGTCTTTCTGTGAAGATAAAGGAAAAGGCTTTCAGGCCTTTTCCACCACAGGCCTGAAAGCGCTCCAAATGTCCACTTGCAGATTCTGCCAAAAGAATATTTCAAAACTGCTCTATGAAAAGCAATGTTAAACTCTGTGGCTCGAACACAAACATCACAAAGCAGTTTCTGAGAATGCTTCAGTTTAGTTTTTCTGTGGAAATATTCCCGTTTCGAAAGAAATCTTCAAAGAGGTCCACGCATCCACTTACAGATTCTACAAAAAGACAGTTTCAAAACTGCTCAATCATAAGGAGGGTTCAACCGTGTGACTTGAGTGCAATCATCACTCAGAAGTTTCTGAGAACGCTTCTCTTTAGTTTTTACGTGAACATATACCCGTTTCGAACGAAGGCCACCCAGTGGTCCAAATATCCACTTGCAGATTCTACAGAAAGAGTGTTTCGAACCTGAACTCTCAAAGGCAGGTTCATCTCTGCGAGTTCAATGCATTCATCATGAAGAACTTTCTCAGCGTGTTTGTGTTTAGGTATGGGAAATTATTCCCGTTTCCAACGAAATCCTCAGAGAGGTCCAAATATCCACCTGCAGATTCTACCAAAAGTGTATTTGGAAACTGCTCCATCAAAAGGCATGTTCAGCTCTGTGAGTGAAACTCCATCATCACAAAGAATATTCTGAGAATGCTTCCGTTTGCCTTTTATATGAAGTTCCTTCCTGTACTACTGTAGGCCTCAAAGCAGTCCAAATCTCCATTTGCAGATCCTACAAAAAGAGTGATTCCAATCTGCTCTATCAATAGGATTGTTCAACTCCATGAGTTGAATGCCATCCTCACAAAGTAGTCTCTGAGAATGCTTCTATCTAGTTTTTATGTGAAGATATTTCCTTTTCCACCACAGGCCTCAAAGCCCTCCAAACGTCCACTTGCAGATTCTCGAAAAAGAGTGTTTCATAGCTGCTCTTTCAAAAGGAAAGTTCAACTCTGGGAGTTGAATACAAACATCACAAAGTAGTTTCCGAGAATGCTTCTGTTTAGTTCTTATGTGAAGATGATCCCGTTTCCAGTGAAATCTTCAAAGAGGTCCACATATCCCCTTGCAGATTCCAAAGAAAGAGGGTTTCAAAACTGCTCCATCAAAAGGATTGTTCAACTCTGTGAGTTGAATGCAGTCATCGCAGAAAACTTTCTGAGAATGCTTCTGTCTAGGTTTGATGTGAAGATATAGACGTTTCAAACGAAGGCTACAAAGTGGTCAAAATATACACTTGCAGATTCTACTACAAGGGTGTTGCAAACCTGAACTATCAAAGGAAGGTTCAACTCTGTGAGTTGAATACAAACATCACAAAGAATGTTACGAAGTTTGCTTCCGTTCAGTTATGGGAAGTTGATCCCGTTTCCAACGAAATCCTCAGAGAGGTCCAAATATCCCCTTGCAGATTCTACAAAATGTGTGTTTGGAAACTGCTCCATCATAACGAATGTTCAGCTCCCTGAGTTAAACTCCATCGTCACAAAGAATTTTCTGAGAGTGCTACCGTCTGGTTTTTATATGAAGCTCTTTCCTTCACTACCACAGACCTCAAAGCGGTCCAAATCTCCACTTGCAGATTCTACAAAAAGAGTGTTTGCAAACTGCTCTATCAAAAGGAATGTTCAACTCTGGGAGTTGAATGCAATCATCACAGAGCAGTTTCTGAGAATGCTTCTATGTCGTTTTTAGGAGAAGATATTTCCTTTTCCAACACAGTCCTCCAAGCCCGCTAAATAGCCACTTGCACATTGTAGAAAAAGTGTGTCAAAGCTGCGCTATCAAAGGGAAAGTTCAACTCTGTGAGGTGAATGCAAACATCCCAAAGAAGTTTCTGAGAATGCTTCCGTTTAGCTTTTAGGTGAAGATTATCCCGTTTCCAACGAAACCTTCAAAGAGGTCCAAATATCCCCTTGCGGATCCCACAGAAAGAGTGTTTCGAAACTGCTGTTTCAAAAGGAATCTTCAACTCTGTGAGTTGAATGCAATCATCAAAAAGAAGTTTCTGACAATGCTTCTCTCTCGTCTTTCTGTGAAGATAAAGGAAAAGGCTTTCAGGCCTTTTCCACCACAGGCCTGAAAGCGCTCCAAATGTCCACTTGCAGATTCTGCGAAAAGAATATTTCAAAACTGCTCTACGAAAAGCAATGTTAAACTCTGTGGCTCGAACACAAACATCACAAAGCGGTTTCTGAGAATGCTTCAGTTTAGTTTTTCTGTGGAAATATTCCCGTTTCCAAAGAAATCTTCAAAGAGGTCCACGTATCCACTTACAGATTCTACAAAAAGACAGTTTCAAAACTGCTCCATCAAAAGGAGGGTTCAACTGTGTGACTTGAATGCAATCATCACTCAGAAGTTTCTGAGAATGCTTCTCTTTAGTTTTTACGTGAACATATACCCGTTTCGAACGAAGGCCAGCCAGTGGTCCAAATATCCACTTGCAGATTCTACAGAAAGAGTGTTTCGAACATTAACTCTCAAAGGCAGGTTCATCTCTGCGAGTTAAATGCATTCATCATGAAGAACTTTCTCAGAGTGTTTGTGTTTAGTTATGGGAAATTATTCCCATTTCCAACGAAATCCTCAGAGAGCTCCAAATATCCACCTGCAGATTCTACCAAAAGTGTATTTGGAAACTGCTCCATCAAAAGGCATGTTCAGCTCTGTGAGTGAAACTCCATCATCACAAAGAATATTCTGAGAATGCTTCCGTTTGCCTTTTATATGAAGTTCCTTCCTATACGACCGTAGGCCTCAAAGCAGTCCAAATCTCCATTTGCAGATTCTACAAAAAGAGTGATTCCAATCTGCTCTATCAATAGGATTGTTCAACTCCATGAGTTGAATGCCATCCTCACCAAGTCGTTTCTGAGAATGCTTCTATCTAGTTTTTATGTGAAGATATTTCCTTTTCCACCACAGGCCTCAAATCCCTCCAAACGTCCACTTGCAGATTCTCGAAAAAGAGTGTTTCATAGCTGCTCTTTCAAAAGGAAAGTTCAACTCTGGGAGTTGAATACAAACATCACAAAGTAGTTTCCGAGAATGCTTCTGTTTAGTTTTTATGTGAAGATGATCCCGTTTCCAGTGAAATCTTCAAAGAGGTCCACATATCCCCTTGCAGATTCCAAAGAAAGAGGGTTTCAAAACTGCTCCATCAGAAGGATTGTTCAACTCTGTGAGTTGAATGCAGTCATCGCAGAAAACTTTCTGAGAATGCTTCTGTCTAGGTTTGATGTGAAGATATAGACGTTTCAAACGAAGGCTACAAAGTGGTCAAAATATACACTTGCAGATTGTACTAAAAGGGTGTTGCAAACCTGAACTATCAAAGGAAGGTTCAACTCTGTGGGTTGAATACAAACATCGCAGAGAATGTTCTGAGTTTGCTTCCGTTCAGTTATGGGAAGTTGATCCCGTTTCCAACGAAATCCTCAGAGAGGTCCAAATATCCCCTTGCAGATTCTACAAAACGTGTGTTTGGAAACTGCTCCATCATAACGAATGTTCAGCTCCCTGAGTTAAACTCCATCGTCACAAAGAATTTTCTGAGAGTGCTACCGTCTGGTTTTTATATGAAGCTCTTTCCTTCACTACCACAGGCCTCAAAGCGGTCCAAATCTCCACTTGCAGATTCTACAAAAAGAGTGTTTGCAAACTGCTCTATCAAAAGGAATGTTCAACTCTGGGAGTTGAATGCAATCATCACAGAGCAGTTTCTGAGAATGCTTCTATGTCGTTTTTAGGAGAAGATATTTCCTTTTCCAACACAGTCCTCCAAGCCCGCTAAATAGCCACTTGCACATTGTAGAAAAAGTGTGTCGAAGCTGCGCTATCAAAGGGAAAGTTCAACTCTGTGAGGTGAATGCAAACATCCCAAAGAAGTTTCTGAGAATGCTTCCGTTTAGCTTTTAGGTGAAGATTATCCCGTTTCCAACGAAATCTTCAAAGAGGTCCAAATATCCCCTTGCGGATCCCACAGAAAGAGTGTTTCGAAACTGCTGTTTCAAAAGGAATCTTCAACTCTGTGAGTTGAATGCAATCATCACAAAGAAGTTTCTGACAATGCTTCTCTCTCGTCTTTATGTGAAGATATTTCCTTTTCCACCACAGGCCTGAAAGCGCTCCAAATGTCCTCTTGCAGATTCTGCGAACAGAATGTTTCAAAACTGCTCTATGAAAAGCAATGTTAAACTCTGTGGCTCGAACACAAACATCACAAATCAGTTTCTGAGAATGCTTCAGTTTAGTTTTTCTGTGGAAATATTCCCGTTTCCAAAGAAATCTTCAAAGAGGTCCACGTATCCACTTACAGATTCTACAAAAAGACAGTTTCAAAACTGCTCCATCAAAAGGAGGGTTCAACTGTGTGACTTGAATGCAATCATCACTCAGAAGTTTCTGAGAATGCTTCTCTTTAGTTTTTACGTGAACATATACCCGTTTCGAACGAAGGCCACCCAGTGGTCCAAATATCCACTTGCAGATTCTACAGAAAGAGTGTTTCGAACCTGAACTCTCAAAGGCAGGTTCATCTCTGCGAGTTAAATGCATTCATCATGAAGAACTTTCTCAGCGTGTTTGTGTTTAGTTATGGGAAATTATTCCCGTTTCCAACGAAATCCTCAGAGAGCTCCAAATATCCACCTGCAGATTCTACCAAAAGTGTATTTGGAAACTGCTCCATCAAAAGGCATGTTCAGCTCTGTGAGTGAAACTCCATCATCACAAAGAATATTCTGAGAATGCTTCCCGTTTGCCTTTTATATGAAGTTCCTTCCTATACGACCGTAGGCCTCAAAGCAGTCCAAATCTCCATTTGCAGATTCTACAAAAAGAGTGATTCCAATCTGCTCTATCAATAGGATTGTTCAACTCCATGAGTTGAATGCCATCCTCACAAAGTCGTTTCTGAGAATGCTTCTATCTGGTTTTTGTGTGAAGATATTTCCTTTTCCACCACAGGCCTCAAAGCCCTCCAAACGTCCACTTGCAGATTCTCGAAAAAGAGTGTTTCATAGCTGCTCTTTCAAAAGGAAAGTTCAACTCTGGGAGTTGAATACAAACATCACAAAATAGTTTCCGAGAATGCTTCTGTTTAGTTTTTATGTGAAGATGATCCCGTTTCCAGTGAAATCTTCAAAGAGGTCCACATATCCCCTTGCAGATTCCAAAGAAAGAGGGTTTCAAAACTGCTCCATCAGAAGGATTGTTCAACTCTGTGAGTTGAATGCAGTCATCGCAGAAAACTTTCTGAGAATGCTTCTGTCTAGGTTTGATGTGAAGATATAGACGTTCAAACGAAGGCTACAAAGTGGTCAAAATATACACTTGCAGATTCTACTACAAGGGTGTTGCAAACCTGAACTATCAAAGGAAGGTTCAACTCTGTGAGTTGAATACAAACATCACAAAGAATGTTCTGAGTTTGCTTCCGTTCAGTTATGGGAAGTTGATCCCGTTTCCAACGAAATCCTCAGAGAGGTCCAAATATCCCCTCGCAGATTCTACAAAACGTGTGTTTGGAAACTGCTCCATCATAACGAATGTTCAGCTCCCTGAGTTAAACTCCATCGTCACAAAGAATTTTCTGAGAGTGCTACCGTCTGGTTTTTATATGAAGTTCTTTCCTTCACTACCACAGGCCTCAAAGCGGTCCAAATCTCCACTTGCAGATTCTACAAAAAGAGTGTTTGCAAACTGCTCTATCAAAAGGAATGTTCAACTCTGGGAGTTGAATGCAATCATCACAGAGCAGTTTCTGAGAATGCTTCTATGTCGTTTTTAGGAGAAGATATTTCCTTTTCCAACACAGTCCTCCAAGCCCGCTAAATAGCCACTTGCACATTGTAGAAAAAGTGTGTCAAAGCTGCGCTATCAAAGGGAAAGTTCAACTCTGTGAGGTGAATGCAAACATCCCAAAGAAGTTTCTGAGAATGCTTCCGTTTAGCTTTTAGGTGAAGATTATCCCGTTTCCAACGAAACCTTCAAAGAGGTCCAAATATCCCCTTGCGGATCCCACAGAAAGAGTGTTTCGAAACTGCTGTTTCAAAAGGAATCTTCAACTCTGTGAGTTGAATGCAATCATCACAAAGAAGTTTCTGACAATGCTTCTCTCTCGTCTTTCTGTGAAGATAAAGGAAAAGGCTTTCAGGCCTTTTCCACCACAGGCCTGAAAGCGCTCCAAATGTCCACTTGCAGATTCTGCCAAAAGAATATTTCAAAACTGCTCTATGAAAAGCAATGTTAAACTCTGTGGCTCGAACACAAACATCACAAAGCGGTTTCTGAGAATGCTTCAGTTTAGTTTTTCTGTGGAAATATTCCCGTTTCCAAAGAAATCTTCAAAGAGGTCCACGTATGCACTTACAGATTCTACAAAAAGACAGTTTCAAAACTGCTCCATCAAAAGGAGGGTTCAACTGTGTGACTTGAATGCAATCATCACTCAGAAGTTTCTGAGAATGCTTCTCTTTAGTTTTTACGTGAACATATACCCGTTTCGAACGAAGGCCAGCCAGTGGTCCAAATATCCACTTGCAGATTCTACAGAAAGAGTGTTTTGAACCTGAACTCTCAAAGGCAGGTTCATCTCTGCGAGTTAAATGCATTCATCATGAAGAACTTTCTCAGCGTGTTTGTGTTTAGTTATGGGAAATTATTCCCGTTTCCAACGAAATCCTCAGAGAGCTCCAAATATCCACCTGCAGATTCTACCAAAAGTGTATTTGGAAACTGCTCCATGAAAAGGCATGTTCAGCTCTGTGAGTGAAACTCCGTCATCACAAAGAATATTCTGAGAATGCTTCCGTTTGCCTTTTATATGAAGTTCCTTCCTATACTACCGTAGGCCTCAAAGCAGTCCAAATCTCCATTTGCAGATTCTACAAAAAGAGTGATTCCAATCTGCTCTATCAATAGGATTGTTCAACTCCATGAGTTGAATGCCATCCTCACAAAGTCGTTTCTGAGAATGCTTCTATCTAGTTTTTATGTGAAGATATTTCCTTTTCCACCACAGGCCTCAAAGCCTTCCAAACGTCCACTTGCAGATTCTCGAAAAAGAGTGTTTCATAGCTGCTCTTTCAAAAGGAAAGTTCAACTCTGGGAGTTGAATACAAACATCACAAAGTAGTTTCCGAGAATGCTTCTGTTTAGTTTTTATGTGAAGATGATCCCGTTTCCAGTGAAATCTTCAAAGAGGTCCACATATCCCCTTGCAGATTCCAAAGAAAGAGGGTTTCAAAACTGCTCCATCAATAGGATTGTTCAACTCTGTGAGTTGAATGCAGTCATCGCAGAAAACTTTCTGAGAATGCTTCTGTCTAGGTTTGATGTGAAGATATAGACGTTTCAAACGAAGGCTACAAAGTGGTCAAAATATACACTTGCAGATTCTACTACAAGGGTGTTACAAACCTGAACTATCAAAGGATGGTTCAACTCTGTGAGTTGAATACAAACATCACAAAGAATGTTCTGAGTTTGCTTCCGTTCAGTTATGGGAAGTTGATCCCGTTTCCAACGAAATCCTCAGAGAGGTCCAAATATCCCCTTGCAGATTCTACAAAACGTGTGTTTGGAAACTGCTCCATCATAACGAATGTTCAGCTCCCTGAGTTAAACTCCATCGTCACAAAGAATTTTCTGAGAGTGCTACCGTCTGGTTTTTATATGAAGTTCTTTCCTTCACTACCACAGGCCTCAAAGCGGTCCAAATCTCCACTTGCAGATTCTACAAAAAGAGTGTTTGCAAACTGCTCTATCAAAAGGAATGTTCAACTCTGGGAGTTGAATGCAATCATCACAGAGCAGTTTCTGAGAATGCTTCTATGTCGTTTTTAGGAGAAGATATTTCCTTTTCCAACACAGTCCCCCAAGCCCGCTAAATAGCCACTTGCACATTGTGGAAAAAGTGTGTCAAAGCTGCGCTATCAAAGGGAAAGTTCAACTCTGTCAGGTGAATGCAAACATCCCAAAGAAGTTTCTGAGAATGCTTCCGTTTAGCTTTTAGGTGAAGATTATCCCGTTTCCAACGAAAGCTTCAAAGAGGTCCAAATATCCCCTTGCGGATCCCACAGAAAGAGTGTTTCGAAACTGCTGTTTCAAAAGGAATCTTCAACTCTGTGAGTTGAATGCAATCATCACAAAGAAGTTTCTGACAATGCTTCTCTCTCGTCTTTCTGTGAAGATAAAGGAAAAGGCTTTCAGGCCTTTTCCACCACAGGCCTGAAAGCGCTCCAAATGTCCACTTGCAGATTCTGCGAAAAGAATATTTCAAAACTGCTCTATGAAAAGCAATGTTAAACTCTGTGGCTCGAACACAAACATCACAAAGCAGTTTCTGAGAATGCTTCAGTTTAGTTTTTCTGTGGAAATATTCCCGTTTCCAAAGAAATCTTCAAAGAGGTCCACGTATCCACTTACAGATTCTACAAAAAGACAGTTTCAAAACTGCTCCATCAAAAGGAGGGTTCAACCGTGTGACTTGAATGCAATCATCACTCAGAAGTTTCTGAGAATGCTTCTCTTTAGTTTTTACGTGAACATATACCCGTTTCGAACGAAGGCCAGCCAGTGGTCCAAATATCCACTTGCAGATTCTACAGAAAGAGTGTTTCGAACCTGAACTCTCAAAGGCAGGTTCATCTCTGCGAGTTAAATGCATTCATCATGAAGAACTTTCTCAGAGTGTTTGTGTTTAGTTATGGGAAATTATTCCCGTTTCCAACGAAATCCTCAGAGAGCTCCAAATATCCACCTGCAGATTCTACCAAAAGTGTATTTGGAAACTGCTCCAACAAAAGGCATGTTAAGCTCTGTGAGTGAAACTCCATCATCACAAAGAATATTCTGAGAATGCTTCCGTTTGCTTTTTATATGAAGTTCCTTCCTATACTACCGTAGGCCTCAAAGCAGTCCAAATCTCCATTTACAGATTCTACAAAAAGAGTGTTTCCAATCTGCTCTATCAATAGGATTGTTCAACTCCGTGAGTTGAATGCCATCCTCACAAAGTAGTTTCTGAGAATGCTTCTATCTGGTTTTTGTGTGAAGATATTTCCTTTTCCACCACAGGCCTCAAAGCCCTCCAAACGTCCACTTGCAGATTCTCGAAAAAGAGTGTTTCATAGCTGCTCTTTCAAAAGGAAAGTTCAACTCTGGGAGTTGAATGCAAACATCACAAAATAGTTTCCGAGAATGCTTCTGTTTAGTTTTTATGTGAAGATGATCCCGTTTCCAGTGAAATCTTCAAAGAGGTCCACATATCCCCTTGCAGATTCCAAAGAAAGAGGGTTTCAAAACTGCTCCATCAGAAGGATTGTTCAACTCTGTGAGTTGAATGCAGTCATCGCAGAAAACTTTCTGAGAATGCTTCTGTCTAGGTTTGATGTGAAGATATAGACGTTTCAAACGAAGGCTACAAAGTGGTCAAAATATACACTTGCAGATTCTACTACAAGGGTGTTGCAAACCTGAACTATCAAAGGAAGGTTCAACTCTGTGAGTTGAATACAAACATCACAAAGAATGTTCTGAGTTTGCTTCCGTTCAGTTATGGGAAGTTGATCCCGTTTCCAACGAAATCCTCAGAGAGGTCCAAATATCCCCTCGCAGATTCTACAAAACGTGTGTTTGGAAACTGCTCCATCATAACGAATGTTCAGCTCCCTGAGTTAAACTCCATCGTCACAAAGAATTTTCTGAGAGTGCTACCGTCTGGTTTTTATATGAAGCTCTTTCCTTCACTACCACAGGCCTCAAAGCGGTCCAAATCTCCACTTGCAGATTCTACAAAAAGAGTGTTTGCAAACTGCTCTATCAAAAGGAATGTTCAACTCTGGGAGTTGAATGCAATCATCACAGAGCAGTTTCTGAGAATGCTTCTATGTCGTTTTTAGGAGAAGATATTTCCTTTTCCAACACAGTCCTCCAAGCCCGCTAAATATCCACTTGCACATTGTAGAAAAAGTGTGTCGAAGCTGCGCTATCAAAGGGAAAGTTCAACTCTGTGAGGTGAATGCAAACATCCCAAAGAAGTTTCTGAGAATGCTTCCGTTTAGCTTTAAGTGAAGATTATCCCGTTTCCAACGAAATCTTCAAAGAGGTCCAAATATCCCCTTGCGGATCCCACAGAAAGAGTGTTTCGAAACTGCTGTTTCAAAAGGAATCTTCAACTCTGTGAGTTGAATGCAATCATCACAAAGAAGTTTCTGACAATGCTTCTCTCTCGTCTTTCTGTGAAGATAAAGGAAAAGGCTTTCAGGCCATTTCCACCACAGGCCTGAAAGCGCTCCAAATGTCCACTTGCAGATTCTGCCAAAAGAATATTTCAAAACTGCTCTATGAAAAGCAATGTTAAACTCTGCGGCTCGAACACAAACATCACAAAGCAGTTTCTGAGAATGCTTCAGTTTAGTTTTTCTGTGGAAATATTCCCGTTTCCAAAGAAATCTTCAAAGAGGTCCACGTATCCACTAACAGATTCTACAAAAAGACAGTTTCAAAACTGCTCCATCAAAAGGAGGGTTCAACTGTGTGACTTGAATGCAATCATCACTCACAAGTTTCTGAGAATGCTTCTCTTTAGTTTTTACGTGAACATATACCCGTTTCGAACGAAGGCCAGCCAGTGGTCCAAATATCCACTTGCAGATTCTACAGAAAGAGTGTTTCGAACCTGAACTCTCAAAGGCAGGTTCATCTCTGCGAGTTAAATGCATTCATCATGAAGAACTTTCTCAGAGTGTTTGTGTTTAGTTATGGGAAATTATTCCCGTTTCCAACGAAATCCTCAGAGAGGTCCAAATATCCACCTGCAGATTCTACCAAAAGTGTATTTGGAAACTGCTCCATCAAAAGGCATGTTCAGCTCTGTGAGTGAAACTCCATCATCACAAAGAATATTCTGAGAATGCTTCCGTTTGCCTTTTATATGAAGTTCCTTCCTATACGACCGTAGGCCTCAAAGCAGTCCAAATCTCCATTTGCAGATTCTACAAAAAGAGTGATTCCAATCTGCTCTATCAATAGGATTGTTCAACTCCATGAGTTGAATGCCATCCTCACAAAGTCGTTTCTGAGAATGCTTCTATCTAGTTTTTATGTGAAGATATTTCCTTTTCCACCACAGGCCTCAAAGCCCTCCAAGCGTCCACTTGCAGATTCTCGAAAAAGAGTGTTTCATAGCTGCTCTTTCAAAAGGAAAGTTCAAATCTGGCAGTTGAATACAAACATCACAAAGTAGTTTCCGAGAATGCTTCTGTTTAGTTTTTATGTGAAGATGATCCCGTTTCCAGTGAAATCTTCAAAGAGGTCCACATATCCCCTTGCAGATTCCAAAGAAAGAGGGTTTCAAAACTGCTCCATCAGAAGGATTGTTCAACTCTGTGAGTTGAATGCAGTCATCGCAGAAAACTTTCTGAGAATGCTTCTGTCTAGGTTTGATGTGAAGATATAGACGTTTCAAACGAAGGCTACAAAGTGGTCAAAATATACACTTGCAGATTCTGCTACAAGGGTGTTGCAAACCTGAACTATCAAAGGAAGGTTCAACTCTGTGAGTTGAATACAAACATCACAAAGAATGTTCTGAGTTTGCTTCCGTTCAGTTATGGGAAGTTGATCCCGTTTCCAACAAAATCCTCAGAGAGGTCCAAATATCCCCTTGCAGATTCTACAAAACGTGTGTTGGGAAACTGCTCCATCATAACGAATGTTCAGCTCCCTGAGTTAAACTCCATCGTCACAAAGAATTTTCTGAGAGTGCTACCGTCTGGTTTTTATATGAAGTTCTTTCCTTCACTACCACAGGCCTCAAAGCGGTCCAAATCTCCACTTGCAGATTCTACAAAAAGAGTGTTTGCAAACTGCTCTATCAAAAGGAATGTTCAACTCTGGGAGTTGAATGCAATCATCACAGAGCAGTTTCTGAGAATGCTTCTATGTCGTTTTTAGGAGAAGATATTTCCTTTTCCAACACAGTCCTCCAAGCCCGCTAAATAGCCACTTGCACATTGTAGAAAAAGTGTGTCAAAGCTGCGCTATCAAAGGGAAAGTTCAACTCTGTGAGGTGAATGCAAACATCCCAAAGAAGTTTCTGAGAATGCTTCCGTTTAGCTTTTAGGTGAAGATTATCCCGTTTCCAACGAAATCTTCAAAGAGGTCCAAATATCCCCTCGCGGATCCCACAGAAAGAGTGTTTCGAAACTGCTGTTTCAAAAGGAATCTTCAACTCTGTGAGTTGAATGCAATCATCACAAAGAAGTTTCTGACAATGCTTCTCTCTCGTCTTTCTGTGAAGGTAAAGGAAAAGGCTTTCAGGCCTTTTCCACCACAGGCCTGAACGTGCTCCAAATGTCCACTTGCAGATTCTGCCAAAAGAATATTTCAAAACTGCTCTATGAAAAGCAATGTTAAACTCTGTGGCTCGAACACAAACATCACAAAGCCGTTTCTGAGAATGCTTCAGTTTAGTTTTTCTGTGGAAATATTCCCGTTTCCAAAGAAATCTTCAAAGAGGTCCACGTATCCACTTACAGATTCTACAAAAAGACAGTTTCAAAACTGCTCCATCAAAAGGAGGGTTCAACTGTGTGACTTGAATGCAATCATCACTCAGAAGTTTCTGAGAATGCTTCTCTTTAGTTTTTACGTGAACATATACCCGTTTCGAACGAAGGCCACCCAGTGGTCCAAATATCCACTTGCAGATTATACAGAAAGAGTATTTCGAACCTGAACTCTCAAAGGCAGGTTCATCTCTGCGAGTTAAATGCATTCATCATGAAGAACTTTCTCAGAGTGTTTGTGTTTAGTTATGGGAAATTATTCCCGTTTCCAACGAAATCCTCAGAGAGCTCCAAATATCCACCTGCAGATTCTACCAAAAGTGTATTTGGAAACTGCTCCATCAAAAGGCATGTTCAGCTCTGTGAGTGAAACTCCATCATCACAAAGAATATTCTGAGAATGCTTCCGTTTGCCTTTTATATGAAGTTCCTTCCTGTACTACCGTAGGCCTCAAAGCAGTCCAAATCTCCATTTGCAGATTCTATAAAAAGAGTGATTCCAATCTGCTCTATCAATAGGATTGTTCAACTCCATGATTTGAATGCCATCCTCACAAAGTAGTTTCTGAGAATGCTTCTATCTGGTTTTTGTGTGAAGATATTTCCTTTTCCACCACAGGCCTCAAAGCCCTCCAAACGTCCACTTGCAGATTCTCGAAAAAGAGTGTTTCATAGCTGCTCTTTCAAAAGGAAAGTTCAACTCTGGGAGTTGAATGCAAACATCACAAAATAGTTTCCGAGAATGCTTCTGTTTAGTTTTTATGTGAAGATGATCCCGTTTCCAGTGAAATCTTCAAAGAGGTCCACATATCCCCTTGCAGATTCCAAAGAAAGAGGGTTTCAAAACTGCTCCATCAGAAGGATTGTTCAACTCTGTGAGTTGAATGCAGTCATCGCAGAAAACTTTCTGAGAATGCTTCTGTCTAGGTTTGATGTGAAGATATAGACGTTTCAAACGAAGGCTACAAAGTGGTCAAAATATACACTTGCAGATTCTACTACAAGGGTGTTGCAAACCTGAACTATCAAAGGAAGGTTCAACTCTGTGAATTGAATACAAACATCACAAAGAATGTTCTGAGTTTGCTTCCGTTCAGTTATGGGAAGTTGATCCCGTTTCCAACGAAATCCTCAGAGAGGTCCAAATATCCCCTTGCAGATTCTACAAAACGTGTGTTTGGAAACTGCTCCATCATAACGAATGTTCAGCTCCCTGAGTTAAACTCCATCGTCACAAAGAATTTTCTGAGAGTGCTACCGTCTGGTTTTTATATGAAGTTCTTTCCTTCACTACCACAGGCCTCAAAGCGGTCCAAATCTCCACTTGCAGATTCTACAAAAAGAGTGTTTGCAAACTGCTCTATCAAAAGGAATGTTCAACTCTGGGAGTTGAATGCAATCATCACAGAGCAGTTTCTGAGAATGCTTCTATGTCGTTTTTAGGAGAAGATATTTCCTTTTCCAACACAGTCCTCCAAGCCCGCTAAATAGCCACTTGCACATTGTAGAAAAAGTGTGTCAAAGCTGCGCTATCAAAGGGAAAGTTCAACTCTGTGAGGTGAATGCAAACATCCCAAAGAAGTTTCTGAGAATGCTTCCGTTTAGCTTTTAGGTGAAGATTATCCCGTTTCCAACGAAACCTTCAAAGAGGTCCAAATATCCCCTTGCGGATCCCACAGAAAGAGTGTTTCGAAACTGCTGTTTCAAAAGGAATCTTCAACTCTGTGAGTTGAATGCAATCATCCCAAAGAAGTTTCTGACAATGCTTCTCTCTCGTCTTTCTGTGAAGATAAAGGAAAAGGCTTTCAGGCCTTTGCCACCACAGGCCTGAAAGCGCTCCAAATGTCCACTTGCAGATTCTGCGAAAAGAATATTTCAAAACTGCTCTATGAAAAGCAATGTTAAACTCTGTGGCTCGAACACAAACATCACAAAGCAGTTTCTGAGAATGCTTCAGTTTAGTTTTTCTGTGGAAATATTCCCGTTTCCAAAGAAATCTTCAAAGAGGTCCACGTATCCACTTACAGATTCTACAAAAAGACAGTTTCAAAACTGCTCCATCAAAAGGAGGGTTCAACTGTGTGACTTGAATGCAATCATCACTCAGAAGTTTCTGAGAATGCTTCTCTTTAGTTTTTACGTGAACATATACCCGTTTCGAACGAAGGCCACCCAGTGGTCCAAATATCCACTTGCAGATTCTACAGAAAGAGTGTTTGGAACCTGAACTCTCAAAGGCAGGTTCATCTCTGCGAGTTAAATGCATTCATCATGAAGAACTTTCTCAGAGTGTTTGTGTTTAGTTATGGGAAATTATTCCCGTTTCCAACGAAATCCTCCGAGAGGTCCAAATATCCACCTGCAGATTCTACCAAAAGTGTATTTGGAAACTGCTCCATCAAAAGGCATGTTCAGCTCTGTGAGTGAAACTCCATCATCACAAAGAATATTCTGAGAATGCTTCCGTTTGCCTTTTACATGAAGTTCCTTCCTATACTACCGTAGGCCTCAAAGCAGTCCAAATCTCCATTTGCAGATTCTACAAAAAGAGTGATTCCAATCTGCTCTATCAATAGGATTGTTCAACTCCATGAGTTGAATGCCTTCCTCACAAAGTCGTTTCTGAGAATGCTTCTATCTAGTTTTTATGTGAAGATATTTCCTTTTCCACCACAGGCCTCAAAGCCCTCCAAACATCCACTTGCAGATTCTCGAAAAAGAGTGTTTCATAGCTGCTCTTTCAAAAGGAAAGTTCAACTCTGGGAGTTGAATACAAACATCACAAAGTAGTTTCCGAGAATGCTTCTGTTTAGTTCTTATGTGAAGATGATCCCGTTTCCAGTGAAATCTTCAAAGAGGTCCACATATGCCCTTGCAGATTCCAAAGAAAGTGGGTTTCAAAACTGCTCCATCAAAAGGATTGCTCAACTCTGTGAGTAGAATGCAGTCATCGCAGAAAACTTTCTGAGAATGCTTCTGTCTAGGTTTGATGTGAAGATATAGACGTTTCAAACGAAGGCTACAAAGTGGTCAAAATATACACTTGCAGATTCTACTACAAGGGTGTTGCAAACCTGAACTATCAAAGGAAGGTTCAACTCTGTGAGTTGAATACAAACATCACAAAGAATGTTCTGAGTTTGCTTCCGTTCACTTATGGGAAGTTGATCCCGTTTCCAACGAAATCCTCAGAGAGGTCCAAATATCCCCTTGCAGATTCTGCAAAACGTGTGTTTGGAAACTGCTCCATCATAACGAATGTTCAGCTCTCTGAGTTAAACTCCATCGTCACAAAGAATTTTCTGAGAGTGCTACCGTCTAGTTTTTATATGAAGTTCTTTCCTTTACTACCACAGGCCTCAAAGCGGTCCAAATCTCCACTTGCAGATTCTACAAAAAGAGTGTTTGCAAACTGCTCTATCAAAAGGAATGTTCAACTCTGGGAGTTGAATGCAATCATCACAGAGCAGTTTCTGAGAATGCTTCTATGTCGTTTTTAGGAGAAGATATTTCCTTTTCCAACACAGTCCTCCACGCCCGCTAAATATCCACTTGCACATTGTAGAAAAAGTGTGTCAAAGCTGCGCTATCAAAGGGAAAGTTCAACTCTGTGAGGTGAATGCAAACATCCCAAAGAAGTTTCTGAGAGTGCTTCCGTTTAGCTTTTAGGTGAAGATTATCCCGTTTCCAACGAAAGCTTCAAAGAGGTCCAAATATCCCCTTGCGGATCCCACAGAAAGAGTGTTTCGAAACTGCTGTTTCAAAAGGAATCTTCAACTCTGTGAGTTGAATGCAATCATCACAAAGAAGTTTCTGACAATGCTTCTCTCTCGTCTTTCTGTGAAGATAAAGGAAAAGGCTTTCAGGCCTTTTCCACCACAGGCCTGAAAGCGCTCCAAATGTCCACTTGCAGATTCTGCGAAAAGAATATTTCAAAACTGCTCTATGAAAAGCAATGTTAAACTCTGTGGCTCGAACACAAACATCACAAAGCGGTTTCTGAGAATGCTTCAGTTTAGTTTTTCTGTGGAAATATTCCCGTTTCCAAAGAAATCTTCAAAAGAGGTCCACGCATCCACTTACAGATTCTACAAAAAGACAGTTTCAAAACTGCTCAATCAAAAGGAGGGTTCAACTGTGTGACTTGAATGCAATCATCACTCAGAAGTTTCTGAGAACGCTTCTCTTTAGTTTTTACGTGAACATATACCCGTTTCGAAAGAAGGCCACCCAGTGGTCCAAATATCCACTTGCAGATTCTACAGAAAGAGTGTTTCGAACCTGAACTCTCAAAGGCAGGTTCATCTCTGCGAGTTCAATGCATTCATCATGAAGAACTTTCTCAGCGTGTTTGTGTTTAGTTATGGGAAATTATTCCCGTTTCCAACGAAATCCTCAGAGAGCTCCAAATATCCACCTGCAGATTCTACCAAAAGTGTATTTGGAAACTGCTCCATCAAAAGGCATGTTCAGCTCTGTGAGTGAAACTCCATCATCACAAAGAATATTCTGAGAATGCTTCCGTTTGCCTTTTATATGAAGTTCCTTCCTGTACTACCGTAGGCCTCAAAGCAGTCCAAATCTCCATTTGCAGATTCTATAAAAAGAGTGATTCCAATCTGCTCTATCAATAGGATTGTTCAACTCCATGAGTTGAATGCCATCCTCACAAAGTAGTTTCTGAGAATGCTTCTATCTGGTTTTTGTGTGAAGATATTTCCTTTTCCACCACAGGCCTCAAAGCCCTCCAAACGTCCACTTGCAGATTCTCGAAAAAGAGTGTTTCATAGCTGCTCTTTCAAAAGGAAAGTTCAACTCTTTGAGTTGAATACAAACATCACAAAGTAGTTTCCGAGAATGCTTCTGTTTAGTTTTTATGTGAAGATGATCCCGTTTCCAGTGAAATCTTCAAAGAGGTCCACATATCCCCTTGCAGATTCCAAAGAAAGAGGGTTTCAAAACTGCTCCATCAGAAGGATTGTTCAACTCTGTGAGTTGAATGCAGTCATCGCAGAAAACTTTCTGAGAATGCTTCTGTCTAGGTTTGATGTGAAGATATAGACGTTTCAAACGAAGGCTACAAAGTGGTCAAAATATACACTTGCAGATTCTACTACAAGGGTGTTGCAAACCTGAACTATCAAAGGAAGGTTGAACTCTGTGAGTTGAATACAAACATCACAAAGAATGTTCTGAGTTTGCTTCCGTTCAGTTATGGGAAGTTGATCCCGTTTCCAAAGAAATCCTCAGAGAGGTCCAAATATCCCCTCGCAGATTCTACAAAACGTGTGTTTGGAAACTGCTCCATCATAACGAATGTTCAGCTCCCTGAGTTAAACTCCATCGTCACAAAGAATTTTCTGAGAGTGCTACCGTCTGGTTTTTATATGAAGTTCTTTCCTTCACTACCACAGGCCTCAAAGCGGTCCAAATCTCCACTTGCAGATTCTACAAAAAGAGTGTTTGCAAACTGCTCTATCAAAAGGAATGTTCAACTCTGGGAGTTGAATGCAATCATCACAGAGCAGTTTCTGAGAATGCTTCTATGTCGTTTTTAGGAGAAGATATTTCCTTTTCCAACACAGTCCTCCAAGCCCGCTAAATATCCACTTGCACATTGTAGAAAAAGTGTGTCGAAGCTGCGCTATCAAAGGGAAAGTTCAACTCTGTGAGGTGAATGCTAACATCCCAAAGAAGTTTCTGAGAATGCTTCCGTTTAGCTTTTAGGTGAAGATTATCCCGTTTCCAACGAAATCTTCAAAGAGGTCCAAATATCCCCTTGCGGATCCCACAGAAAGAGTGTTTCGAAACTGCTGTTTCAAAAGGAATCTTCAACTCTGTGGGTTGAATGCAATCATCACAAAGAAGTTTCTGACAATGCTTCTCTCTCGTCTTTCTGTGAAGATAAAGGAAAAGGCTTTCAGGCCTTTTCCACCACAGGCCTGAAAGCGCTCCAAATGTCCACTTGCAGATTCTGCCAAAAGAATATTTCAAAACTGCTCTATGAAAAGCAATGTTAAACTCTGTGGCTCGAACACAAACATCACAAAGCAGTTTCTGAGAATGCTTCAGTTTAGTTTTTCTGTGGAAATATTCCCGTTTCCAAAGAAATCTTCAAAGAGGTCCACGTATCCACTTACAGATTCTACAAAAAGACAGTTTCAAAACTGCTCCATCAAAAGGAGGGTTCAACTGTGTGACTTGAATGCAATCATCACTCAGAAGTTTCTGAGAATGCTTCTCTTTAGTTTTTACGTGAACATATACCCGTTTCGAACGAAGGCCACCCAGTGGTCCAAATATCCACTTGCAGATTATACAGAAAGAGTGTTTCGAACCTGAACTCTCAAAGGCAGGTTCATCTCTGCGAGTTAAATGCATTCATCATGAAGAACTTTCTCAGAGTGTTTGTGTTTAGTTATGGGAAATTATTCCCGTTTCCAACGAAATCCTCAGAGAGCTCCAAATATCCACCTGCAGATTCTACCAAAAGTGTATTTGGAAACTGCTCCATCAAAAGGCATGTTCAGCTCTGTGAGTGAAACTCCATCATCACAAAGAATATTCTGAGAATGCTTCCGTTTGCCTTTTATCTGAAGTTCCTTCCTGTACTACCGTAGGCCTCAAAGCAGTCCAAATCTCCATTTGCAGATTCTATAAAAAGAGTGATTCCAATCTGCTCTATCAATAGGATTGTTCAACTCCATGAGTTGAATGCCATCCTCACAAAGTAGTTTCTGAGAATGCTTCTATCTGGTTTTTGTGTGAAGATATTTCCTTTTCCACCACAGGCCTCAAAGCCCTCCAAACGTCCACTTGCAGATTCTCGAAAAAGAGTGTTTCATAGCTGCTCTTTCAAAAGGAAAGTTCAAGTCTGGGAGTTGAATGCAAACATCACAAAATAGTTTCCGAGAATGCTTCTGTTTAGTTTTTATGTGAAGATGATCCCGTTTCCAGTGAAATCTTCAAAGAGGTCCACATATCCCCTTGCAGATTCCAAAGAAAGAGGGTTTCAAAACTGCTCCATCAGAAGGATTGTTCAACTCTGTGAGTTGAATGCAGTCATCGCAGAAAACTTTCTGAGAATGCTTCTGTCTAGGTTTGATGTGAAGATATAGACGTTTCAAACGAAGGCTACAAAGTGGTCAAAATATACACTTGCAGATTCTACTACAAGGGTGTTGCAAACCTGAACTATCAAAGGAAGGTTCAACTCTGTGAGTTGAATACAAACATCACAAAGAATGTTCTGAGTTTGCTTCCGTTCAGTTATGGGAAGTTGATCCCGTTTCCAACGAAATCCTCAGAGAGGTCCAAATATCCCCTCGCAGATTCTACAAAACGTGTGTTTGGAAACTGCTCCATCATAACGAATGTTCAGCTCCCTGAGTTAAACTCCATCGTCACAAAGAATTTTCTGAGAGTGCTACCGTCTGGTTTTTATATGAAGTTCTTTCCTTCACTACCACAGGCCTCAAAGCGGTCCAAATCTCCACTTGCAGATTCTACAAAAAGAGTGTTTGCAAACTGCTCTATCAAAAGGAATGTTCAACTCTGGGAGTTGAATGCAATCATCACAGAGCAGTTTCTGAGAATGCTTCTATGTCGTTTTTAGGAGAAGATATTTCCTTTTCCAACACAGTCCTCCAAGCCCGCTAAATAGCCACTTGCACATTGTAGAAAAAGTGTGTCAAAGCTGCGCTATCAAAGGGAAAGTTCAACTCTGTGAGGTGAATGCAAACATCCCAAAGAAGTTTCTGAGAATGCTTCCGTTTAGCTTTTAGGTGAGGATTATCCCGTTTCCAACGAAACCTTCAAAGAGGTCCAAATATCCCCTTGCGGATCCCACAGAAAGAGTGTTTCGAAACTGCTGTTTCAAAAGGAATGTTCAACTCTGTGAGTTGAATGCAATCATCACAAAGAAGTTTCTGACAATGCTTCTCTCTCGTCTTTCTGTGAAGATAAAGGAAAAGGCTTTCAGGCCTTTTCCACCACAGGCCTGAAAGCGCTCCAAATGTCCACTTGCAGATTCTGCGAAAAGAATATTTCAAAACTGCTCTATGAAAAGCAATGTTAAACTCTGTGGCTCGAACACAAACATCACAAAGCAGTTTCTGAGAATGCTTCAGTTTAGTTTTTCTGTGGAAATATTCCCGTTTCCAAAGAAATCTTCAAAGAGGTCCACGCATCCACTTACAGATTCTACAAAAAGACAGTTTCAAAACTGCTCCATCAAAAGGAGGGTTCAACTGTGTGACTTGAATGCAATCATCACTCAGAAGTTTCTGAGAATGCTTCTCTTTAGTTTTTACGTGAACATATACCCGTTTCGAACGAAGGCCACCCAGTGGTCCAAATATCCACTTGCAGATTCTACAGAAAGAGTGTTTCGAACCTGAACTCTCAAAGGCAGGTTCATCTCTGCGAGTTCAATGCATTCAACATGAAGAACTTTCTCAGCGTGTTTGTGTTTAGTTATGGGAAATTATTCCCGTTTCCAACGAAATCCTCAGAGAGCTCCAAATATCCACCTGCAGATTCTACCAAAAGTGTATTTGGAAACTGCTCCATCAAAAGGCATGTTCAGCTCTGTGAGTGAAACTCCATCATCACAATGAATATTCTGAGAATGCTTCCGTTTGCCTTTTATATGAAGTTCCTTCCTGTACTACCGTAGGCCTCAAAGCAGTCCAAATCTCCATTTGCAGATTCTATAAAAAGAGTGATTCCAATCTGCTCTATCAATAGGATTGTTCAACTCCATGAGTTGAATGCCATCCTCACAAAGTAGTTTCTGAGAATGCTTCTATCTGGTTTTTGTGTGAAGATATTTCCTTTTCCACCACAGGCCTCAAAGCCCTCCAAACGTCCACTTGCAGATTCTCGAAAAAGAGTGTTTTATAGCTGCTCTTTCAAAAGGAAAGTTCAACTCTGGGAGTTGAATACAAACATCACAAAGTAGTTTCCGAGAATGCTTCTGTTTAGTTTTTATGTGAAGATGATCCCGTTTCCAGTGAAATCTTCAAAGAGGTCCACATATCCCCTTGCAGATTCCAAAGAAAGAGGGTTTCAAAACTGCTCCATCAGAAGGATTGTTCAACTCTGTGAGTTGAATGCAGTCATCGCAGAAAACTTTCTGAGAATGCTTCTGTCTAGGTTTGAGGTGAAGATATAGACGTTTCAAACGAAGGCTACAAAGTGGTCAAAATATACACTTGCAGATTCTACTACAAGGGTGTTGCAAACCTGAACTATCAAAGGAAGGTTCCACTCTGTGAGTTGAATACAAACATCACAAAGAATGTTCTGAGTTTGCTTCCGTTCAGTTATGGGAAGTTGATCCCGTTTCCAACGAAATCCTCAGAGAGGTCCAAATATCCCCTTGCAGATTCTACAAAACGTGTGTTTGGAAACTGCTCCATCATAACGAATGTTCAGCTCCCTGAGTTAAACTCCATCGTCACAAAGAATTTTCTGAGAGTGCTACCGTCTGGTTTTTATATGAAGTTCTTCCCTTTACTACCACAGGCCTCAAAGCGGTCCAAATCTCCACTTGCAGATTCTACAAAAAGAGTGTTTGCAAACTGCTCTATCAAAAGGAATGTTCAACTCTGGGAGTTGAATGCAATCATCACAGAGCAGTTTCTGAGAATGCTTCTATGTCGTTTTTAGGAGAAGATATTTCCTTTTCCAACACAGTCCTCCAAGTCCGCTAAATAGCCACTTGCACATTGTAGAAAAAGTGTGTCAAAGCTGCGCTATCAAAGGGAAAGTTCAACTCTGTGAGGTGAATGCAAACATCCCAAAGAAGTTTCTGAGAATGCTTCCGTTTAGCTTTTAGGTGAAGATTATCCCGTTTCCAACGAAACCTTCAAAGAGGTCCAAATATCCCCTTGCGGATCCCACAGAAAGAGTGTTTCGAAACTGCTGTTTCAAAAGGAATCTTCAACTCTGTGAGTTGAATGCAATCATCACAAAGAAGTTTCTGACAATGCTTCTCTCTCGTCTTTCTGTGAAGATAAAGGAAAAGGCTTTCAGGCCTTTTCCACCACAGGCCTGAAAGCGCTCCAAATGTCCACTTGCAGATTCTGCGAAAAGAATATTTCAAAACTGCTCTATGAAAAGCAATGTTAAACTCTGTGGCTCGAACACAAACATCACAAAGCGGTTTCTGAGAATGCTTCAGTTTAGTTTTTCTGTGGAAATATTCCCGTTTCCAAAGAAATCTTCAAAGAGGTCCACGTATCCACTTACAGATTCTACAAAAAGACAGTTTCAAAACTGCTCCATCAAAAGGAGGGTTCAACTGTGTGACTTGAATGCAATCATCACTCAGAAGTTTCTGAGAATGCTTCTCTTTAGTTTTTACGTGAACATATACCCGTTTCGAACGAAGGCCACCCAGTGGTCCAAATATCCACTTGCAAATTATACAGAAAGAGTGTTTCGAACCTGAACTCTCAAAGGCAGGTTCATCTCTGCGAGTTAAATGCATTCATCATGAAGAACTTTCTCAGAGTGTTTGTGTTTAGTTATGGGAAATTATTCCCGTTTCCAACGAAATCCTCAGAGAGCTCCAAATATCCACCTGCAGATTCTACCAAAAGTGTATTTGGAAACTGCTCCATCAAAAGGCATGTTCAGCTCTGTGAGTGAAACTCCATCATCACAAAGAATATTCTGAGAATGCTTCCGTTTGCCTTTTATATGAAGTTCCTTCCTGTACTACCGTAGGCCTCAAAGCAGTCCAAATCTCCATTTGCAGATTCTACAAAAAGAGTGATTCCAATCTGCTCTATCAATAGGATTGTTCAACTCCATGAGTTGAATGCCATCCTCACAAAGTCGTTTCTGAGAATGCTTCTATCTGGTTTTTGTGTGAAGATATTTCCTTTTCCACCACAGGCCTCAAAGCCCTCCAAACGTCCACTTGCAGATTCTCGAAAAAGAGTGTTTCATAGCTGCTCTTTCAAAAGGAAAGTTCAACTCTGGGAGTTGAATACAAACATCACAAAATAGTTTCCGAGAATGCTTCTGTTTAGTTTTTATGTGAAGATGATCCCGTTTCCAGTGAAATCTTCAAAGAGGTCCACATATCCCCTTGCAGATTCCAAAGAAAGAGGGTTTCAAAACTGCTCCATCAGAAGGATTGTTCAACTCTGTGAGTTGAATGCAGTCATCGCAGAAAACTTTCTGAGAATGCTTCTGTCTAGGTTTGATGTGAAGATATAGACGTTTCAAACGAAGGCTACAAAGTGGTCAAAATATACAATTGCAGATTCTACTACAAGGGTGTTGCAAACCTGAACTATCAAAGGAAGGTTCAACTCTGTGAGTTGAATACAAACATCACAAAGAATGTTCTGAGTTTGCTTCCGTTCAGTTATGGGAAGTTGATCCCGTTTCCAACGAAATCCTCAGAGAGGTCCAAATATCCCCTCGCAGATTCTACAAAACGTGTGTTTGGAAACTGCTCCATCATAACGAATGTTCAGCTCCCTGAGTTAAACTCCATCGTCACAAAGAATTTTCTGAGAGTGCTACCGTCTGGTTTTTATATGAAGTTCTTTCCTTCACTACCACAGGCCTCAAAGCGGTCCAAATCTCCACTTGCAGATTCTACAAAAAGAGTGTTTGCAAACTGCTCTATCAAAAGGAATGTTCAACTCTGGGAGTTGAATGCAATCATCACAGAGCAGTTTCTGAGAATGCTTCTATGTCGTTTTTAGGAGAAGATATTTCCTTTTCCAACACAGTCCTCCACGCCCGCTAAATATCCACTTGCACATTGTAGAAAAAAAGTGTGTCAAAGCTGCGCTATCAAAGGGAAAGTTCAACTCTGTGAGGTGAATGCAAACATCCCAAAGAAGTTTCTGAGAGTGCTTCCGTTTAGCTTTTAGGTGAAGATTATCCCGTTTCCAACGAAAGCTTCAAAGAGGTCCAAATATCCCCTTGCGGATCCCACAGAAAGAGTGTTTCGAAACTGCTGTTTCAAAAGGAATCTTCAACTCTGTGAGTTGAATGCAATCATCACAAAGAAGTTTCTGACAATGCTTCTCTCTCGTCTTTCTGTGAAGATAAAGGAAAAGGCTTTCAGGCCTTTTCCACCACAGGCCTGAAAGCGCTCCAAATGTCCACTTGCAGATTCTGCCAAAAGAATATTTCAAAACTGCTCTATGAAAAGCAATGTTAAACTCTGTGGCTCGAACACAAACATCACAAAGCAGTTTCTGAGAATGCTTCAGTTTAGTTTTTCTGTGGAAATATTCCCGTTTCCAAAGAAATCTTCAAAGAGGTCCACGCATCCACTTACAGATTCTACAAAAAGACAGTTTCAAAACTGCTCAATCAAAAGGAGGGTTCAACTGTGTGACTTGAATGCAATCATCACTCAGAAGTTTCTGAGAACGCTTCTCTTTAGTTTTTACTTGAACATATACCCGTTTCGAACGAAGGCCAGACAGTGGTCCAAATATCCACTTGCAGATTCTACAGAAAGAGTGTTTCGAATCTGAACTCTCAAAGGCAGGTTCATCTCTGCGAGTTAAATGCATTCATCATGAAGAACTTTCTCAGCGTGTTTGTGTTTAGTTATGGGAAATTATTCCCGTTTCCAACGAAATCCTCAGAGAGCTCCAAATATCCACCTGCAGATTCTACCAAAAGTGTATTTGGAAACTGCTCCATCAAAAGGCATGTTCAGCTCTGTGAGTGAAACTCCATCATCACACAAAATATTCTGAGAATGCTTCCGTTTGCCTTTTATATGAAGTTCCTTCCTATACTACCGTAGGCCTCAAAGCAGTCCAAATCTCCATTTGCAGATTCTACAAAAAGAGTGATTCCAATCTCCTCTATCAATAGGACTGTTCAACTCCATGAGTTGAATGCCATCCTCACAAAGTCGTTTCTGAGAATGCTTCTATCTACTTTTTATGTGAAGATATTTCCTTTTCCACCACAGGCCTCAAAGCCCTCCAAACGTCCACTTGCAGATTCTCGAAAAAGAGTGTTTCATAGCTGCTCTTTCAAAAGGAAAGTTCAACTCTGGGAGTTGAATACAAACATCACAAAGTAGTTTCCGAGAATGCTTCTGTTTAGTTCTTATGTGAAGATGATCCCCTTTCCAGTGAAATCTTCAAAGAGGTCCACATATCCCCTTGCAGATTCCAAAGAAAGAGGGTTTCAAAACTGCTCCATCAAAAGGATTGTTCAACTCTGTGAGTTGAATGCAGTCATCGCAGAAAACTTTCTGAGAATGCTTCTGTCTAGGTTTGATGTGAAGATATAGACGTTTCAAACGAAGGCTACAAAGTGGTCAAAATATACACTTGCAGATTCTACTACAAGGGTGTTGCAAACCTGAACTATCAAAGGAAGGTTCAACTCTGTGAGTTGAATACAAACATCACAAAGAATGTTCTGAGTTTGCTTCCGTTCAGTTATGGGAAGTTGATCCCGTTTCCAACGAAATCCTCAGAGAGGTCCAAATATCCCCTTGCAGATTCTACAAAACGTGTGTTTGGAAACTGCTCCATCATAACGAATGTTCAGCTCCCTGAGTTAAACTCCATCGTCACAAAGAATTTTCTGAGAGTGCTACCGTCTACTTTTTATATGAAGTTCTTTGCTTTACTACCACAGGCCTCAAAGCGGTCCAAATCTCCACTTGCAGATTCTACAAAAAGAGTGTTTGCAAACTGCTCTATCAAAAGGAATGTTCAACTCTGGGAGTTGAATGCAATCATCACAGAGCAGTTTCTGAGAATGCTTCTATGTCGTTTTTAGGAGAAGATATTTCCTTTTCCAACACAGTCCTCCAAGCCCGCTAAATAGCCACTTGCACATTGTAGAAAAAGTGTGTCAAAGCTGCGCTATCAAAGGGAAAGTTCAACTCTGTGAGGTGAATGCAAACATCCCAAAGAAGTTTCTGAGAATGCTTCCGTTTAGCTTTTAGGTGAAGATTATCCCGTTTCCAACGAAACCTTCAAAGAGGTCCAAATATCCCCTTGCGGATCCCACAGAAAGAGTGTTTCGAAACTGCTGATTCAAAAGGAATCTTCAACTCTGTGAGTTGAATGCAATCATCACAAAGAAGTTTCTGACAATGCTTCTCTCTCGTCTTTCTGTGAAGATAAAGGAAAAGGCTTTCAGGCCTTTTCCACCACAGGCCTGAAAGCGCTCCAAATGTCCACTTGCAGATTCTGCCAAAAGAATATTTCAAAACTGCTCTATGAAAAGCAATGTTAAACTCTGTGGCTGGAACACAAACATCACAAAGCGGTTTCTGAGAATGTTTCAGTTTAGTTTTTCTGTGGAAATATTCCCGTTTCCAAAGAAATCTTCAAAGAGGTCCACGTATCCACTTACAGATTCTACAAAAAGACAGTTTCAAAACTGCTCCATCAAAAGGAGGGTTCAACTGTGTGACTTGAATGCAATCATCACTCAGAAGTTTCTGAGAATGCTTCTCTTTAGTTTTTACGTGAACATATACCCGTTTAGAACGAAGGCCACCCAGTGGTCCAAATATCCACTTGCAGATTCTACAGAAAGAGTGTTTCGAACCTGAACTCTCAAAGGCAGGTTCATCTCTGCGAGTTCAATGCATTCATCATGAAGAACTTTCTCAGAGTGTTTGTGTTTAGTTATGGGAAATTATTCCCGTTTCCAACGAAATCCTCAGAGAGCTCCAAATATCCACCTGCAGATTCTACCAAAAGTGTATTTGGAAACTGCTCCATCAAAAGGCATGTTCAGCTCTGTGAGTGAAACTCCATCATCACAAAGAATATTCTGAGAATGCTTCCGTTTGTCTTTTATATGAAGTTCCTTCCTGTACTACCGTAGGCCTCAAAGCAGTCCAAATCTCCATTTGCAGATTCTACAAAAAGAGTGATTCCAATCTGCTCTATCAATAGGATTGTTCAACTCCATGAGTTGAATGCCATCCTCACAAAGTAGTTTCTGAGAATGCTTCTATCTGGTTTTTGTGTGAAGATATTTCCTTTTCCACCACAGGCCTCAAAGCCCTCCAAACGTCCACTTGCAGATTCTCGAAAAAGAGTGTTTCATAGCTGCTCTTTCAAAAGGAAAGTTCAACTCTGGGGAGTTGAATACAAACATCACAAAATAGTTTCCGAGAATGCTTCTGTTTAGTTCTTATGTGAAGTATGATCCCGTTTCCAGTGAAATCTTCAAAGAGGTCCACATATCCCCTTGCAGATTCCAAAGAAAGAGGGTTTCAAAACTGCTCCATCAAAAGGATTGTTCAACTCTGTGAGTTGAATGCAGTCATCGCAGAAAACTTTCTGAGAATGCTTCTGTCTAGGTTTGATGTGAAGATATAGACGTTTCAAACGAAGGCTACAAAGTGGTCAAAATATACACTTGCAGATTCTACTACAAGGGTGTTGCGAACCTGAACTATCAAAGGAAGGTTCAACTCTGTGAATTGAATACAAACATCACAAAGAATGTTCTGAGTTTGCTTCCGTTCAGTTATGGGAAGTTGATCCCGTTTCCAACGAAATCCTCAGAGAGGTCCAAATATCCCCTCGCAGATTCTACAAAACGTGTGTTTGGAAACTGCTCCATCATAACGAATGTTCAGCTCCCTGAGTTAAACTCCATCGTCACAAAGAATTTTCTGAGAGTGCTACCGTCTGGTTTTTATATGAAGTTCTTTCCTTCACTACCACAGGCCTCAAAGCGGTCCAAATCTCCACTTGCAGATTCTACAAAAAGAGTGTTTGCAAACTGCTCTATCAAAAGGAATGTTCAACTCTGGGAGTTGAATGCAATCATCACAGAGCAGTTTCTGAGAATGCTTCTATGTCGTTTTTAGGAGAAGATATTTCCTTTTCCAACACAGTCCTCCAAGCCCGCTAAATATCCACTTGCACATTGTAGAAAAAGTGTGTCGAAGCTGCGCTATCAAAGGGAAAGTTCAACTCTGTGAGGTGAATGCAAACATCCCAAAGAAGTTTCTGAGAATGCTTCCGTTTTGCTTTTAGGTGACGATTATCCAGTTTCAAACGAAACCTTCAAAGAGATCCTAATATCCCTTTGCGGATCCCACAGAAAGAGTGTTTCGAAACTGCTGTTTCAAAAGGAATCTTCAACTCTGTGAGTTGAATGCAATCATCACAAAGAAGTTTCTGACAATGCTTCTCTCTCGTCTTTCTGTGAAGATAAAGGAAAAGGCTTTCAGGCCTTTTCCACCACAGGCCTGAAAGCGCTCCAAATGTCCACTTGCAGATTCTGCCAAAAGAATATTTCAAAACTGCTCTATGAAAAGCAATGTTAAACTCTGTGACTCGAACACAAACATCACAAAGCAGTTTCTGAGAATGCTTCAGTTTAGTTTTTCTGTGGAAATATTCCCGTTTCCAAAGAAATCTTCAAAGAGGTCCACGCATCCACTTACAGATTCTACAAAAAGACAGTTTCAAAACTGCTCAATCAAAAGGAGGGTTCAACTGTGTGACTTGAATGCAATCATCACTCAGAAGTTTATGAGAACGCTTCTCTTTAGTTTTTACGTGAACATATACCCGTTTCGAACGAAGGGCACCCAGTGGTCCAAATATCCACTTGCAGATTCTACAGAAAGAGTGTTTCGAACCTGAACTCTCAAAGGCAGGTTCATCTCTGCGAGTTAAATGCATTCATCATGAAGAACTTTCTCAGCGTGTTTGTGTTTAGTTATGGGAAATTATTCCCGTTTCCAACGAAATCCTCAGAGAGCTCCAAATATCCACCTGCAGATTCTACCAAAAGTGTATTTGGAAACTGCTCCATCAAAAGGCATGTTCAGCTCTGTGAGTGAAACTCCATCATCACAAAGAATATTCTGAGAATGCTTCCGTTTGCCTTTTATATGAAGTTCCTTCCTATACGACCGTAGGCCTCAAAGCAGTCCAAATCTCCATTTGCAGATTCTACAAAAACAGTGATTCCAATCTGCTCTATCAATAGGATTGTTCAACTCCATGAGTTGAATGCCATCCTCACAAAGTCGTTTCTGAGAATGCTTCTATCTAGTTTTTATGTGAAGATATTTCCTTTTCCACCACAGGCCTCAAAGCCCTCCAAACGTCCACTTGCAGATTCTCGAAAAAGAGTGTTTCATAGCTGCTCTTTCAAAAGGAAAGTTCAACTCTGGGAGTTGAATACAAACATCACAAAGTAGTTTCCGAGAATGCTTCTGTTTAGTTTTTATGTGAAGATGATCCCGTTTCCAGTGAAATCTTCAAAGAGGTCCACATATCCCCTTGCAGATTCCAAAGAAAGAGGGTTTAAAAACTGCTCCATCAGAAGGATTGTTCAACTCTGTGAGTTGAATGCAGTCATCGTAGAAAACTTTCTGAGAATGCTTCTGTCTAGGTTTGATGTGAAGATATAGACGTTTCAAACGAAGGCTACAAAGTGGTCAAAATATACACTTGCAGATTCTACTACAAGGGTGTTGCAAACCTGAACTATCAAAGGAAGGTTCAACTCTGTGAATTGAATACAAACATCACAAAGAATGTTCTGAGTTTGCTTCCGTTCAGTTATGGGAAGTTGATCCCGTTTCCAACGAAATCCTCAGAGAGGTCCAAATATCCCCTTGCAGATTCTACAAAACGTGTGTTTGGAAACTGCTCCATCATAACGAATGTTCAGCTCCCTGAGTTAAACTCCATCGTCACAAAGAATTTTCTGAGAGTGCTACCGTCTGGTTTTTATATGAAGTTCTTTCCTTCACTACCACAGGCCTCAAAGCGGTCCAAATCTCCACTTGCAGATTCTACAAAAAGAGTGTTTGCAAACTGCTCTATCAAAAGGAATGTTCAACTCTGGGAGTTGAATGCAATCATCACAGAGCAGTTTCTGAGAATGCTTCTATGTCGTTTTTAGGAGAAGATATTTCCTTTTCCAACACAGTCCTCCAAGCCCGCTAAATAGCCACTTGCACATTGTAGAAAAAGTGTGTCAAAGCTGCGCTATCAAAGGGAAAGTTCAACTCTGTGAGGTGAATGCAAACATCCCAAAGAAGTTTCTGAGAATGCTTCCGTTTAGCTTTTAGGTGAAGATTATCCCGTTTCCAACGAAACCTTCAAAGAGGTCCAAATATCCCCTTGCGGATCCCACAGAAAGAGTGTTTCGAAACTGCTGATTCAAAAGGAATCTTCAACTCTGTGAGTTGAATGCAATCATCACAAAGAAGTTTCTGACAATGCTTCTCTCTCGTCTTTCTGTGAAGATAAAGGAAAAGGCTTTCAGGCCTTTTCCACCACAGGCCTGAAAGCGCTCCAAATGTCCACTTGCAGATTCTGCCAAAAGAATATTTCAAAACTGCTCTATGAAAAGCAATGTTAAACTCTGTGGCTGGAACACAAACATCACAAAGCGGTTTCTGAGAATGTTTCAGTTTAGTTTTTCTGTGGAAATATTCCCGTTTCCAAAGAAATCTTCAAAGAGGTCCACGCATCCACTTACAGATTCTACAAAAAGACAGTTTCAAAACTGCTCAATCAAAAGGAGGGTTCAACTGTGTGACTTGAAAGCAATCATCACTCAGAAGTTTCTGAGAACGCTTCTCTTTAGTTTTTACGTGAACATATACCCATTTCGAACGAAGGCCAGCCAGTGGTCCAAATATCCACTTGCAGATTCTACAGAAAGAGTGTTTCGAACCTGAACTCTCAAAGGCAGGTTCATCTCTGCGAGTTAAATGCATTCATCATGAAGAACTTTCTCAGCGTGTTTGTGTTTAGTTATGGGAAATTATTCCCGTTTCCAACGAAATCCTCAGAGAGCTCCAAATATCCACCTGCAGATTCTACCAAAAGTGTATTTGGAAACTGCTCCATCAAAAGGTATGTTCAGCTCTGTGAGTGAAACTCCATCATCACAAAGAATATTCTGAGAATGCTTCCGTTTGCCTTTTATATGAAGTTCCTTCCTATACTACCGTAGGCCTCAAAGCAGTCCAAATCTCCATTTGCAGATTCTACAAAAAGAGTGATTCCAATCTGCTCTATCAATAGGATTGTTCAACTCCATGAGTTGAATGCCATCCTCACAAAGTCGTTTCTGAGAATGCTTCTATCTAGTTTTTATGTGAAGATATTCCCTTTTCCACCACAGGCCTCAAAGCCCTCCAAACGTCCACTTGCAGATTCTCGAAAAAGAGTGTTTCATAGCTGCTCTTTCAAAAGGAAAGTTCAACTCTGGGAGTTGAATACAAACATCACAAAGTAGTTTCCGAGAATGCTTCTGTTTAGTTCTTATGTGAAGATGATCCCGTTTCCAGTGAAATCTTCAAAGAGGTCCACATATCCCCTTGCAGATTCCAAAGAAAGAGGGTTTCAAAACTGCTCCATCAAAAGGATTGTTCAACTCTGTGAGTTGAATGCAGTCATTGCAGAAAACTTTCTGAGAATGCTTCTGTCTAGGTTTGATGTGAAGATATAGACGTTTCAAACGAAGGCTACAAAGTGGTCAAAATATACACTTGCAGATTCTACTACAAGGGTGTTGCAAACCTGAACTATCAAAGGAAGGTTCAACTCTGTGAATTGAATACAAACATCACAAAGAATGTTCTGAGTTTGCTTCCGTTCAGTTATGGGAAGTTGATCCCGTTTCCAACGAAATCCTCAGAGAGGTCCAAATATCCCCTTGCAGATTCTACAAAACGTGTGTTTGGAAACTGCTCCATCATAACGAATGTTCAGCTCCCTGAGTTAAACTCCATCGTCACAAAGAATTTTCTGAGAGTGCTACCGTCTGGTTTTTATATGAAGTTCTTTCCTTCACTACCACAGGCCTCAAAGCGGTCCAAATCTCCACTTGCAGATTCTACAAAAAGAGTGTTTGCAAACTGCTCTATCAAAAGGAATGTTCAACTCTGGGAGTTGAATGCAATCATCACAGAGCAGTTTCTGAGAATGCTTCTATGTCGTTTTTAGGAGAAGATATTTCCTTTTCCAACACAGTCCTCCAAGCCCGCTAAATATCCACTTGCACATTGTAGAAAAAGTGTGTCGAAGCTGCGCTATCAAAGGGAAAGTTCAACTCTGTGAGGTGAATGCAAACATCCCAAAGAAGTTTCTGAGAATGCTTCCGTTTAGCTTTTAGGTGAAGATTATCCCGTTTCCAAAGAAACCTTCAAAGAGGTCCAAATATCCCCTTGCGGATCCCACAGAAAGAGTGTTTCGAAACTGCTGTTTCAAAAGGACTCTTCAACTCTGTGAGTTGAATGCAATCATCACAAAGAAGTTTCTGACAATGCTTCTCTCTCGTCTTTCTGTGAAGATAAAGGAAAAGGCTTTCAGGCCTTTTCCACCACAGGCCTGAAAGCGCTCCAAATGTCCACTTGCAGATTCTGCGAAAAGAATATTTCAAAACTGCTCTATGAAAAGCAATGTTAAACTCTGTGGCTCGAACACAAACATCACAAAGCGGTTTCTGAGAATGCTTCAGTTTAGTTTTTCTGTGGAAATATTCCCGTTTCCAAAGAAATCTTCAAAGAGGTCCACGTATCCACTTACAGATTCTACAAAAAGACAGTTTCAAAACTGCTCCATCAAAAGGAGGGTTCAACTGTGTGACTTGAATGCAATCATCACTCAGAAGTTTCTGAGAATGCTTCTCTTTAGTTTTTACGTGAACATATACCCGTTTCGAACGAAGGCCACCCAGTGGTCCAAATATCCACTTGCAGATTCTACAGAAAGAGTGTTTCGAACCTGAACTCTCAAAGGCAGGTTCATCTCTGCGAGTTAAATGCATTCATCATGAAGAACTTTCTCAGAGTGTTTGTGTTTAGTTATGGGAAATTATTCCCGTTTCCAACGAAATCCTCAGAGAGCTCCAAATATCCACCTGCAGATTCTACCAAAAGTGTATTTGGAAACTGCTCCATCAAAAGGCATGTTCAGCTCTGTGAGTGAAACTCCATCATCACAAAGAATATTCTGAGAATGCTTCCGTTTGCCTTTTATCTGAAGTTCCTTCCTATACGACCGTAGGCCTCAAAGCAGTCCAAATCTCCATTTGCAGATTCTACAAAAAGAGTGATTCCAATCTGCTCTATCAATAGGATTGTTCAACTCCATGAGTTGAATGCCATCCTCACAAAGTCGTTTCTGAGAATGCTTCTATCTAGTTTTTATGTGAAGATATTTCCTTTTCCACCACAGGCCTCAAAGCCCTCCAAACGTCCACTTGCAGATTCTCGAAAAGGAGTGTTTCATAGCTGCTCTTTCAAAAGGAAAGTTCAACTCTGGGAGTTGAATACAAACATCACAAAGTAGTTTCCGAGAATGCTTCTGTTTAGTTTTTATGTGAAGATGATCCCGTTTCCAGTGAAATCTTCAAAGAGGTCCACATATCCCCTTGCAGATTCCAAAGAAAGAGGGTTTCAAAACTGCTCCATCAGAAGGATTGTTCAACTCTGTGAGTTGAATGCAGTCATCGCAGAAAACTTTCTGAGAATGCTTCCGTTCAGTTATGGGAAGTTGATCCCGTTTCCAACGAAATCCTCAGAGAGGTCCAAATATCCCCTTGCAGATTCTACAAAACGTGTGTTTGGAAACTGCTCCATCATAACGAATGTTCAGCTCCCTGAGTTAAACTCCATCGTCACAAAGAATTTTCTGAGAGTGCTACCGTCTGGTTTTTATATGAAGCTCTTTCCTTCACTACCCCAGGCCTCAAAGCGGTCCAAATCTCCACTTCCAGATTCTACAAAAAGAGTGTTTGCAAACTGCTCTATCAAAAGGAATGTTCAACTCTGGGAGTTGAATGCAATCATCACAGAGCAGTTTCTGAGAATGCTTCTATGTCGTTTTTAGGAGAAGATATTTCCTTTTCCAACACAGTCCTCCAAGCCCGCTAAATAGCCACTTGCACATTGTAGAAAAAGTGTGTCAAAGCTGCGCTATCAAAGGGAAAGTTCAACTCTGTGAGGTGAATGCAAAACATCCCAAAGAAGTTTCTGAGAATGCTTCCGTTTAGCTTTTAGGTGAAGATTATCCCGTTTCCAACGAAACCTTCAAAGAGGTCCAAATATCCCCTTGCGGATCCCACAGAAAGAGTGTTTCGAAACTGCTGTTTCAAAAGGAATCTTCAACTCTGTGAGTTGAATGCAATCATCACAAAGAAGTTTCTGACAATGCTTCTCTCTCGTCTTTCTGTGAAGATAAAGGAAAAGGCTTTCAGGCCTTTGCCACCACAGGCCTGAAAGCGCTCCAAATGTCCACTTGCAGATTCTGCGAAAAGAATATTTCAAAACTGCTCTATGAAAAGCAATGTTAAACTCTGTGGCTCGAACACAAACATCACAAAGCAGTTTCTGAGAATGCTTCAGTTTAGTTTTTCTGTGGAAATATTCCCGTTTCCAAAGAAATCTTCAAAGAGGTCGACGCATACACTTACAGATTCTACAAAAAGACAGTTTCAAAACTGCTCAATCAAAAGGAGGGTTCAACTGTGTGACTTGAATGCAATCATCACTCAGAAGTTTCTGAGAACGCTTCTCTTTAGTTTTTCCGTGAACATATAAACGTTTCGAATGAAGGCCAGCCAGTGGTCCAAATATCCACTTGCAGATTCTGCAGAAAGAGTGTTTCGAACCTGAACTCTCAAAGGCAGGTTCGTCTCTGCGAGTTAAATGCATTCATCATGAAGAACTTTCTCAGCGTGTTTGTGTTTAGTTATGGGAAATTATTCCCGTTTCCAACGAAATCCTCAGAGAGCTCCAAATATCCACCTGCAGATTCTACCAAAAGTGTATTTGGAAACTGCTCCATCAAAAGGCATGTTCAGCTCTGTGAGTGAAACTCCATCATCACAAAGAATATTCTGAGAATGCTTCCGTTTGCCTTTTATATGAAGTTCCTTCCTGTACTACCGTAGGCCTCAAAGCAGTCCAAATCTCCATTTGCAGATTCTACAAAAAGAGTGATTCCAATCTGCTCTATCAATAGGATTGTTCAACTCCATGAGTTGAATGCCATCCTCACAAAGCAGTTTCTGAGAATGCTTCTATCTGGTTTTTGTGTGAAGATATTTCCTTTTCCACCACAGGCCTCAAAGCCCTCCAAACGTCCACTTGCAGATTCTCGAAAAAGAGTGTTTCATAGCTGCTCTTTCAAAAGGAAAGTTCAACTCTGGCAGTTGAATACAAACATCACAAAGTAGTTTCCGAGAATGCTTCTGTTTAGTTTTTATGTGAAGATGATCCCGTTTCCAGTGAAATCTTCAAAGAGGTCCACATATCCCCTTGCAGATTCCAAAGAAAGAGGGTTTCAAAACTGCTCCATCAGAAGGATTGTTCAACTCTGTGAGTTGAATGCAGTCATCGCAGAAAACTTTCTGAGAATGCTTCTGTCTAGGTTTGATGTGAAGATATAGACGTTTCAAACGAAGGCTACAAAGTGATCAAAATATACACTTGCAGATTCTACTACAAGGGTGTTGCAAACCTGAACTATCAAAGGAAGGTTCAACTCTGTGAGTTGAATACAAACATCACAAAGAATGTTCTGAGTTTGCTTCCGTTCAGTTATGGGAAGTTGATCCCGTTTCCAACGAAATCCTCAGAGAGGTCCAAATATCCCCTTGCAGATTCTACAAAACGTGTGTTTGGAAACTGCTCCATCATAACGAATGTTCAGCTCCCTGAGTTAAACTCCATCGTCACAAAGAATTTTCTGAGAGTGCTACCGTCTGGTTTTTATATGAAGTTCTTTCCTTCACTACCACAGGCCTCAAAGCGGTCCAAATCTCCACTTGCAGATTCTACAAAAAGAGTGTTTGCAAACTGCTCTATCAAAAGGAATGTTCAACTCTGGGAGTTGAATGCAATCATCACAGAGCAGTTTCTGAGAATGCTTCTATGTCGTTTTTAGGAGAAGATATTTCCTTTTCCAACACAGTCCTCCAAGCCCGCTAAATAGCCACTTGCACATTGTAGAAAAAGTGTGTCAAAGCTGCGCTATCAAAGGGAAAGTTCAACTCTGTGAGGTGAATGCAAACATCCCAAAGAAGTTTCTGAGAATGCTTCCGTTTAGCTTTTAGGTGAAGATTATCCCGTTTCCAACGAAACCTTCAAAGAGGTCCAAATATCCCCTTGCGGATCCCACAGAAAGAGTGTTTCGAAACTGCTGTTTCAAAAGGAATCTTCAACTCTGTGAGTTGAATGCAATCATCACAAAGAAGTTTCTGACAATGCTTCTCTCTCGTCTTTCTGTGAAGATAAAGGAAAAGGCTTTCAGGCCTTTTCCACCACAGGCCTGAAAGCGCTCCAAATGTCCACTTGCAGATTCTGCGAAAAGAATATTTCAAAACTACTCTATGAAAAGCAATGTTAAACTCTGTGGCTGGAACACAAACATCACAAAGCGGTTTCTGAGAATGCTTCAGTTTAGTTTTTCTGTGGAAATATTCCCGTTTCCAAAGAAATCTTCAAAGAGGTCCACGTATCCACTTACAGATTCTACAAAAAGACAGTTTCAAAACTGCTCCATCAAAAGGAGGGTTCAACCGTGTGACTTGAATGCAATCATCACTCAGAAGTTTCTGAGAATGCTTCTCTTTAGTTTTTACGTGAACATATACCCGTTTCGAACGAAGGCCACCCAGTGGTCCAAATATCCACTTGCAGATTCTACAGAAAGAGTGTTTCGAACCTGAACTCTCAAAGGCAGGTTCATCTCTGCGAGTTAAATGCATTCATCATGAAGAACTTTCTCAGCGTGTTTGTGTTTAGTTATGGGAAATTATTCCCGTTTCCAACGAAATCCTCAAAGAGCTCCAAATATCCACCTGCAGATTCTACCAAAAGTGTATTTGGAAACTGCTCCATCAAAAGGCATGTTCAGCTCTGTGAGTGAAACTCCATCATCACAAAGAATATTCTGAGAATGCTTCCGTTTGCCTTTTATCTGAAGTTCCTTCCTATACGACCGTAGGCCTCAAAGCAGTCCAAATCTCCATTTGCAGATTCTACAAAAAGAGTGATTCCAATCTGCTCTATCAATAGGATTGTTCAACTCCATGAGTTGAATGCCATCCTCACAAAGTAGTTTCTGAGAATGCTTCTATCTAGTTTTTATGTGAAGATATTTCCTTTTCCACCACAGGCCTCAAAGCCCTCCAAACGTCCACTTGCAGATTCTCGAAAAAGAGTGTTTCATAGCTGCTCTTTCAAAAGGAAAGTTCAACTCTGGGAGTTGAATACAAACATCACAAAACAGTTTCCGAGAATGCTTCTGTTTAGTTTTTATGTGAAGATGATCCCGTTTCCAGTGAAATCTTCAAAGAGGTCCACATATCCCCTTGCAGATTCCAAAGAAAGAGGGTTTCAAAACTGCTCCATCAGAAGGATTGTTCAACTCTGTGAGTTGAATGCAGTCATCGCAGAAAACTTTCTGAGAATGCTTCTGTCTAGGTTTGATGTGAAGATATAGACGTTTCAAACGAAGGCTACAAAGTGGTCAAAATATACACTTGCAGATTCTACTACAAGGGTTTTGCAAACCTGAACTATCAAAGGAAGGTTCAACTCTGTGAGTTGAATACAAACATAACAAAGAATGTTCTGAGTTTGCTTCCGTTCAGTTATGGGAAGTTGATCCCGTTTCCAACGAAATCCTCAGAGAGGTCCAAATATCCCCTCGCAGATTCTACAAAACGTGTGTTTGGAAACTGCTCCATCATAACGAATGTTCAGCTCCCTGAGTTAAACTCCATCGTCACAAAGAATTTTCTGAGAGTGCTACCGTCTGGTTTTTATATGAAGTTCTTTCCTTCACTACCACAGGCCTCAAAGCGGTCCAAATCTCCACTTGCAGATTCTACAAAAAGAGTGTTTGCAAACTGCTCTATCAAAAGGAATGTTCAACTCTGGGAGTTGAATGCAATCATCACAGAGCAGTTTCTGAGAATGCTTCTATGTCGTTTTTAGGAGAAGATATTTCCTTTTCCAACACAGTCCTCCAAGCCCGCTAAATAGCCACTTGCACATTGTAGAAAAAGTGTGTCAAAGCTGCGCTATCAAAGGGAAAGTTCAACTCTGTGAGGTGAATGCAAACATCCCAAAGAAGTTTCTGAGAATGCTTCCGTTTAGCTTTTAGGTGAGGATTATCCCGTTTCCAACGAAACCTTCAAAGAGGTCCAAATATCCCCTTGCGGATCCCACAGAAAGAGTGTTTCGAAACTGCTGTTTCAAAAGGAATCTTCAACTCTGTGAGTTGAATGCAATCATCACAAAGAAGTTTCTGACAATGCTTCTCTCTCGTCTTTCTGTGAAGATAAAGGAAAAGGCTTTCAGGCCTTTTCCACCACAGGCCTGAAAGCGCTCCAAATGTCCACTTGCAGATTCTGCGAAAAGAATATTTCAAAACTGCTCTATGAAAAGCAATGTTAAACTCTGTGGCTCGAACACAAACATCACAAAGCAGTTTCTGAGAATGCTTCAGTTTAGTTTTTCTGTGGAAATATTCCCGTTTCCAAAGAAATCTTCAAAGAGGTCCACGTATCCACTTACAGATTCTACAAAAAGACAGTTTCAAAACTGCTCCATCAAAAGGAGGGTTCAACTGTGTGACTTGAATGCAATCATCACTCAGAAGTTTCTGAGAATGCTTCTCTTTAGTTTTTACGTGAACATATACCCGTTTCGAACGAAGGGCCACCCAGTGGTCCAAATATCCACTTGCAGATTATACAGAAAGAGTGTTTCGAACCTGAACTCTCAAAGGCAGGTTCATCTCTGCGAGTTAAATGCATTCATCATGAAGAACTTTCTCAGAGTGTTTGTGTTTAGTTATGGGAAATTATTCCCGTTTCCAACGAAATCCTCAGAGAGCTCCAAATATCCACCTGCAGATTCTACCAAAAGTGTATTTGGAAACTGCTCCATCAAAAGGCATGTTCAGCTCTGTGAGTGAAACTCCATCATCACAAAGAATATTCTGAGAATGCTTCCGTTTGCCTTTTATATGAAGTTCCTTCCTATACTACCGTAGGCCTCAAAGCAGTCCAAATCTCCATTTGCAGATTCTACAAAAAGAGTGATTCCAATCTGCTCTATCAATAGGATTGTTCAACTCCATGAGTTGAATGCCATCCTCACGAAGTAGTTTCTGAGAATGCTTCTATCTAGTTTTTATGTGAAGATATTTCCTTTTCCACCACAGGCCTCAAAGCCCTCCAAACGTCCACTTGTAGATTCTCGAAAAAGAGTGTTTCATAGCTGCTCTTTCAAAAGGAAAGTTCAACTCTGGGAGTTGAATACAAACATCACAAAGTAGTTTCCGAGAATGCTTCTGTTTAGTTTTTATGTGAAGATGATCCCGTTTCCAGTGAAATCTTCAAAGAGGTCCACATATCCCCTTGCAGATTCCAAAGAAAGAGGGTTTCAAAACTGCTCCATCAGAAGGATTGTTCAACTCTGTGAGTTGAATGCAGTCATCGCAGAAAACTTTCTGAGAATGCTTCTGTCTAGGTTTGATGTGAAGATATAGACGTTTCAAACGAAGGCTACAAAGTGGTCAAAATATACACTTGCAGATTCTACTACAAGGGTGTTGCAAACCTGAACTATCAAAGGAAGGTTCAACTCCGTCAGTTGAATACAAACATCACAAAGAATGTTCTGAGTTTGCTTCCGTTCAGTTATGGGAAGTTGATCCCGTTTCCAACGAAATCCTCAGAGAGGTCCAAATATCCCCTTGCAGATTCTACAAAACGTGTGTTTGGAAACTGCTCCATCATAACGAATGTTCAGCTCCCTGAGTTAAACTCCATCGTCACAAAGAATTTTCTGAGAGTGCTACCGTCTGGTTTTTATATGAAGTTCTTTCCTTCACTACCACAGGCCTCAAAGCGGTCCAAATCTCCACTTGCAGATTCTACAAAAAGAGTGTTTGCAAACTGCTCTATCAAAAGGAATGTTCAACTCTGGGAGTTGAATGCAATCATCACAGAGCAGTTTCTGAGAATGCTTCTATGTCGTTTTTAGGAGAAGATATTTCCTTTTCCAACACAGTCCTCCAAGTCCGCTAAATAGCCACTTGCACATTGTAGAAAAAGTGTGTCAAAGCTGCGCTATCGAAGGGAAAGTTCAACTCTGAGAGGTGAATGCAAACATCCCAAAGAAGTTTCTGAGAATGCTTCCGTTTAGCTTTTAGGTGAAGATTATCCCGTTTCCAACGAAACCTTCAAAGAGGTCCAAATATCCCCTTGCGGATCCCACAGAAAGAGTGTTTCGAAACTGCTGTTTCAAAAGGAATCTTCAACTCTGTGAGTTGAATGCAATCATCACAAAGAAGTTTCTGACAATGCTTCTCTCTCGTCTTTCTGTGAAGATAAAGGAAAAGGCTTTCAGGCCTTTTCCACCACAGGCCTGAAAGCGCTCCAAATGTCCACTTGTAGATTCTGCCAAAAGAATATTTCAAAACTGCTCTATGAAAAGCAATGTTAAACTCTGTGGCTCGAACACAAACATCACAAAGCAGTTTCTGAGAATGCTTCAGTTTAGTTTTTCTGTGGAAATATTCCCGTTTCCAAAGAAATCTTCAAAGAGGTCCACGTATCCACTTACAGATTCTACAAAAAGACAGTTTCAAAACTGCTCCATCAAAAGGAGGGTTCAACTGTGTGACTTGAATGCAATCATCACTCAGAAGTTTCTGAGAATGCTTCTCTTTAGTTTTTACGTGAACATATACCCGTTTTGAACGAAGGCCACCCAGTGGTCCAAATATCCACTTGCAGATTCTACAGAAAGAGTGTTTCGAACCTGAACTCTCAAAGGCAGGTTCATCTCTGCGAGTTAAATGCATTCATCATGAAGAACTTTCTCAGAGTGTTTGTGTTTAGTTATGGGAAATTATTCCCGTTTCCAACGAAATCCTCAGAGAGCTCCAAATATCCACCTGCAGTTTCTACCAAAAGTGTAGTTGGAAACTGCTCCATCAAAAGGCATGTTCAGCTCTGTGAGTGAAACTCCATCATCACAAAGAATATTCTGAGAATGCTTCCGTTTGCCTTTTATATGAAGTTCCTTCCTATACTACCGTAGGCCTCAAAGCAGTCCAAATCTCCATTTGCAGATTCTACAAAAAGAGTGATTCCAATCTGCTCTATCAATAGGATTGTTCAACTCCATGAGTTGAATGCCATCCTCACAAAGTAGTTTCTGAGAATGCTTCTATCTAGTTTTTATGTGAAGATATTTCCTTTTCCACCACAGGCCTCAAAGCCCTCCAAACGTCCACTTGCAGATTCTCGAAAAAGAGTGTTTCATAGCTGCTCTTTCAAAAGGAAAGTTCAACTCTGGGAGTTGAATACAAACATCACAAAGTAGTTTCCGAGAATGCTTCTGTTTAGTTCTTATGTGAAGATGATCCCGTTTCCAGTGAAATCTTCAAAGAGGTCCACATATCCCCTTGCAGATTCCAAAGAAAGAGGGTTTCAAAACTGCTCCATCAAAAGGATTGTTCACCTCTGTGAGTTGAATGCAGTCATCGCAGAAAACTTTCTGAGAATGGTTCTGTCTAGGTTTGATGTGAAGATATAGACGTTTCAAACGAATGCTACAAAGTGGTCAAAATATACACTTGCAGATTCTACTACAAGGGTGTTGCAAACCTGAACTATCAAAGGAAGGTTCAACTCTGTGAGTTGAATTCAAACATCATAAAGAATGTTCTGAGTTTGCTTCCGTTCAGTTATGGGAAGTTGATCCCGTTTCCAACGAAATCCTCAGAGAGGTCCAAATATCCCCTTGCAGATTCTACAAAACGTGTGTTTGGAAACTGCTCCATCATAACGAATGTTCAGCTCCCTGAGTTAAACTCCATCGTCACAAAGAATTTTCTGAGAGTGCTACCGTCTGGTTTTTATATGAAGTTCTTTCCTTCACTACCACAGGCCTCAAAGCGGTCCAAATCTCCACTTGCAGATTCTACAAAAAGAGTGTTTGCAAACTGCTCTATCAAAAGGAATGTTCAACTCTGGGAGTTGAATGCAATCATCACAGAGCAGTTTCTGAGAATGCTTCTATGTCGTTTTTAGGAGAAGATATTTCCTTTTCCAACACAGTCCTCCAAGCCCGCTAAATAGCCACTTGCACATTGTAGAAAAAGTGTGTCAAAGCTGCGCTATCAAAGGGAAAGTTCAACTCTGTGAGGTGAATGCAAACATCCCAAAGAAGTTTCTGAGAATGCTTCCGTTTAGCTTTTAGGTGAAGATTATCCCGTTTCCAACGAAACCTTCAAAGAGGTCCAAATATCCCCTTGCGGATCCCACAGAAAGAGTGTTTCGAAACTGCTGTTTCAAAAGGAATCTTCAACTCTGTGAGTTGAATGCAATCATCACAAAGAAGTTTCTGACAATGCTTCTCTCTCGTCTTTCTGTGAAGGTAAAGGAAAAGGCTTTCAGGCCTTTTCCACCCACAGGCCTGAAAGCGCTCCAAATGTCCACTTGCAGATTCTGCCAAAAGAATATTTCAAAACTGCTCTATGAAAAGCAATGTTAAACTCTGTGGCTCGAACACAAACATCACAAAGCGGTTTCTGAGAATGCTTCAGTTTAGTTTTTCTGTGGAAATATTCCCGTTTCCAAAGAAATCTTCAAAGAGGTCCACGTATCCACTTACAGATTCTACAAAAAGACAGTTTCAAAACTGCTCCATCAAAAGGAGGGTTCAACTGTGTGACTTGAATGCAATCATCACTCAGAAGTTTCTGAGAATGCTTCTCTTTAGTTTTTACGTGAACATATACCCGTTTCGAACGAAGGCCACCCAGTGGTCCAAATATCCACTTGCAGATTCTACAGAAAGAGTGTTTCGAACCTGAACTCTCAAAGGCAGGTTCATCTCTGCGAGTTAAATGCATTCATCATGAAGAACTTTCTCAGAGTGTTTGTGTTTAGTTATGGGAAATTATTCCCGTTTCCAACGAAATCCTCAGAGTGGTCCAAATGTCCACCTGCAGATTCTACCAAAAGTGTATTTGGAAACTGCTCCATCAAAAGGCATGTTCAGCTCTGTGAGTGAAACTCCATCATCACAAAGAATATTCTGAGAATGCTTCCGTTTGCCTTTTATATGAAGTTCCTTCCTGTACTACCGTAGGCCTCAAAGCAGTCCAAATCTCCATTTGCAGATTCTACAAAAAGAGTGATTCCAATCTGCTCTATCAATAGGATTGTTCAACTCCATGAGTTGAATGCCATCCTCACAAAGTAGTTTCTGAGAATGCTTCTATCTAGTTTTTATGTGAAGATATTTCCTTTTCCACCACAGGCCTCAAAGCCCTCCAAACGTCCACTTTCAGATTCTCGAAAAAGAGTGTTTCATAGCTGCTCTTTCAAAAGGAAAGTTCAACTCTGGGAGTTGAATACAAACATCACAAAGTAGTTTCCGAGAATGCTTTCTGTTTAGTTTTTATGTGAAGATGATCCCGTTTCCAGTGAAATCTTCAAAGAGGTCCACATATCCCCTTGCAGATTCCAAAGAAAGAGGGTTTCAAAACTGCTCCATCAGAAGGATTGTTCAACTCTGTGAGTTGAATGCAGTCATCGCAGAAAACTTTCTGAGAATGCTTCTGTCTAGGTTTGATGTGAAGATATAGATGTTTCAAACGAAGGCTACAAAGTGGTCAAAATATACACTTGCAGATTCTACTACAAGGGTGTTGCAAACCTGAACTATCAAAGGAAGGTTCAACTCTGTGAGTTGAATACAAACATCACAAAGAATGTTCTGAGTTTGCTTCCGTTCAGTTATGGGAAGTTGATCCCATTTCCAACGAAATCCTCAGAGAGGTCCAAATATCCCTTTGCAGATTCTACAAAATGTGTGTTTGGAAACTGCTCCATCATAACGAATGTTCAGCTCTCTGAGTTAAACTCTATCGTCACAAAGAATTTTACTGAGAGTGCTACCGTCTGGTTTTTATATGAAGTTCTTTCCTTTACTACCACAGGCCTCAAAGCGGTCCAAATCTCCACTTGCAGATTCTACAAAAACAGTGTTTGCAAACTGCTCTATCAAAAGGAATGTTCAACTCTGGGAGTTGAATGCAATCATCACAGAGCAGTTTCTGAGAATGCTTCTATGTCGTTTTTAGGAGAAGATATTTCCTTTTCCAACACAGTCCTCCAAGCCCGCTAAAGGTCCACTTGCACACTTTAGAAAAAGTGTGTCGAAGCTGCGCTATCAAAGGGAAAGTTCAACTCTGTGAGGTGAATGCAAACATCCCAAAGAAGTTTCTGAGAATGCTTCCGTTTAGCTTTTAGGTGAAGATTATCCCGTTTCCAACGAAACCTTCAAAGAGGTCCAAATATCCCCTTGCGGATCCCACAGAAAGAGTGTTTTGAAACTGCTGTTTCAAAAGGAATCTTCAACTCTGTGAGTTGAATGCAATCATCACAAAGAAGTTTCTGACAATGCTTCTCTCTCGTCTTTCTGTGAAGATAAAGGAAAAGGCTTTCAGGCCTTTTCCACCACAGGCCTGAAAGCGCTCCAAATGTCCACTTGCAGATTCTGCCAAAAGAATATTTCAAAACTGCTCTATGAAAAGCAATGTTAAACTCTGTGGCTCGAACACAAACATCACAAAGCGGTTTCTGAGAATGCTTCAGTTTAGTTTTTCTGTGGAAATATTCCCGTTTCCAAAGAAATCTTCAAAGAGGTCCAAGTATCCACTTACAGATTCTACAAAAAGACAGTTTCAAAACTGCTCCATCAAAAGGAAGGTTCAACTGTGTGACTTGAATGCAATCATCACTCAGAAGTTTCTGAGAATGCTTCTCTTTAGTTTTTACGTGAACATATACCCGTTTCGAACGAAGGCCAGCCAGTGGTCCAAATATCCACTTGCAGATTCTACAGAAAGAGTGTTTCGAACCTGAACTCTCAAAGGCAGGTTCATCTCTGCGAGTTAAATGCATTCATCATGAAGAACTTTCTCAGAGTGTTTGTGTTTAGTTATGGGAAATTATTCCCGTTTCCAACGAAATCCTCAGAGAGCTCCAAATATCCACCTGCAGATTGTACCAAAAGTGTATTTGGAAACTGCTCCATGAAAAGGCATGTTCAGCTCTGTGAGTGAAACTCCGTCATCACAAAGAATATTCTGAGAATGCTTCCGTTTGCCTTTTATATGAAGTTCCTTCCTATACTACCGTAGGCCTCAAAGCAGTCCAAATCTCCATTTGCAGATTCTACAAAAAGAGTGATTCCAATCTGCTCTATCAATAGGATTGTTCAACTCCATGAGTTGAATGCCATCCTCACAAAGTAGTTTCTGAGAATGCTTCTATCTAGTTTTTATGTGAAGATATTTCCTTTTCCACCACAGGCCTCAAAGCCCTCCAAACGTCCACTTGCAGATTCTCGAAAAAGAGTGTTTCATAGCTGCTCTTTCAAAAGGAAAGTTCAACTCTGGGAGTTGAATACAAACATCACAAAGTAGTTTCCGAGAATGCTTCTGTTTAGTTTTTATGTGAAGATGATCCCGTTTCCAGTGAAATCTTCAAAGAGGTCCACATATCCCCTTGCAGATTCCAAAGAAAGAGGGTTTCAAAACTGCTCCATCAGAAGGATTGTTCAACTCTGTGAGTTGAATGCAGTCATCGCAGAAAACTTTCTGAGAATGCTTCTGTCTAGGTTTGATGTGAAGATATAGACGTTTCAAACGAAGGCTACAAAGTGGTCAAAATATACACTTGCAGATTCTACTACAAGGGTGTTGCAAACCTGAACTATCAAAGGAAGGTTCAACTCTGTGAGTTGAATACAAACATCACAAAAAATGTTCTGAGTTTGCTTCCGTTCAGTTATGGGAAGTTGATCCCGTTTCCAACGAAATCCTCAGAGAGGTCCACATATCCCCTTGCAGATTCTACAAAACGTGTGTTTGGAAACTGCTCCATCATAACGAATGTTCAGCTCCCTGAGTTAAACTCCATCGTCACAAAGAATTTTCTGAGAGTGCTACCGTCTACTTTTTATATGAAGTTCTTTCCTTTACTACCACAGGCCTCAAAGCGGTCCAAATCTCCACTTGCAGATTCTACAAAAAGAGTGTTTGCAAATTGCTCTATCAAAAGGAATGTTCAACTCTGGGAGTTGAATGCAATCATCACAGAGCAGTTTCTGAGAATGCTTCTATGTCGTTTTTAGGAGAAGATATTTCCTTTTCCAACACAGTCCTCCAAGCCCGCTAAATAGCCACTTGCACATTGTAGAAAAAGTGTGTCAAAGCTGCGCTATCAAAGGGAAAGTTCAACTCTGTGAGGTGAATGCAAACATCCCAAAGAAGTTTCTGAGAATGCTTCCGTTTAGCTTTTAGGTGAAGATTATCCCGTTTCCAACGAAACCTTCAAAGAGGTCCAAATATCCCCTTGCGGATCCCACAGAAAGAGTGTTTCGAAACTGCTGTTTCAAAAGGAATCTTCAACTCTGTGAGTTGAATGCAATCATCACAAAGAAGTTTCTGACAATGCTTCTCTCTCGTCTTTCTGTGAAGATATAGGAAAAGGCTTTCAGGTCTTTTCCATCACAGGCCTGAAAGCGCTCCAAATGTCCACTTGCAGATTCTGCCAAAAGAATATTTCAAAACTGCTCTATGAAAAGCAATGTTAAACTCTGCGGCTCGAACACAAACATCACAAAGCAGTTTCTGAGAATGCTTCAGTTTAGTTTTTCTGTGGAAATATTCCCGTTTCCAAAGAAATCTTCAAAGAGGTCCACGCATCCACTTACAGATTCTACAAAAAGACAGTTTCAAAACTGCTCAATCAAAAGGAGGGTTCAACTGTGTGACTTGAAAGCAATCATCACTCAGAAGTTTCTGAGAACGCTTCTCTTTAGTTTTTACGTGAACATATACCCGTTTCGAACGAAGGCCAGCCAGTGGTCCAAATATCCACTTGCAGATTCTACAGAAAGAGTGTTTCGAACCTGAACTCTCAAAGGCAGGTTCATCTCTGCGAGTTAAATGCATTCATCATGAAGAACTTTCTCAGAGTGTTTGTGTTTAGTTATGGGAAATTATTCCCGTTTCCAATGAAATCCTCAGAGAGCTCCAAATATCCACCTGCAGATTCTACCAAAAGTGTATTTGGAAACTGCTCCATCAACAGGCATGTTCAGCTCTGTGAGTGAAACTCCATCATCACAAAGAACATTCTGAGAATGCTTCCGTTTGCCTTTTATATGAAGTTCCTTCCTGTACTACCGTAGGCCTCAAAGCAGTCCAAATCTCCATTTGCAGATTCTACAAAAAGAGTGATTCCAATCTGCTCTATCAATAGGATTGTTGAACTCCATGAGTTGAATGCCATCCTCACAAAGCAGTTTATGAGAATGCTTCTATCTGGTGTTTGTGTGAAGATATTTCCTTTTCCACCACAGGCCTCAAAGCCCTCCAAACGTCCACTTGCAGATTCTCGAAAAAGAGTGTTTCATAGCTGCTCTTTCAAAAGGAAAGTTCAACTCTGGGAGTTGAATACAAACATCACAAAGTAGTTTCCGAGAATGCTTCTGTTTAGTTTTTATGTGAAGATGATCCCGTTTCCAGTGAAATCTTCAAAGAGGTCCACATATCCCCTTGCAGATTCCAAAGAAAGAGGGTTTCAAAACTGCTCCATCAGAAGGATTGTTCAACTCTGTGAGTTGAATGCAGTCATCGCAGAAAACTTTCTGAGAATGCTTCTGTCTAGGTTTGAGGTGAAGATATAGACGTTTCAAACGAAGGCTACAAAGTGGTCAAAATATACACTTGCAGATTCTACTACAAGGGTGTTGCAAACCTGAACTATCAAAGGAAGGTTCAACTCTGTGAGTTGAATACAAACATCACAAAGAATGTTCTGAGTTTGCTTCCGTTCAGTTATGGGAAGTTGATCCCGTTCCCAACGAAATCCTCAGAGAGGACCAAATATCCCCTTGCAGATTCTACAAAACGTGTGTTTGGAAACTGCTCCATCATAACGAATGTTCAGCTCTCTGAGTTAAACTCCATCGTCACAAAGAATTTTCTGAGAGTGCTACCGTCTGGTTTTTATATGAAGTTCTTTCCTTCACTACCACAGGCCTCAAAGCGGTCCAAATCTCCACTTGCAGATTCTACAAAAAGAGTGTTTGCAAACTGCTCTATCAAAAGGAATGTTCAACTCTGGGAGTTGAATGCAATCATCACAGAGCAGTTTCTGAGAATGCTTCTATGTCGTTTTTAGGAGAAGATATTTCCTTTTCCAACACAGTCCTCCAAGCCCGCTAAATATCCACTTGCACATTATAGAAAAAGTGTGTCGAAGCTGCGCTATCAAAGGGAAAGTTCAACTCTGTGAGGTGAATGCAAACATCCCAAAGAAGTTTCTGAGAATGCTTCCGTTTAGCTTTCAGGTGAAGATTATCCCGTTTCCAACGAAATCTTCAAAGAGGTCCAAATATCCCCTTGCGGATCCCACAGAAAGAGTGTTTCGAAACTGCTGTTTCAAAAGGAATCTTCAACTCTGTGAGTTGAATGCAATCATCACAAAGAAGTTTCTGACAATGCTTCTCTCTCGTCTTTCTGTGAAGATAAAGGAAAAGGCTTTCAGGCCTTTTCCATCGCAGGCCTGAAAGCGCTCCAAATGTCCACTTGCAGATTCTGCCAAAAGAATATTTCAAAACTGCTCTATGAAAAGCAATGTTAAACTCTGTGGCTCGAACACAAACATCACAAAGCAGTTTCTGAGAATGCTTCAGTTTAGTTTTTCTGTGGAAATATTCCCGTTTCCAAAGAAATCTTCAAAGAGGTCCACGCATCCACTTACAGATTCTACAAAAAGACAGTTTCAAAACTGCTCAATCAAAAGGAGGGTTCAACTGTGTGACTTGAATGCAATCATCACTCAGAAGTTTCTGAGAACGCTTCTCTTTAGTTTTTACGTGAACATATACCCGTTTCGAACGAAGGCCAGCCAGTGGTCCAAATATCCACTTGCAGATTCTACAGAAAGAGTGTTTCGAACCTGAACTCTCAAAGGCAGGTTCATCTCTGCGAGTTCAATGCATTCATCATGAAGAACTTTCTCAGCGTGTTTGTGTTTAGTTATGGGAAATTATTCCCGTTTCCAACGAAATCCTCAGAGAGCTCCAAATATCCACCTGCAGATTCTACCAAAAGTGTATTTGGAAACTGCTCCATCAAAAGGCATGTTCAGCTCTGTGAGTGAAACTCCATCATCACAAAGAATATTGCTGAGAATGCTTCCGTTTGCCTTTTATATGAAGTTCCTTCCTATACTACCATAGGCCACAAAGCAGTCCAAATCTCCATTTGCAGATTCTACAAAAAGACTGATTCCAATCTGCTCTATCAATAGGATTGTTCAACTCCATGAGTTGAATGCCATCCTCACAAAGTCGTTTCTGAGAATGCTTCTATCTAGTTTTAATGTGAAGATATTTCCTTTTCCACCACAGGCCTCAAAGCCCTCCAAACGTCCGCTTGCAGATTCTCAAAAAAGAGTGTTTCATAGCTGCTCTTTCAAAAGGAAAGTTCAACTCTGGGAGTTGAATACAAACATCACAAAGTAGTTTCCGAGAATGCTTCTGTTTAGTTCTTATGTGAAGATGATCCCGTTTCCAGTGAAATCTTCAAAGAGGTCCACATATCCCCTTGCAGATTCCAAAGAAAGAGGGTTTCAAAACTGCTCCATCAAAAGGATTGTTCAACTCTGTGAGTTGAATGCAGTCATCGCAGAAAACTTTCTGAGAATGCTTCTGTCTAGGTTTGATGTGAAGATATAGACGTTTCAAACGAAGGCTACAAAGTGGTCAAAATATACACTTGCAGATTCTACTACAAGGGTGTTGCAAACCTGAACTATCAAAGGAAGGTTCAACTCTGTGAATTGAATACAAACATCACAAAGAATGTTCTGAGTTTGCTTCCGTTCAGTTATGGGAAGTTGATCCCGTTTCCAAAGAAATCCTCAGAGAGGTCCAAATATCCCCTCGCAGATTCTACAAAACGTGTGTTTGGAAACTGCTCCATCATAACGAATGTTCAGCTCCCTGAGTTAAACTCCATCGTCACAAAGAATTTTCTGAGAGTGCTACCGTCTGGTTTTTATATGAAGTTCTTTCCTTCACTACCACAGGCCTCAAAGCGGTCCAAATCTCCACTTGCAGATTCTACAAAAAGAGTGTTTGCAAACTGCTCTATCAAAAGGAATGTTCAACTCTGGGAGTTGAATGCAATCATCACAGAGCAGTTTCTGAGAATGCTTCTATGTCGTTTTTAGGAGAAGATATTTCCTTTTCCAACACAGTCCTCCAAGCCCGCTAAATATCCACTTGCACATTGTAGAAAAAGTGTGTCGAAGCTGCGCTATCAAAGGGAAAGTTCAACTCTGTGAGGTGAATGCAAACATCCCAAAGAAGTTTCTGAGAATACTTCCGTTTAGCTTTTAGGTGAAGATTATCCCGTTTCCAACGAAATCTTCAAAGAGGTCCAAATATCCCCCTGCGGATCCCACAGAAAGAGTGTTTCGAAACTGCTGTTTCAAAAGGAATCTTCAACTCTGTGAGTTGAATGCAATCATCACAAAGAAGTTTCTGACAATGCTTCTCTCTCGTCTTTCTGTGAAGATAAAGGAAAAGGCTTTCAGGCCTTTTCCACCACAGGCCTGAAAGCGCTCCAAATGTCCACTTGCAGATTCTGCGAAAAGAATATTTCAAAACTGCTCTATGAAAAGCAATGTTAAACTCTGTGGCTCGAACACAAACATCACAAAGCGGTTTCTGAGAATGCTTCAGTTTAGTTTTTCTGTGGAAATATTCCCGTTTCCAAAGAAATCTTCAAAGAGGTCCACGTATCCACTTACAGAATCTACAAAAAGACAGTTTCAAAACTGCTCCATCAAAAGGAGGGTTCAACTGTGTGACTTGAATGCAATCATCACTCACAAGTTTCTGAGAATGCTTCTCTTTAGTTTTTACGTGAACATATACCCGTTTCGAACGAAGGCCAGCCAGTGGTCCAAATATCCACTTGCAGATTCTACAGAAAGAGTGTTTCGAACCTGAACTCTCAAAGGCAGGTTCATCTCTGCGAGTTAAATGCATTCATCATGAAGAACTTTCTCAGAGTGTTTGTGTTTAGTTATGGGAAATTATTCCCTTTTCCAACGAAATCCTCAGAGAGCTCCAAATATCCACCTGCAGATTCTACCAAAAGTGTATTTGGAAACTGCTCCATCAAAAGGCATGTTCAGCTCTGTGAGTGAAACTCCATCATCACAAAGAATATTCTGAGAATGCTTCCGTTTGCCTTTTATATGAAGTTCCTTCCTATACTACCGTAGGCCTCAAAGCAGTCCAAATCTCCATTTGCAGATTCTACAAAAAGAGTGATTCCAATCTGCTCTATCAATAGGATTGTTCAGCTCCATGAGTTGAATGCCATCCTCACAAAGTCGTTTCTGAGAATGCTTCTATCTAGTTTTTATGTGAAGATATTTCCTTTTCCACCACAGGCCTCAAAGCCCTCCAAATGTCCACTTGCAGATTCTCGAAAAAGAGTGTTTCATAGCTGCTCTTTCAAAAGGAAAGTTCAACTCTGGGAGTTGAATACAAACATCACAAAGTAGTTTCCGAGAATCTTCTGTTTAGTTTTTATGTGAAGATGATCCCGTTTCCAGTGAATTCTTCAAAGAGGTCCACATATCCCCTTGCAGATTCCAAAGAAAGATGGTTTCAAAACTGCTCCATCAAAAGGATTGTTCAACTCTGTGAGTTGAATGCAGTCATCACAGCAAACTTTCTGAGAATGCTTCTGTCTAGGTTTGATGTGAAGATATAGACGTTTCAAACGAAGGCTACAAAGTGGTCAAAATATACACTTGCAGATTCTACTACAAGGGTGTTGCAAACCTGAACTATCAAAGGAAGGTTCAACTCTGTGAGTTGAATACAAACATCACAAAGAATGTTCTGAGTTTGCTTCCGTTCAGTTATGGGAAGTTGATCCCGTTTCCAACGAAATCCTCAGAGAGGTCCAAATATCCCCTTGCAGATTCTACAAAACGTGTGTTTGGAAACTGCTCCATCATAACGGATGTTCAGCTCTCTGAGTTAAACTCCATCGTCACAAAGAATTTTCTGAGAGTGCTACCGTCTGGTTTTTATATGAAGCTCTTTCCTTCACTACCACAGGCCTCAAAGCGGTCCAAATCTCCACTTGCAGATTCTACAAAAAGAGTGTTTGCAAACTGCTCTATCAAAAGGAATGTTCAACTCTGGGAGTTGAATGCAATCATCACAGAGCAGTTTCTGAGAATGCTTCTATGTCGTTTTTAGGAGAAGATATTTCCTTTTCCAACACAGTGCTCCAAGCCCGCTAAATATCCACTTGCAGATTGTAGAAAAAGTGTGTCGAAGCTGCGCTATCAAAGGGAAAGTTCAACTCTGTGAGGTGAATGCAAACATCCCAAAGAAGTTTCTGTGAATGCTTCCGTTTAGCTTTTAGGTGAAGATTATCCCGTTTCCAACGAAACCTTCAAAGAGGTGCAAATATCCCCTTGCGGATCCCACAGAAAGAGTGTTTCGAAACTGCTGTTTCAAAAGGAATCTTCAACTCTGTGAGTTGAATGCAATCATCACAAAGAAGTTTCTGACAATGCTTCTCTCTCGTCTTTCTGTGAAGATAAAGGAAAAGGCTTTCAGGCCTTTTCCACCACAGGCCTGAAAGCGCTCCAAATGTCCACTTGCAGATTCTGCCAAAAGAATATTTCAAAACTGCTCTATGAAAAGCAATGTTAAACTCTGTGGCTGGAACACAAACATCACAAAGCGGTTTCTGAGAATGTTTCAGTTTAGTTTTTCTGTGGAAATATTCCCGTTTCCAAAGAAATCTTCAAAGAGGTCCACGTATCCACTTACAGATTCTACAAAAAGACAGTTTCAAAACTGCTCCATCAAAAGGAGGGTTCAACTGTGTGACTTGAATGCAATCATCACTCAGAAGTTTCTGAGAATGCTTTCTCTTTAGTTTTTACGTGAACATATACCCGTTTCGAACGAAGCCACCCAGTGGTCCAAATATCCACTTGCAGATTATACAGAAAGAGTGTTTCGAACCTGAACTCTCAAAGGCAGGTTCATCTCTGCGAGTTAAATGCATTCATCATGAAGAACTTTCTCAGAGTGTTTGTGTTTAGTTATGGGAAATTATTCCCGTTTCCAACGAAATCCTCAGAGAGCTCCAAATATCCACCTGCAGATTCTACCAAAAGTGTATTTGGAAACTGCTCCATCAAAAGGCATGTTCAGCTCTGTCAGTGAAGCTCCATCATCACAAAGAATATTCTGAGAATGCTTCCGTTTGCCTTTTATATGAAGTTCCTTCCTATACGACCGTAGGCCTCAAAGCAGTGCAAATCTCCATTTGCAGATTCTACAAAAAGAGTGATTCCAATCTGCTCTATCAATAGGATTGTTCAACTCCATGAGTTGAATGCCATCCTCACAAAGTCGTTTCTGAGAATGCTTCTATTCTAGTTTTTATGTGAAGATATTTCCTTTTCCACCACAGGCCTCAAAGCCCTCCAAACGTCCACTTGCAGATTCTCGAAAAAGAGTGTTTCATAGCTGCTCTTTCAAAAGGAAAGTTCAACTCTGGGAGTTGAATACAAACATCACAAAGTAGTTTCCGAGAATGCTTCTGTTTAGTTCTTATGTGAAGATGATCCCGTTTCCAGTGAAATCTTCAAAGAGGTCCACATATCCCCTTGCAGATTCCAAAGAAAGAGGGTTTCAAAACTGCTCCATCAAAAGGATTGTTCAACTCCGTGAGTTGAATGCAGTCATCGCAGAAAACTTTCTGAGAATGCTTCTGTCTAGGTTTGATGTGAAGATATAGACGTTTCAAACGAAGGCTACAAAGTGGTCAAAATATACACTTGCAGATTCTACTACAAGGGTGTTGCAAACCTTAACTATCAAAGGAAGGTTCAACTCTGTGAGTTGAATACAAACATCGCAAAGAATGTTCTGAGTTTGCTTCCGTTCAGTTATGGGAAGTTGATCCCGTTTCCAACGAAATCCTCAGAGAGGTCCAAATATCCCCTTGCAGATTCTACAAAACGTGTGTTTGGAAACTGCTCCATCATAACGAATGTTCAGCTCCCTGAGTTAAACTCCATCGTCACAAAGAATTTTCTGAGAGTGCTACCGTCTGGTTTTTATATGAAGCTCTTTCCTTCACTACCACAGGCCTCAAAGCGGTCCAAATCTCCACTTGCAGATTCTACAAAAAGAGTGTTTGCAAACTGCTCTATCAAAAGGAATGTTCAACTCTGGGAGTTGAATGCAATCATCACAGAGCAGTTTCTGAGAATGCTTCTATGTCGTTTTTAGGAGAAGATATTTCCTTTTCCAACACAGTCCTCCAAGCCCGCTAAATAGCCACTTGCACATTGTAGAAAAAGTGTGTCAAAGCTGCGCTATCAAAGGGAAAGTTCAACTCTGTGAGGTGAATGCAAACATCCCAAAGAAGTTTCTGAGAATGCTTCCGTTTAGCTTTTAGGTGAAGATTATCCCGTTTCCAACGAAACCTTCAAAGAGGTCCAAATATCCCCTTGTGGACCCCACAGAAAGAGTGTTTCGAAACTGCTGTTTCAAAAGGAATCTTCAACTCTGTGAGTTGAATGCAATCATCACAAAGAAGTTTCTGACAATGCTTCTCTCTCGTCTTTCTGTGAAGATTAAGGAAAAGGCTTTCAGGCCTTTTCCACCACAGGCCTGAAAGGGCTCCAAATGTCCACTTGCAGATTCTGCCAAAAGAATATTTCAAAACTGCTCTATGAAAAGCAATGTTAAACTCTGTGGCTCGAACACAAAGATCACAAAGCAGTTTCTGAGAATGCTTCAGTTTAGTTTTTCTGTGGAAATATTCCCGTTTCCAAAGAAATCTTCAAAGAGGTCCACGCATCCACTTACAGATTCTACAAAAAGACAGTTTCAAAACTGCTCAATCAAAAGGAGGGTTCAACTGTGTGACTTGAATGCAATCATCACTCAGAAGTTTCTGAGAACGCTTCTCTTTAGTTTTTACGTGAACATATACCCGTTTCGAACGAAAGCCAGCCAGTGGTCCAAATATCCACTTGCAGATTCTACAGAAAGAGTGTTTCAAACCTGAACTCTCAAAGGCAGGTTCATCTCTGCGAGTTAAATGCATTCATCATGAAGAACTTTCTCAGCGTGTTTGTGTTTAGTTATGGGAAATTATTCCCGTTTCCAACGAAATCCTCAGAGAGCTCCAAATATCCACCTGCAGATTCTACCAAAAGTGTATTTGGAAACTGCTCCATCAAAAGGCATGTTCAGCTCTGTGAGTGAAACTCCATCATCACAAAGAATATTCTGAGAATGCTTCCGTTTGCCTTTTATATGAAGTTCCTTCCTATACTACCGTAGGCCTCAAAGCAGTCCAAATCTCCATTTGCAGATTCTACAAAAAGAGTGATTCCAATCTGCTCTATCAATAGGATTGTTCAACTCCATGAGTTGAATGCCATCCTCACAAAGTCGTTTCTGAGAATGCTTCTATCTAGTTTTTATGTGAAGATATTTCCTTTTCCACCACAGGCCTCAAAGCCCTCCAAACGTCCACTTGCAGATTCTCGAAAAAGAGTGTTTCATAGCTGCTCTTTCAAAAGGAAAGTTCAACTCTGGGAGTTGAATACAAACATCACAAAGTAGTTTCCGAGAATGCTTCTGTTTAGTTTTTATGTGAAGATGATCCCGTTTCCAGTGAAATCTTCAAAGAGGTCCACATATCCCCTTGCAGATTCCAAAGAAAGAGGGTTTCAAAACTGCTCCATCAGAAGGATTGTTCAACTCTGTGAGTTGAATGCTGTCATCGCAGAAAACTTTCTGAGAATGCTTCTGTCTAGGTTTGATGTGAAGATATAGACGTTTCAAACGAAGGCTACAAAGTGGTCAAAATATACACTTGCAGATTCTACTACAAGGGTGTTGCAAACCTGAACTATCAAAGGAAGGTTCAACTCTGTGAGTTGAATACAAACATCACAAAGAATGTTCTGAGTTTGCTTCCGTTCAGTTATGGGAAGTTGATCCCGTTTCCAACGAAATCCTCAGAGAGGTCCAAATATCCCCTCGCAGATTCTACAAAACGTGTGTTTGGAAACTGCTCCATCATAACGAATGTTCAGCTCCCTGAGTTAAACTCCATCGTCACAAAGAATTTTCTGAGAGTGCTACCGTCTGGTTTTTATATGAAGTTCTTTCCTTCACTACCACAGGCCTCAAAGCGGTCCAAATCTCCACTTGCAGATTCTACAAAAAGAGTGTTTGCAAACTGCTCTATCAAAAGGAATGTTCAACTCTGGGAGTTGAATGCAATCATCACAGAGCAGTTTCTGAGAATGCTTCTATGTCGTTTTTAGGAGAAGATATTTCCTTTTCCAACACAGTCCTCCAAGCCCGCTAAATAGCCCCTTGCACATTGTAGAAAAAGTGTGTCAAAGCTGCGCTATCAAAGGGAAAGTTCAACTCTGTGAGGTGAATGCAAACATCCCAAAGAAGTTTCTGAGAATGCTTCCGTTTAGCTTTTAGGTGAAGATTATCCCGTTTCCAACGAAACCTTCAAAGAGGTCCAAATATCCCCTTGCGGATCCCACAGAAAGAGTGTTTCGAAACTGCTGTTTCAAAAGGAATCTTCAACTCTGTGAGTTGAATGCAATCATCACAAAGAAGTTTCTGACAATGCTTCTCTCTCGTCTTTCTGTGAAGATAAAGGAAAAGGCTTTCAGGCCTTTTCCACCACAGGCCTGAAAGCGCTCCAAATGTCCACTTGCAGATTCTGCGAAAAGAATATTTCAAAACTGCTCTATGAAAAGCAATGTTAAACTCTGTGGCTCGAACACAAACATCACAAAGCGGTTTCTGAGAATGCTTCAGTTTAGTTTTTCTGTGGAAATATTCCCGTTTCCAAAGAAATCTTCAAAGAGGTCCACGTATCCACTTACAGATTCTACAAAAAGACAGTTTCAAAACTGCTCAATCAAAAGGAGGGTTCAACCCGTGTGACTTGAATGCAATCATCACTCAGAAGTTTCTGAGAATGCTTCTCTTTAGTTTTTACGTGAACATATACCCGTTTCGAACGAAGGCCACCCAGTGGTCCAAATATCCACTTGCAGATTCTACAGAAAGAGTGTTTCGAACCTGAACTCTCAAAGGCAGGTTCATCTCTGCGAGTTAAATGCATTCATCATGAAGAACTTTCTCAGAGTGTTTGTGTTTAGTTATGGGAAATTACTCCTTTTCCCAACGAAATCCTCAGAGAGGTCCAAATGTCCACCTGCAGATTCTACCAAAAGTGTATTTGGAAACTGCTCCAACAACAGGCATGTTCAGCTCTGTGAGTGAAACTCCATCATCACAAAGAATATTCTGAGAATGCTTCCGTTTGCCTTTTATATGAAGTTCCTTCCCATACGACCGTAGGCCTCAAAGCAGTCCAAATCTCCATTTGCAGATTCTACAAAAAGAGTGATTCCAATCTGCTCTATCAATAGGATTGTTCAACTCCATGAGTTGAATGCCATCCTCACAAAGTCGTTTCTGAGAATGCTTCTATCTTGTTTTTATGTGAAGATATTTCCTTTTCCACCACAGGCCTCAAAGCCCTCCAAACGTCCACTTGCAGATTCTCGAAAAAGAGTGTTTCATAGCTGCTCTTTCAAAAGGAAAGTTCAACTCTGGGAGTTGAATACAAACATCACAAAGTAGTTTCCGAGAATGCTTCTGTTTAGTTCTTATGTGAAGATGATCCCGTTTCCAGTGAAATCTTCAAAGAGGTCCACATATCCCCTTGCAGATTCCAAAGAAAGAGGGTTTCAAAACTGCTCCATCAAAAGGATTGTTCAACTCTGTGAGTTGAATGCAGTCATCGCAGAAAACTTTCTGAGAATGCTTCTGTCTAGGTTTGAGGTGAAGATATAGACGTTTCAAACGAAGGCTACAAAGTGGTCAAAATATACACTTGCAGATTCTACTACAAGGGTGTTGCAAACCTCAACTATCAAAGGAAGGTTCAACTCTGTGAGTTGAATACAAACATCACAAAGAATGTTCTGAGTTTGCTTCCGTTCAGTTATGGGAAGTTGATCCCGTTTCCAACGAAATCCTCAGAGAGGTCCAAATATCCCCTTGCAGATTCTACAAAACGTGTGTTTGGAAACTGCTCCATCATAACGAATGTTCAGCTCCCTGAGTTAAACTCCATCGTCACAAAGAATTTTCTGAGAGTGCTACCGTCTGGTTTTTATATGAAGTTCTTTCCTTCACTACCACAGGCCTCAAAGCGGTCCAAATCTCCACTTGCAGATTCTACAAAAAGAGTGTTTGCAAACTGCTCTATCAAAAGGAATGTTCAACTCTGGGAGTTGAATGCAATCATCACAGAGCAGTTTCTGAGAATGCTTCTATGTCGTTTTTAGGAGAAGATATTTCCTTTTCCAACACAGTCCTCCAAGCCCGCTAAATAGCCACTTGCACATTGTAGAAAAAGTGTGTCAAAGCTGCGCTATCAAAGGGAAAGTTCAACTCTGTGAGGTGAATGCAAACATCCCAAAGAAGTTTCTGAGAATGCTTCCGTTGAGCTTTTAGGTGAAGATTATCCCGTTTCCAACGAAACCTTCAAAGAGGTCCAAATATCCCCTTGCGGATCCCACAGAAAGAGTGTTTCGAAACTGCTGTTTCAAAAGGAATCTTCAACTCTGTGAGTTGAATGCAATCATCGCAAAGAAGTTTCTGACAATGCTTCTCTCTCGTCTTTCTGTGAAGGTAAAGGAAAAGGCTTTCAGGCCTTTTCCACCACAGGCCTGAAAGCGCTCCAAATGTCCACTTGCAGATTCTGCCAAAAGAATATTTCAAAACTGCTCTATGAAAAGCAATGTTAAACTCTGTGGCTCGAACACAAACATCACAAAGCGGTTTCTGAGAATGCTTCAGTTTAGTTTTTCTGTGGAAATATTCCCGTTTCCAAAGAAATCTTCAAAGAGGTCCACGTATCCACTTACAGATTCTACAAAAAGACAGTTTCAAAACTGCTCCATCAAAAGGAGGGTTCAACTGTGTGACTTGAATGCAATCATCACTCAGAAGTTTCTGAGAATGCTTTCTCTTTAGTTTTTACGTGAACATATACCCGTTTCGAACGAAGGCCACCCAGTGGTCCAAATATCCACTTGCAGATTATACAGAAAGAGTGTTTCGAACCTGAACTCTCAAAGGCAGGTTCATCTCTGCGAGTTAAATGCATTCATCATGAAGAACTTTCTCAGCGTGTTTGTGTTTAGTTTTGGGAAATTATTCCCGTTTCCAACGAAATCCTCAAAGAGCTCCAAATATCCACCTGCAGATTCTACCAAAAGTGTATTTGGAAACTGCTCCATCAAAAGGCATGTTCAGCTCTGTGAGTGAAACTCCATCATCACAAAGAATATTCTGAGAATGCTTCCGTTTGCCTTTTATATGAAGTTCCTTCCTATACGACCGTAGGCCTCAAAGCAGTCCAAATCTCCATTTGCAGATTCTACAAAAAGAGTGATTCCAATCTGCTCTATCAATAGGATTGTTCAACTCCATGAGTTGAATGCCATCCTCACAAAGTAGTTTCTGAGAATGCTTCTATCTAGTTTTTATGTGAAGATATTTCCTTTTCCACCACAGGCCTCAAAGCCCTCCAAACGTCCACTTGCAGATTCTCGAAAAAGAGTGTTTCATAGCTGCTCTTTGAAAAGGAAAGTTCACCTCTGGCAGTTGAATACAAACATCACAAAGTAGTTTCCTTGAATGCTTCTGTTTAGTTTTTATGTGAAGATGATCCCGTTTCCAGTGAAATCTTCAAAGAGGTCCACATATCCCCTTGCAGATTCCAAAGAAAGAGGGTTTCAAAACTGCTCCATCAGAAGGATTGTTCAACTCTGTGAGTTGAATGCAGTCATCGCAGAAAACTTTCTGAGAATGCTTCTGTCTAGGTTTGATGTGAAGATATAGACGTTTCAAACGAAGACTACAAAGTGGTCAAAATATACACTTGCAGATTGTACTACAAGGGTGTTGCAAACCTGAACTATCAAAGGAAGGTTCAACTCTGTGAGTTGAATACAAACATCGCAAAGAATGTTCTGAGTTTGCTTCCGTTCAGTTATGGGAAGTTGATCCCGTTTCCAACGAAATCCTCAGAGAGGTCCAAATATCCCCTTGCAGATTCTACAAAACGTGTGTTTGGAAACTGCTCCATCATAACGAATGTTCAGCTCCCTGAGTTAAACTCCATCGTCACAAAGAATTTTCTGAGAGTGCTACCGTCTGGTTTTTATATGAAGCTCTTTCCTTCACTACCACAGGCCTCAAAGCGGTCCAAATCTCCACTTCCAGATTCTACAAAAAGAGTGTTTGCAAACTGCTCTATCAAAAGGAATGTTCAACTCTGGGAGTTGAATGCAATCATCACAGAGCAGTTTCTGAGAATGCTTCTATGTCGTTTTTAGGAGAAGATATTTCCTTTTCCAACACAGTCCTCCAAGCCCGCTAAATAGCCACTTGCACATTGTAGAAAAAGTGTGTCAAAGCTGCGCTATCAAAGGGAAAGTTCAACTCTGTGAGGTGAATGCAAACATCCCAAAGAAGTTTCTGAGAATGCTTCCGTTTAGCTTTTAGGTGAAGATTATCCCGTTTCCAACGAAACCTTCAAAGAGGTCCAAATATCCCCTTGCGGATCCCACAGAAAGAGTGTTTCGAAACTGCTGTTTCAAAAGGAATCTTCAACTCTGTGAGTTGAATGCAATCATCACAAAGAAGTTTCTGACAATGCTTCTCTCTCGTCTTTCTGTGAAGATAAAGGAAAAGGCTTTCAGGCCTTTGCCACCACAGGCCTGAAAGCGCTCCAAATGTCCACTTGCAGATTCTGCCAAAAGAATATTTCAAAACTGCTCTATGAAAAGCAATGTTAAACTCTGCGGCTCGAACACAAACATCACAAAGCGGTTTCTGAGAATGCTTCAGTTTAGTTTTTCTGTGGAAATATTCCCGTTTCCAAAGAAATCTTCAAAGAGGTCCACGCATCCACTTACAGATTCTACAAAAACACAGTTTCAAAACTGCTCAATCAAAACGAGGGTTCAACTGTGTGACTTGAATGCAATCATCACTCAGAAGTTTCTGAGAATGCTTCTCTTTAGTTTTTACGTGAACATATACCCGTTTCGAACGAAGGCCACCCAGTGGTCCAAATATCCACTTGCAGATTCTACAGAAAGAGTGTTTCGAACCTGAACTCTCAAAGGCAGGTTCATCTCTGCGAGTTAAATGCATTCATCATGAAGAACTTTCTCAGCGTGTTTGTGTTTAGTTATGGGAAATTATTCCCGTTTCCAACGAAATCCTCAGAGAGCTCCAAATATCCACCTGCAGATTCTACCAAAAGTGTATTTGGAAACTGCTCCATCAAAAGGCATGTTCAGCTCTGTGAGTGAAACTCCATCATCACAAAGAATATTCTGAGAATGCTTCCGTTTGCCTTTTATATGAAGTTCCTTCCTGTACTACCGTAGGCCTCAAAGCAGTCCAAATCTCCATTTGCAGATTCTACAAAAAGAGTGATTCCAATCTGCTCTATCAATAGGATTGTTCAACTCCATGAGTTGAATGCCATCCTCACAAAGTCGTTTCTGAGAATGCTTCTATCTAGTTTTTATGTGAAGATATTTCCTTTTCCACCACAGGCCTCAAAGCCTTCCAAACGTCCACTTGCAGATTCTCGAAAAAGAGTGTTTCATAGCTGCTCTTTCAAAAGGAAAGTTCAACTCTGGGAGTTGAATACAAACATCACAAAGTAGTTTCCGAGAATGCTTCTGTTTAGTTTTTATGTGAAGATGATCCCGTTTCCAGTGAAATCTTCAAAGAGGTCCACATATCCCCTTGCAGATTCCAAAGAAAGAGGGTTTCAAAACTGCTCCATCAGAAGGATTGTTCAACTCTGTGAGTTGAATGCAGTCAACGCAGAAAACTTTCTGAGAATGCTTCTGTCTAGGTTTGATGTGAAGATATAGACGTTTCAAACGAAGGCTACAAAGTGGTCAAAATATACACTTGCAGATTCTACTACAAGGGTGTTGCAAACCTGAACTATCAAAGGAAGGTTCAACTCTGTGAGTTGAATACAAACATCACAAAGAATGTTCTGAGTTTGCTTCCGTTCAGTTATGGGAAGTTGATCCCGTTTCCAACGAAATCCTCAGAGAGGTCCAAATATCCCCTTGCAGATTCTACAAAACGTGTGTTTGGAAACTGCTCCATCATAACGAATGTTCAGCTCCCTGAGTTAAACTCCATCGTCACAAAGAATTTTCTGAGAGTGCTACCGTCTGGTTTTTATATGAAGTTCTTTCCTTTACTACCATAGGCCTCAAAGCGGTCCAAATCTCCACTTGCAGATTCTACAAAAAGAGTGTTTGCAAACTGCTCTATCAAAAGGAATGTTCAACCCTGGGAGTTGAATGCAATCATCACACAGCAGTTTCTGAGAATGCTTCTATGTCGTTTTTAGGAGAAGATATTTCCTTTTCCAACACAGTCCTCCAAGCCCGCTAAATAGCCACTTGCACATTGTAGAAAAAGTGTGTCAAAGCTGCGCTATCAAAGGGAAAGTTCAACTCTGTGAGGTGAATGCAAACATCCCAAAGAAGTTTCTGAGAATGCTTCCGTTTAGCTTTTAGGTGAAGATTATCCCGTTTCCAACGAAACCTTCAAAGAGGTCCAAATATCCCCTTGCGGATCCCACAGAAAGAGTGTTTCGAAACTGCTGTTTCAAAAGGAATCTTCAACTCTGTGAGTTGAATGCAATCATCACAAAGAAGTTTCTGACAATGCTTCTCTCTCGTCTTTCTGTGAAGATAAAGGAAAAGGCTTTCAGGCCTTTTCCACCACAGGCCTGAAAGCGCTCCAAATGTCCACTTGCAGATTCTGCGAAAAGAATATTTCAAAACTGCTCTATGAAAAGCAATGTTAAACTCTGTGGCTGGAACACAAACATCACAAAGCGGTTTCTGAGAATGTTTCAGTTTAGTTTTTCTGTGGAAATATTCCCGTTTCCAAAGAAATCTTCAAAGAGGTCCACGTATCCACTTACAGATTCTACAAAAAGACAGTTTCAAAACTGCTCCATCAAAAGGAGGGTTCAACTGTGTGACTTGAATGCAATCATCACTCAGAAGTTTCTGAGAATGCTTCTCTTTAGTTTTTACGTGAACTTATACCCGTTTCGAACGAAGGCCAGCCAGTGGTCCAAATATCCACTTGCAGATTCTACAGAAAGAGTGTTTCGAACCTGAACTCTCAAAGACAGGTTCATCTCTGCGAGTTAAATGCATTCATCATGAAGAACTTTCTCAGAGTGTTTGTGTTTAGTTATGGGAAATTATTCCCGTTTCCAACGAAATCCTCAGAGAGCTCCAAATATCCACCTGCAGATTCTACCAAAAGTGTATTTGGAAACTGCTCCATCAAAAGGCATGTTCAGCTCTGTGAGTGAAACTCCATCATCACAAAGAATATTCTGAGAATGCTTCCGTTTGCCTTTTATATGAAGTTCCTTCCTGTACTACCGTAGGCCTCAAAGCAGTCCAAATCTCCATTTGCAGATACTATAAAAAGAGTGATTCCAATCTGCTCTATCAATAGGATTGTTCAACTCCATGAGTTGAATGCCATCCTCACAAAGTAGTTTCTGAGAATGCTTCTATCTGGTTTTTGTGTGAAGATATTTCCTTTTCCACCACAGGCCTCAAAGCCCTCCAAACGTCCACTTGCAGATTCTCGAAAAAGAGTGTTTCATAGCTGCTCTTTCCAAAGGAAAGTTCAACTCTGGGAGTTGAATACAAACATCACAAAGTAGTTTCCGAGAATGCTTCTGTTTAGTTTTTATGTGAAGATGATCCCGTTTCCAGTGAAATCTTCAAAGAGGTCCACATATCCCCTTGCAGATTCCAAAGAAAGAGGGTTTCAAAACTGCTCCATCAGAAGGATTGTTCAACTCTGTGAGTTGAATGCAGTCATCGCAGAAAACTTTCTGAGAATGCTTCTGTCTAGGTTTGATGTGAAGATATAGACGTTCAAACGAAGGCTACAAAGTGGTCAAAATATACACTTGCAGATTCTACTACAAGGGTGTTGCAAACCTGAACTATCAAAGGAAGGTTCAACTCTGTGAGTTGAATACAAACATCACAAAGAATGTTCTGAGTTTGCTTCCGTTCAGTTATGGGAAGTTGATCCCGTTTCCAACGAAATCCTCAGAGAGGTCCAAATATCCCCTTGCAGATTCTACAAAACGTGTGTTTGGAAACTGCTCCATCATAACGAATGTTCAGCTCCCTGAGTTAAACTCCATCGTCACAAAGAATTTTCTGAGAGTGCTACCGTCTGGTTTTTATATGAAGTTCTTTCCTTCACTACCACAGGCCTCAAAGCGGTCCAAATCTCCACTTGCAGATTCTACAAAAAGAGTGTTTGCAAACTGCTCTATCAAAAGGAATGTTCAACTCTGGGAGTTGAATGCAATCATCACAGAGCAGTTTCTGAGAATGCTTCTATGTCGTTTTTAGGAGAAGATATTTCCTTTTCCAACACAGTCCTCCAAGCCCGCTAAATAGCCACTTGCACATTGTAGAAAAAGTGTGTCAAAGCTGCGCTATCAAAGGGAAAGTTCAACTCTGTGAGGTGAATGCAAACATCCCAAAGAAGTTTCTGAGAATGCTTCCGTTTAGCTTTTAGGTGAAGATTATCCCGTTTCCAACGAAACCTTCAAAGAGGTCCAAATATCCCCTTGCGGATCCCACAGAAAGAGTGTTTCGAAACTGCTGTTTCAAAAGGAATCTTCAACTCTGTGAGTTGAATGCAATCATCACAAAGAAGTTTCTGACAATGCTTCTCTCTCGTCTTTCTGTGAAGATAAAGGAAAAGGCTTTCAGGCCTTTTCCACCACAGGCCTGAAAGCGCTCCAAATGTCCACTTGCAGATTCTGCCAAAAGAATATTTCAAAACTGCTCTATGAAAAGCAATGTTAAACTCTGTGGCTGGAACACAAACATCACAAAGCGGTTTCTGAGAATGTTTCAGTTTAGTTTTTCTGTGGAAATATTCCCGTTTCCAAAGAAATCTTCAAAGAGGTCCACGTATCCACTTACAGATTCTACAAAAAGACAGTTTCAAAACTGCTCCATCAAAAGGAGGGTTCAACTGTGTGACTTGAATGCAATCATCACTCAGAAGTTCTGAGAATGCTTCTCTTTAGTTTTTACGTGAACATATACGCGTTTCGAACGAAGGCCACCCAGTGGTCCAAATATCCACTTGCAGATTCTACAGAAAGAGTGTTTCGAACCTGAACTCTCAAAGGCAGGTTCATCTCTGCGAGTTCAATGCATTCATCATGAAGAACTTTCTCAGAGTGTTTGTGTTTAGGTTTGGGAAATTATTCCCATTTCCAACGAAATCCTCAGAGAGGTCCAAATATCCACCTGCAGATTCTACCAAAAGTGTATTTGGAAACTGCTCCATCAAAAGGCATGTTCAGCTCTGTGAGTGAAACTCCATCATCACAAAGAATATTCTGAGAATGCTTCCGTTTGCCTTTTATATGAAGTTCCTTCCTATACGACCGTAGGCCTCAAAGCAGTTCAAATCTCCATTTGCAGATTCTACCAAAAGAGTGATTCCAATCTGCTCTATCAATAGGATTGTTCAACTCCATGAGTTGAATGCCATCCTCACAAAGTCGTTTCTGAGAATGCTTCTATCTAGTTTTTATGTGAAGATATTTCCTTTTCCACCACAGGCCTCAAAGCCCTCCAAACGTCCACTTGCAGATTCTCGAAAAAGATTGTTTCATAGCCGCTCTTTCAAAAGGAAAGTTCAACTCTGGGAGTTGAATACAAACATCACAAAGTAGTTTCCGAGAATGCTTCTGTTTAGTTCTTATGTGAAGATGATCCCGTTTCCAGTGAAATCTTCAAAGAGGTCCACATATCCCCTTGCAGATTCCAAAGAAAGAGGGTTTCAAAACTGCTCCATCAAAAGGATTGTTCAACTCTGTGAGTTGAATGCAGTCATCGCAGAAAACTTTCTGAGAATGCTTCTGTCTAGGTTTGAGGTGAAGATATAGACGTTTCAAACGAAGGCTACAAAGTGGTCAAAATATACACTTGCAGATTCTACTACAAGGGTGTTGCAAACCTCAACTATCAAAGGAAGTTTCAACTCTGTGAGTTGAATACAAACATCACAAAGAATGTTCTGAGTTTGCTTCCGTTCAGTTATGGGAAGTTGATCCCGTTTCCAACGAAATCCTCAGAGAGGTCCAAATATCCCCTTGCAGATTCTACAAAACGTGTGTTTGGAAACTGCTCCATCATAACGAATGTTCAGCTCCCTGAGTTAAACTCCATCGTCACAAAGAATTTTCTGAGAGTGCTACCGTCTGGTTTTTATATGAAGCTCTTTCCTTCACTACCCCAGGCCTCAAAGCGGTCCAAATCTCCACTTGCAGATTCTACAAAAAGAGTGTTTGCAAACTGCTCTATCAAAAGGAATGTTCAACTCTGGGAGTTGAATGCAATCATCACAGAGCAGTTTCTGAGAATGCTTCTATGTCGTTTTTAGGAGAAGATATTTCCTTTTCCAACACAGTCCTCCAAGTCCGCTAAATAGCCACTTGCACATTGTAGAAAAAGTGTGTCAAAGCTGCGCTATCAAAGGGAAAGTTCAACTCTGTGAGGTGAATGCAAACATCCCAAAGAAGTTTCTGAGAATGCTTCCGTTTAGCTTTTAGGTGAAGATTATCCCGTTTCCAACGAAACCTTCAAAGAGGTCCAAATATCCCCTTGCGGATCCCACAGAAAGAGTGTTTCGAAACTGCTGTTTCAAAAGGAATCTTCAACTCTGTGAGTTGAATGCAATCATCACAAAGAAGTTTCTGACAATGCTTCTCTCTCGTCTTTCTGTGAAGATAAAGGAAAAGGCTTTCAGGCCTTTGCCACCACAGGCCTGAAAGCGCTCCAAATGTCCACTTGCAGATTCTGCGAAAAGAATATTTCAAAACTGCTCTATGAAAAGCAATGTTAAACTCTGTGGCTCGAACACAAACATCACAAAGCAGTTTCTGAGAATGCTTCAGTTTAGTTTTTCTGTGGAAATATTCCCGTTTCCAAAGAAATCTTCAAAGAGGTCCACGCATCCACTTACAGATTCTACAAAAAGACAGTTTCAAAACTGCTCCATCAAAAGGAGGGTTCAACTGTGTGACTTGAATGCAATCATCACTCAGAAGTTTCTGAGAATGCTTCTCTTTAGTTTTTACGTGAACATATACCCGTTTCGAACGAAGGCCACCCAGTGGTCCAAATATCCACTTGCAGATTCTACAGAAAGAGTGTTTCGAACCTGAACTCTCAAAGGCAGGTTCATCTCTGCGAGTTAAATGCATTCATCATGAAGAACTTTCTCAGAGTGTTTGTGTTTAGTTATGGGAAATTATTCCCGTTTCCAAAGAAATCCTCAGAGAGCTCCAAATATCCACCTGCAGATTCTACCAAAAGTGTATTTGGAAACTGCTCCATCAAAAGGCATGTTCAGCTCTGTGAGTGAAACTCCATCATCACAAAGAATATTCTGAGAATGCTTCCGTTTGCCTTTTATCTGAAGTTCCTTCATACACGACCGTAGGCCTCAAAGCAGTCCAAATCTCCATTTGCAGATTCTACAAAAAGAGTGATTCCAATCTGCTCTATCAATAGGATTGTTCAACTCCATGAGTTGAATGCCATCCTCACAAAGTCGTTTCTGAGAATGCTTCTATCTAGTTTTTATGTGAAGATATTTCCTTTTCCACCACAGGCCTCAAAGCCCTCCAAACGTCCACTTGCAGATTCTCGAAAAGGAGTGTTTCATAGCTGCTCTTTCAAAAGGAAAGTTCAACTCTGGGAGTTGAATACAAACATCACAAAGTAGTTTCCGAGAATGCTTCTGTTTAGTTTTTATGTGAAGATGATCCCGTTTCCAGTGAAATCTTCAAAGAGGTCCACATATCCCCTTGCAGATTCCAAAGAAAGAGGGTTTCAAAACTGCTCCATCAGAAGGATTGTTCAACTCTGTGAGTTGAATGCAGTCATCGTAGAAAACTTTCTGAGAATGCTTCTGTCTAGGTTTGATGTGAAGATATAGACGTTTCAAACGAAGGCTACAAAGTGGTCAAAATATACACTTGCAGATTCTACTACAAGGGTGTTGCAAACCTGAACTATCAAAGGAAGGTTCAACTCTGTGAGTTGAATACAAACATCACAAAGAATGTTCTGAGTTTGCTTCCGTTCAGTTATGGGAAGTTGATCCCGTTTCCAGCGAAATCCTCAGAGAGGTCCAAATATCCCCTTGCAGATTCTACAAAACGTGTGTTTGGAAACTGCTCCATCATAACGAATGTTCAGCTCCCTGAGTTAAACTCCATCGTCACAAAGAATTTTCTGAGAGTGCTACCGTCTGGTTTTTATATGAAGTTCTTTCCTTCACTACCACAGGCCTCAAAGCGGTCCAAATCTCCACTTGCAGATTCTACAAAAAGAGTGTTTGCAAACTGCTCTATCAAAAGGAATGTTCAACTCTGGGAGTTGAATGCAATCATCACAGAGCAGTTTCTGAGAATGCTTCTATGTCGTTTTTAGGAGAAGATATTTCCTTTTCCAACACAGTCCTCCAAGCCCGCTAAATAGCCACTTGCACATTGTAGAAAAAGTGTGTCAAAGCTGCGCTATCAAAGGGAAAGTTCAACTCTGTGAGGTGAATGCAAACATCCCAAAGAAGTTTCTGAGAATGCTTCCGTTTAGCTTTTAGGTGAAGATTATCCCGTTTCCAACGAAACCTTCAAAGTAGGTCCAAATATCCCCTTGCGGATCCCACAGAAAGAGTGTTTCGAAACTGCTGTTTCAAAAGGAATCTTCAACTCTGTGAGTTGAATGCAATCATCACAAAGAAGTTTCTGACAATGCTTCTCTCTCGTCTTTCTGTGAAGATAAAGGAAAAGGCTTTCAGGCCTTTTCCACCACAGGCCTGAAAGCGCTCCAAATGTCCACTTGCAGATTCTGCCAAAAGAATATTTCAAAACTGCTCTATGAAAAGCAATGTTAAACTCTGCGGCTCGAACACAAACATCACAAAGCGGTTTCTGAGAATGCTTCAGTTTAGTTTTTCTGTGGAAATATTCCCGTTTCCAAAGAAATCTTCAAAGAGGTCCACGTATCCACTTACAGATTCTACAAAAAGACAGTTTCAAAACTGCTCCATCAAAAGGAGGGTTCCACTGTGTGACTTGAATGCAATCATCACTCACAAGTTTCTGAGAATGCTTCTCTTTAGCTTTTACGTGAACGTATACCCGTTTCGAACGAAGGCCACCCAGTGGTCCAAATATCCACTTGCAGATTCTACAGAAAGAGTGTTTCGAACCTGAACTCTCAAAGGCAGGTTCATCTCTGCGAGTTAAATGCATTCATCATGAAGAACTTTCTCAGAGTGTTTGTGTTTAGTTATGGGAAATTATTCCCGTTTCCAACGAAATCCTCAGAGAGCTCCAAATATCCACCTGCAGATTCTACCAAAAGTGTATTTGGAAACTGCTCCATCAAAAGGCATGTTCAGCTCTGTGAGTGAAACTCCATCATCACAAAGAATATTCTGAGAATGCTTCCGTTTGCCTTTTATATGAATTTCCTTCCTATATGACCGTAGGCCTCAAAGCAGTCCAAATCTCCATTTGCAGATTCTACAAAAAGAGTGATTCCAATCTGCTCTATCAATAGGATTGTTCAACTCCATGAGTTGAATGCCATCCTCACAAAGTAGTTTCTGAGAATGCTTCTATCTAGTTTTTATGTGAAGATATTTCCTTTTCCACCACAGGCCTCAAAGCCCTCCAAACGTCCACTTGCAGATTCTCGAAAAAGAGTGTTTCATAGCTGCTCTTTCAAAAGGAAAGTTCAACTCTGGGAGTTGAATACAAACATCACAAAGTAGTTTCCGAGAATGCTTCTGTTTAGTTCTTATGTGAAGATGATCCCGTTTCCAGTGAAATCTTCAAAGTAGGTCCACATATCCCCTTGCAGATTCCAAAGAAAGAGGGTTTCAAAACTGCTCCATCAAAAGGATTGTTCAACTCTGTGAGTTGAATGCAGTCATCGCAGAAAACTTTCTGAGAATGCTTCTGTCTCGGTTTCATGTGAAGATATAGACGTTTCAAACAAAGGCTACAAAGTGGTCAAAATATACACTTGCAGATTCTACTACAAGGGTGATGCAAACCTGAACTATCAAAGGAAGGTTCAACTCTGTGAGTTGAATACAAACATCACAAAGAATGTTCTGAGTTTGCTTCCGTTCAGTTATGGGAAGTTGATCCCGTTTCCTACGAATTCCTCAGAGAGGTCCAAATATCCCCTTGCAGATTCTACAAAACGTGTGTTTGGAAACTGCTCCATCATAACGAATGTTCAGCTCTCTGAGTTAAACTCCATCGTCACAAAGAATTTTCTGAGAGTGCTACCGTCTGGTTTTTATATGAAGTTCTTTCCTTCACTACCACAGGCCTCAAAGCGGTCCAAATCTCCACTTGCAGATTCTACAAAAAGAGTGTTTGCAAACTGCTCTATCAAAAGGAATGTTCAACTCTGGGAGTTGAATGCAATCATCACAGAGCAGTTTCTGAGAATGCTTCTATGTTGTTTTTAGGAGAAGATATTTCCTTTTCCAACACAGTCCTCCAAGCCCGCTAAATATCCACTTGCACATTGTAGAAAAAGTGGGTCGAAGCTGCGCTATCAAAGGGAAAGTTCAACTCTGTGAGGTGAATGCAAACATCCCAAAGAAGTTTCTGAGAATGCTTCCGTTTAGCTTTTAGGTGAAGATTATCCCGTTTCCAACGAAATCTTCAAAGAGGTCCAAATATCCCCTTGCGGATCCCACAGAAAGAGTGTTTCGAAACTGCTGTTTCAAAAGGAATCTTCAACTCTGTGAGTTGAATGCAATCATCACAAAGAAGTTTCTGACAATGCTTCTCTCTCGTCTTTCTGTGAAGATAAAGGAAAAGGCTTTCAGGCCTTTTCCACCACAGGCCTGAAAGCGCTCCAAATGTCCACTTGCAGATTCTGCCAAAAGAATATTTCAAAACTGCTCTATGAAAAGCAATGTTAAACTCTGCGGCTCGAACACCAACATCACAACGCAGTTTCTGAGAATGCTTCAGTTTAGTTTTTCTGTGGAAATATTCCCATTTCCAAAGAAATCTTCAAAGAGGTCCACGTATCCACTTCCAGATTCTACAAAAAGACAGTTTCAAAGCTGCTCAATCAAAAGGCGGGTTCAACTGTGTGACTTGAATGCAATCATCACTCAGAAGTTTCTGAGAATGCTTCTCTTTAGTTTTTACGTGAACATATACCCGTTTCGAACGAAGGCCACCCAGTGGTCCAAATATCCACTTGCAGATTCTACAGAAAGAGTGTTTCGAACCTGAACTCTCAAAGGCAGGTTCATCTCTGCGAGTTCAATGCATTCAACATGAAGAACTTTCTCAGCGTGTTTGTGTTTAGTTATGGGAAATTATTGCCGTTTCCAACGAAATCCTCAGAGAGGTCCAAATATCCACCTGCAGATTCTACCAAAAGTGTATTTGGAAACTGCTCCATCAAAAGGCATGTTCAGCTCTGTGAGTGAAACTCCATCATCACAAAGAATATTCTGAGAATGCTTCCGTTTGCCTTTTATATGAAGTTCCTTCCTATACTACCGTAGGCCTCAAAGCAGTCCAAATCTCCATTTGCAGATTCTACAAAAAGAGTGATTCCAATCTGCTCTATCAATAGGATTGTTCAACTCCATGAGTTGAATGCCATCCTCACAAAGTCGTTTCTGAGAATGCTTCTATCTAGTTTTTATGTGAAGATATTTCCTTTTCCACCACAGGCCTCAAAGCCCTCCAAACGTCCACTTGCAGATTCTCGAAAAAGAGTGTTTCATAGCTGCTCTTTCACAAGGAAAGTTCAACTCTGGGAGTTGAATACAAACATCACAAAGTAGTTTCCGAGAATGCTTCTGTTTAGTTCTTATGTGAAGATGATCCCGTTTCCAGTGAAATCTTCAAAGAGGTCCACATATCCCCTTGCAGATTCCAAAGAAAGAGGGTTTCAAAACTGCTCCATCAAAAGGATTGTTCAACTCTGTGAGTTGAATGCAGTCATCGCAGAAAACTTTCTGAGAATGCTTCTGTCTAGGTTTGATGTGAAGATATAGACGTTTCAAACGAAGGCTACAAAGTGGTCAAAATATACTCTTGCAGATTCTACTACAAGGGTGTTGCAAACCTGAACTCTCAAAGGAAGGTTCAACTCTGTGAGTTGAATACAAACATACATCACAAAGAATGTTCTGAGTTTGCTTCCGTTCAGTTATGGGAAGTTGATCCCGTTTCCAACGAAATCCTCAGAGAGGTCCAAATATCCCCTTGCAGATTCTGCAAAACGTGTGTTTGGAAACTGCTCCATCATAACGAATGTTCAGCTCTCTGAGTTAAACTCCATCGTCACAAAGAATTTTCTGAGAGTGCTACCGTCTAGTTTTTATATGAAGTTCTTTCCTTTACTACCACAGGCCTCAAAGCGGTCCAAATCTCCACTTGCAGATTCTACAAAAAGAGTGTTTGCAAACTGCTCTATCAAAAGGAATGTTCAACTCTGGGAGTTGAATGCAATCATCACAGAGCAGTTCTTGAGAATGCTTCTATGTGGTTTTTAGGAGAAGATATTTCCTTTTCCAACACAGTCCTGCAAGCCCGCTAAATATCCACTTGCACATTTTAGAAAAAGTGTGTCGAAGCTGCGCTATCAAAGGGAAAGTTCGACTCTGTGAGGTGAATGCAAACATCCCAAAGAAGTTTCTGAGAATGCTTCCGTTTAGCTTTTAGGTGAAGATTATCCCGTTTCCAACGAAACCTTCAAAGAGGTCCAAATATCCCCTTGCGGATCCCACAGAAAGAGTGTTTCAAAACTGCTGTTTCAAAAGGAATCTTCAACTCTGTGAGTTGAATGCAATCATCACAAAGAAGTTTCTGACAATGCTTCTCTCTCGTCTTTCTGTGAAGATAAAGGAAAAGGCTTTCAGGCCTTTTCCACCACAGGCCTGAAAGCGCTCCAAATGTCCACTTGCAGATTCTGCGAAAAGAATATTTCAAAACTGCTCTATGAAAAGCAATGTTAAACTCTGCGGCTCGAACACAAACATCACAAAGCGGTTTCTGAGAATGCTTCAGTTTAGTTTTTCTGTGGAAATATTCCCGTTTCCAAAGAAATCTTCAAAGAGGTCCACGTATCCACTTACAGATTCTACAAAAAGACAGTTTCAAAACTGCTCCATCAAAAGGAGGGTTCAACTGTGTGACTTGAATGCAATCATCACTCAGAAGTTTCTGAGAATGCTTCTCTTTAGTTTTTACGTGAACATATACCCGTTTCGAACGAAGGCCACCCAGTGGTCCAAATATCCACTTGCAGATTCTACAGAAAGAGTGTTTCGAAACTGAACTCTCAAAGGCAGGTTCATCTCTGCGAGTTAAATGCATTCATCATGAAGAACTTTCTCAGCGTGTTTGTGTTTAGTTATGGGAAATTATTCCCGTTTCCAACGAAATCCTCAAAGAGCTCCAAATATCCACCTGCAGATTCTACCAAAAGTGTATTTGGAAACTGCTCCATCAAAAGGCATGTTCAGCTCTGTCAGTGAAACTCCATCATCACAAAGAATATTCTGAGAATGCTTCCGTTTGCCTTTTATATGAAGTTCCTTCCTGTACTACCGTAGGCCTCAAAGCAGTCCAAATCTCCATTTGCAGATTCTATAAAAAGAGTGATTCCAATCTGCTCTATCAATAGGATTGTTCAACTCCATGAGTTGAATGCCATCCTCACAAAGTAGTTTCTGAGAATGCTTCTATCTGGTTTTTGTGTGAAGATATTTCCTTTTCCACCACAGGCCTCAAAGCCCTCCAAACGTCCACTTGCAGATTCTCGAAAAAGAGTGTTTCATAGCTGCTCTTTCCAAAGGAAAGTTCAACTCTGGGAGTTGAATACAAACATCACAAAGTAGTTTCCGAGAATGCTTCTGTTTAGTTTTTATGTGAAGATGATCCCGTTTCCAGTGAAATCTTCAAAGAGGTCCACATATCCCCTTGCAGATTCCAAAGAAAGAGGGTTTCAAAACTGCTCCATCAGAAGGATTGTTCAACTCTGTGAGTTGAATGCAGTCATCGCAGAAAACTTTCTGAGAATGCTTCTGTCTAGGTTTGATGTGAAGATATAGACGTTTCAAATGAAGGCTACAAAGTGGTCAAAATATACACTTGCAGATTCTACTACAAGGGTGTTGCAAACCTGAACTATCAAAGGAAGGTTCAACTCTGTGAGTTGAATACAAACATCACAAAGAATGTTCTGAGTTTGCTTCCGTTCAGTTATGGGAAGTTGATCCCGTTTCCAACGAAATCCTCAGAGAGGTCCAAATATCCCCTTGCAGATTCTACAAAACGTGTGTTTGGAAACTGCTCCATCATAACGAATGTTCAGCTCCCTGAGTTAAACTCCATCGTCACAAAGAATTTTCTGAGAGTGCTACCGTCTGGTTTTTATATGAAGTTCTTTCCTTCACTACCACAGGCCTCAAAGCGGTCCAAATCTCCACTTGCAGATTCTACAAAAAGAGTGTTTGCAAACTGCTCTATCAAAAGGAATGTTCAACTCTGGGAGTTGAATGCAATCATCACAGAGCAGTTTCTGAGAATGCTTCTATGTCGTTTTTAGGAGAAGATATTTCCTTTTCCAACACAGTCCTCCAAGCCCGCTAAATAGCCACTTGCACGTTGTAGAAAAAGTGTGTCAAAGCTGCGCTATCAAAGGGAAAGTTCAACTCTGTGAGGTGAATGCAAACATCCCAAAGAAGTTTCTGAGAATGCTTCCGTTTAGCTTTTAGGTGAAGATTATCCCGTTTCCAACGAAATCTTCAAAGAGGTCCAAATATCCCCTTGCGGATCCCACAGAAAGAGTGTTTCGAAACTGCTGTTTCAAAAGGAAAATCAACTCTGTGAGTTGAATGCAATCATCACAAAGAAGTTTCTGACAATGCTTCTCTCTCGTCTTTCTGTGAAGATAAAGGAAAAGGCTTTCAGGCCTTTTCCACCACAGGCCTGAAAGCGCTCCAAATGTCCACTTGCAGATTCTGCCAAAAGAATATTTCAAAACTGCTCTATGAAAAGCAATGTTAAACTCTGTGGCTCGAACACAAACATCACAAAGCAGTTTCTGAGAATGCTTCAGTTTAGTTTTTCTGTGGAAATATTCCCGTTTCCAAAGAAATCTTCAAAGAGGTCCACGCATCCACTTACAGATTCTACAAAAAGACAGTTTCAAAACTGCTCAATCAAAACGAGGGTTCAACTGTGTGACTTGAATGCAATCATCACTCAGAAGTTTCTGTGAACGCTTCTCTTTAGTTTTTACGTGAACATATACCCGTTTCGAACGAAGGCCAGCCAGTGGTCCAAATATCCACTTGCAGATTCTACAGAAAGAGTGTTTCGAACCTGAACTCTCAAAGGCAGGTTCATCTCTGCGAGTTAAATGCATTCATCATGAAGAACTTTCTCAGCGTGTTTTGTGTTTAGTTATGGGAAATTATTCCCGTTTCCAACGAAATCCTCAGGAGAGCTCCAAATATCCACCTGCAGATTCTACCAAAAGTGTATTTGGAAACTGCTCCATCAAAAGGCATGTTCAGCTCTGTGAGTGAAACTCCATCATCACAAAGAATATTCTGAGAATGCTTCCGTTTGCCTTTTATATGAAGTTCCTTCCTGTACTACCGTAGGCCTCAAAGCAGTCCAAATCTCCATTTGCAGATTCTATAAAAAGAGTGATTCCAATCTGCTCTATCAATAGGATTGTTCAACTCCATGAGTTGAATGCCATCCTCACAAAGTAGTTTCTGAGAATGCTTCTATCTGGTTTTTGTGTGAAGATATTTCCTTTTCCACCACAGGCCTCAAAGCCCTCCAAACGTCCACTTGCAGATTCTCGAAAAAGAGTGTTTCATAGCTGCTCTTTCAAAAGGAAAGTTCAACTCTGGGAGTTGAATGCAAACATCACAAAATAGTTTCCCGAGAATGCTTCTGTTTAGTTTTTATGTGAAGATGATCCCGTTTCCAGTGAAATCTTCAAAGAGGTCCACATATCCCCTTGCAGATTCCAAAGAAAGAGGGTTTCAAAACTGCTCCATCAGAAGGATTGTTCAACTCTGTGAGTTGAATGCAGTCATCGCAGAAAACTTTCTGAGAATGCTTCTGTCTAGGTTTGATGTGAAGATATAGACGTTTCAAACGAAGGCTACAAAGTGGTCAAAATATACACTTGCAGATTCTACTACAAGGGTGATGCAAACCTGAACTATCAAAGGAAGGTTCAACTCTGTGAGTTGAATACAAACATCACAAAGAATGTTCTGAGTTTGCTTCCGTTCATTTATGGGAAGTTGATCCCTTTTCCAACGAAATCCTCAGAGAGGTCCAAATATCCCCTTGCAGATTCTACAAAACGTGTGTTTGGAAACTGCTCCATCATAACGAATGTTCAGCTCTCTGAGTTAAACTCCATCGTCACAAAGAATTTTCTGAGAGTGCTACCGTCTAGTTTTTATATGAAGTTCTTTCCTTTACTACCACAGGCCTCAAAGCGGTCCAAATCTCCACTTGCAGATTCTACAAAAAGAGTGTTTGCAAACTGCTCTATCAAAAGGAATGTTCAACTCTGGGAGTTGAATGCAATCATCACAGAGCAGTTTCTGAGAATGCTTCTATGTCGTTTTTAGGAGAAGATATTTCCTTTTCCAACACAGTCCTCCAAGCCCGCTAAATATCCACTTGCACATTGTAGAAAAAGTGTGTCGAAGCTGCGCTATCAAAGGGAAAGTTCAACTCTGTGAGGTGAATGCAAACATCCCAAAGAAGTTTCTGAGAATGCTTCCGTTTAGCTTTTAGGTGAAGATTATCCCGTTTCCAACGAAACCTTCAAAGAGGTCCAAATATCCCCTTGCGGATCCCACAGAAAGAGTGTTTCGAAACTGCTGTTTCAAAAGGAATCTTCAACTACTGTGAGTTGAATGCAATCATCACAAAGAAGTTTCTGACAATGCTTTCTCTCTCGTCTTTCTGTGAAGATAAAGGAAAAGGCTTTCAGGCCTTTTCCACCACAGGCCTGAAAGCGCTCCAAATGTCCACTTGCAGATTCTGCCAAAAGAATATTTCAAAACTGCTCTATGAAAAGCAATGTTAAACTCTGTGGCTCGAACACAAACATCACAAAGCAGTTTCTGAGAATGCTTCAGTTTAGTTTTTCTGTGGAAATATTCCCGTTTCCAAAGAAATCTTCAAAGAGGTCCACGTATCCACTTACAGATTCTACAAAAAGACAGTTTCAAAACTGCTCCATCAAAAGGAGGGTTCAACTGTGTGACTTGAATGCAATCATCACTCAGAAGTTTCTGAGAATGCTTCTCTTTAGTTTTTACGTGAACATATACCCCTTTCGAACGAAGGCCACCCAGTGGTCCAAATATCCACTTGCAGATTCTACAGAAAGAGTGTTTCGAACATGAACTCTCAAAGGCAGGTTCATCTCTGCGAGTTAAATGCATTCATCATGAAGAACTTTCTCAGAGTGTTTGTGTTTAGTTATGGGAAATTATTCCCGTTTCCAACGAAATCCTCAGAGAGCTCCAAATATCCACCTGCAGATTCTACCAAAAGTGGATTTGGAAACTGCTCCATCAAAAGGCATGTTCCGCTCTGTGAGTGAAACTCCATCATTACAAAGAATATTCTGAGAATGCTTCCGTTTGCCTTTTATATGAAGTTCTTTCCTATACGACCGTAGGCCTCAAAGCAGTCCAAATCTCCATTTGCAGATTCTACAAAAAGAGTGATTCCAATCTGCTCTATCAATAGGATTGTTCAACTCCATGAGTTGAATGCCATCCTCACAAAGTAGTTTCTGAGAATGCTTCTATCTAGTTTTATGTGAAGATATTTCCTTTTCCACCACAGGCCTCAAAGCCCTCCAAACGTCCACTTGCAGATTCTCGAAAAAGAGTGTTTCATAGCTGCTCTTTCAAAAGGAAAGTTCAACTCTGGGAGTTGAATACAAACATCACAAAGTAGTTTCCGAGAATGCTTCTGTTTAGTTTTTATGTGAAGATGATCCCGTTTCCAGTGAAATCTTCAAAGAGGTCCACATATCCCCTTGCAGATTCCAAAGAAAGAGGGTTTCAAAACTGCTCCATCAGAAGGATTGTTCAACTCTGTGAGTTGAATGCAGTCATCGCAGAAAACTTTCTGAGAATGCTTCTGTCTAGGTTTGATGTGAAGATATAGACGTTTTAAACGAAGGTTACAAAGTGGTCAAAATATACACTTGCAGATTCTACTACAAGGCTGTTGCAAACCTGAACTATCAAAGGAAGGTTCAACTCTGTGAGTTGAATACAAACATCACAAAGAATGTTCTGAGTTTGCTTCCGTTCAGTTATGGGAAGTTGATCCCGTTTCCAACGAAATCCTCAGAGAGGTCCAAATATCCCCTTGCAGATTCTACAAAACGTGTGTTTGGAAACTGCTCCATCATAACGAATGTTCAGCTCCCTGAGTTAAACTCCATCGTCACAAAGAATTTTCTGAGAGTGCTACCGTCTGGTTTTTATATGAAGTTCTTTCCTTCACTACCACAGGCCTCAAAGCGGTCCAAATCTCCACTTGCAGATTCTACAAAAAGAGTGTTTGCAAACTGCTCTATCAAAAGGAATGTTCAACTCTGGGAGTTGAATGCAATCATCACAGAGCAGTTTCTGAGAATGCTTCTATGTCGTTTTTAGGAGAAGATATTTCCTTTTCCAACACAGTCCTCCAAGCCCGCTAAATAGCCACTTGCACATTGTAGAAAAAGTGTGTCAAAGCTGCGCTATCAAAGGGAAAGTTCAACTCTGTGAGGTGAATGCAAACATCCCAAAGAAGTTTCTGAGAATGCTTCCGTTTAGCTTTTAGGTGAAGATTATCCCGTTTCCAACGAAAGCTTCAAAGAGGTCCAAATATCCCCTTGCGGATCCCACAGAAAGAGTGTTTCGAAACTGCTGTTTCAAAAGGAATCTTCAACTCTGTGAGTTGAATGCAATCATCACAAAGAAGTTTCTGACAATGCTTCTCTCTCGTCTTTCTGTGAACATAAAGGAAAAGGCGTTCAGGCCTTTGCCACCACAGGCCTGAAAGCGCTCCAAATGTCCACTTGCAGATTCTGCCAAAAGAATATTTCAAAACTGCTTTGTGAAAAGCAATGTTAAACTCTGTGGCTCGAACACAAACATCACAAAGCGGTTTCTGAGAATGCTTCAGTTTAGTTTTTCTGTGGAAATATTCCCGTTTCCAAAGAAATCTTCAAAGAGGTCCACGTATCCACTTACAGATTCTACAAAAAGACAGTTTCAAAACTGCTCCATCAAAAGGAGGGTTCAACTGTGTGACTTGAATGCAATCATCACTCAGAAGTTTCTGAGAATGCTTCTCTTTAGTTTTTACGTGAACATATACCCGTTTCGAACGAAGGCCACCCAGTGGTCCAAATATCCACTTGCAGATTATACAGAAAGAGTGTTTCGAACCTGAACTCTCAAAGGCAGGTTCATCTCTGCGAGTTAAATGCATTCATCATGAAGAACTTTCTCAGAGTGTTTGTGTTTAGTTATGGGAAATTATTCCCGTTTCCAACGAAATCCTCAGAGAGCTCTAAATTTCCACCTGCAGATTCTACCAAAAGTGTATTTGGAAACTGCTCCATCAAAAGGCATGTTCAGCTCTGTGAGTGAAACTCCATCATCACAAAGAATATTCTGAGAATGCTTCCGTTTGCCTTTTATATGAAGTTCCTTCCTATACTACCGTAGGCCTCAAAGCAGTCCAAATCTCCATTTGCAGATTCTACAAAAAGAGTGATTCCAATCTGCTCTATCAATAGGACTGTTCAACTCCATGAGTTGAATGCCATCCTCACAAAGTCGTTTCTGAGAATGCTTCTATCTAGTTTTTATGTGAAGATATTTCCTTTTCCACCACAGGCCTCAAAGCCCTCCAAACGTCCACTTGCAGATTCTCGAAAAAGAGTGCTTCATAGCTGCTCTTTCAAAAGGGAAGTTCAACTCTGGGAGCTGAATACAAACATCACAAAGTAGTTTCCGAGAATGCTTCTGTTTAGTTTTTATGTGAAGATGATCCCGTTTCCAGTTAAATCTTCAAAGAGGTCCACATATCCCCTTGCAGATTCCAAAGAAAGAGGGTTTCAAAACTGCTCCATCAGAAGGATTGTTCAACTCTGTGAGTTGAATGCAGTCATCGCAGAAAACTTTCTGAGAATGCTTCTGTCTAGGTTTGATGTGAAGATATAGACGTTTCAAACGAAGGCTACAAAGTGGTCAAAATATACACTTGCAGATTCTACTACAAGGGTGTTGCAAACCTGAACTATCAAAGGAAGGTTCAACTCTGTGAGTTGAATACAAACATCACAAAGAATGTTCTGAGTTTGCTTCCGTTCAGTTATGGGAAATTGATACCGTTTCCAACGAAATCCTCAGAGAGGTCCAAATATCCCCTTGCAGATTCTACAAAACGTGTGTTTGGAAACTGCTCCATCATAACGAATGTTCAGCTCTCTGAGTTAAACTCCATCGTCACAAAGAATTTTCTGAGAGTGCTACCGTCTGGTTTTTATATGAAGTTCTTTCCTTCACTACCACAGGCCTCAAAGCGGTCCAAATCTCCACTTGCAGATTCTACAAAAAGAGTGTTTGCAAACTGCTCTATCAAAAGGAATGTTCAACTCTGGGAGTTGAATGCAATCATCACAGAGCAGTTTCTGAGAATGCTTCTATGTCGTTTTTAGGAGAAGATATTTCCTTTTCCAACACAGTCCTCCAAGCCCGCTAAATAGCCACTTGCACATTGTAGAAAAAGTGTGTCGAAGCTGCGCTATCAAAGGGAAAGTTCAACTCTGTGAGGTGAATGCAAACATCCCAAAGAAGTTTCTGAGAATGCTTCCGTTTAGCTTTTAGGTGAAGATAATCCCGTTTCCAACGAAACCTTCTAAGAGGTCCAAATATCCCCTTGCGGATCCCACAGAAAGAGTGTTTCGAAACTGCTGTTTCAAAAGGAATCTTCAACTCTGTGAGTTGAATGCAATCATCACAAAGAAGTTTCTGACAATGCTTCTCTCTCGTCTTTCTGTGAAGATAAAGGAAAAGGCTTTCAGGCCTTTTCCACCACAGGCCTGAAAACGCTCTAAATGTCCACTTGCAGATTCTGCCAAAAGAATATTTCAAAAGTGCTCTATGAAAAGCAATGTTAAACTCTGCGGCTCGAACACCAACATCACAAAGCAGTTTCTGAGAATGCTTCAGTTTAGTTTTTCTGTGGAAATATTCCCGTTTCCAAGGAAATCTTCCAAGAGGTCCACGTATCCACTTACAGATTCTACAAAAAGACAGTTTCAAAACTGCTCAATCAAAAGGCGGGTTCAACTGTGTGACTTGAATGCAATCATCACTCAGAAGTTTCTGAGAATGCTTCTCTTTAGTTTTTACGTGAACATATACCCGTTTCGAACGAAGGCCAGCCAGTGGTCCAAATATCCACTTGCAGATTCTACAGAAAGAGTGTTTCGAACCTGAACTCTCAAAGGCAAGTTCATCTCTGCGAGTTAAATGCATTCATCATGAAGAACTTTCTCAGAGTGTTTGTGTTTAGTTATGGGAAATTATTCCCGTTTCCAACGAAATCCTCAGAGAGGTCCAAATATCCACCTGCAGATTCTACCAAAAGTGTATTTGGAAACTGCTCCATCAAAAGGCATGTTCAGCTCTGTGAGTGAAACTCCATCATCACAAAGAATATTCTGAGAATGCTTCCGTTTGCCTTTTATATGAAGTTCCTTCCTATACTACCGTAGGCCCCAAAGCAGTCCAAATCTCCATTTGCAGATTCTACAAAAAGAGTGATTCCAATCTGCTCTCTCAATGGGATTGTTCAACTCCATGAGTTGAATGCCATCCTCACAAAGTCGTTTCTGAGAATGCTTCTATCTAGTTTTTATGTGAAGATATTTCCTTTTCCACCACAGGCCTCAAAGCCCTCCAAACGTCCACTTGCAGATTCTCGAAAAAGAGTGTTTCATAGCTGCTCTTTCAAAAGGAAAGTTCAACTCTGGGAGTTGAATACAAACATCACAAAGTAGTTTCCGAGAATGCTTCTGTTTAGTTCTTATGTGAAGATGATCCCGTTTCCAGGGAAATCTTCAAAGAGGTCCACATATCCCCTTGCAGATTCCAAAGAAAGAGGGTTTCAAAACTGCTCCATCAAAAGGATTGTACAACTCTGTGAGTTGAATGCAGTCATCGCAGAAAACTTTCTGAGAATGCTTCTGTCTAGGTTTGATGTGAAGATATAGACGTTTCAAACGAAGGCTACAAAGTGGTCAAAATATACACTTGCAGATTGTACTAAAAGGGTGTTGCAAACCTGAACTATCAAAGGAAGGTTCAACTCTGTGGGTTGAATACAAACATCGCAGAGAATGTTCTGAGTTTGCTTCCGTTCAGTTATGGGAAGTTGATCCCGTTTCCAACGAAATCCTCAGAGAGGTCCAAATATCCCCTTGCAGATTCTACAAAACGTGTGTTTGGAAACTGCTCCATCATAACGAATGTTCAGCTCCCAGAGTTAAACTCCATCGTCACAGAGAGATTTCTGAGAGTGCTACCGTCTAGTTTTTATATGAAGTTGTTTCCTTTACTAACACAGGCCTCAAAGCGGTCCAAATCTCCACTTGCAGATTCTACAAAAAGAGTGTTTCCAAACCGCTCTATCAAAAGGAATGTTCAACTCTGGGAGTTGAATGCAATCATCACAGAGCAGTTTCTGAGAATGCTTCTATGTCGTTTTTAGGAGAAGATATTTCCTTTTCCAACACAGTCCTCCAAGCCCGCTAAATATCCACTTGCACATTGTAGAAAAAGTGTGTCAAAGCTGCGCTATCAAAGGGAAAGTTCAACTCTGTGAGGTGAATGCAAACATCCCAAAGAAGTTTCTGAGAATGCTTCCGTTTAGCTTTTAGGTGAAGATTATCCCGTTTCCAACGAAATCTTCAAAGAGGTCCAAATATCCCCTTGCGGATCCCACAGAAAGAGTGTTTCGAAACTGCTGTTTCAAAAGGAATCTTCAACTCTGTGAGTTGAATGCAATCATCACAAAGAAGTTTCTGACAATGCTTCTCTCTCGTCTTTCTGTGAAGATAAAGGAAAAGGCTTTCAGGCCTTTTCCACCACAGGCCTGAAAGCGCTCCAAATGTCCACTTGCAGATTCTGCCAAAAGAATATTTCAAAACTGCTCTATGAAAAGCAATGTTAAACTCTGTGGCTCGAACACAAACATCACAAAGCAGTTTCTGAGAATGCTTCAGTTTAGTTTTTCTGTGGAAATATTCCCGTTTCCAAAGAAATCTTCAAAGAGGTCCACGTATCCACTTACAGATTCTACAAAAAGACAGTTTCAAAACTGCTCAATCAAAAGGAGGGTTCAACTGTGTGACTTGAATGCAATCATCACTCAGAAGTTTCTGAGAATGCTTCTCTTTAGTTTTTACGTGAACATATACCCGTTTCGAACGAAGGCCAGCCAGTGGTCCAAATATCCACTTGCAGATTCTACAGAAAGAGTGTTTTGAACCTGAACTCTCAAAGGCAGGTTCATCTCTGCGAGTTAAATGCATTCATCATGAAGAACTTTCTCAGCGTGTTTGTGTTTAGTTATGGGAAATTATTCCCGTTCCCAACGAAATCCTCAGAGAGGTCCAAATGTCCACCTGCAGATTCTACCAAAAGTGTATTTGGAAACTGCTCCATCAACAGGCATGTTCAGCTCTGTGAGTGAAACTCCATCATCACAAAGAATATTCTGAGAATGCTTCCCGTTTGCCTTTTATATGAAGTTCCTTCCTGTACTACCGTAGGCCTCAAAGCAGTCCAAATCTCCATTTGCAGATTCTATAAAAAGAGTGATTCCAATCTGCTCTATCAATAGGATTGTTCAACTCCATGAGTTGAATGCCATCCTCACAAAGTAGTTTCTGAGAATGCTTCTATCTGGTTTTTGTGTGAAGATATTTCCTTTTCCACCACAGGCCTCAAAGCCCTCCAAACGTCCACTTGCAGATTCTCGAAAAAGAGTGTTTCATAGCTGCTCTTTCAAAAGGAAAGTTCAACTCTGGGAGTTGAATACAAACATCACAAAGTAGTTTCCGAGAATGCTTCTGTTTAGTTTTTATGTGAAGATGATCCCGTTTCCAGTGAAATCTTCAAAGAGGTCCACATATCCCCTTGCAGATTCCAAAGAAAGAGGGTTTCAAAACTGCTCCATCAGAAGGATTGTTCAACTCTGTGAGTTGAATGCAGTCATCGCAGAAAACTTTCTGAGAATGCTTCTGTCTAGGTTTGATGTGAAGGTATAGACGTTTCAAATGAAGGCTACAAAGTGGTCAAAATATACACTTGCAGATTCTACTACAAGGGTGTTGCAAACCTGAACTATCAAAGGAAGGTTCAACTCTGTGAGTTGAATACAAACATCACAAAGAATGTTCTGAGTTTGCTTCCGTTCAGTTATGGGAAGTTGATCCCGTTTCCAACGAAATCCTCAGAGAGGTCCAAATATCCCCTTGCAGATTCTACAAAACGTGTGTTTGGAAACTGCTCCATCATAACGAATGTTCAGCTCCCTGAGTTAAACTCCATCGTCACAAAGAATTTTCTGAGAGTGCTACCGTCTGGTTTTTATATGAAGTTCTTTCCTTCACTACCACAGGCCTCAAAGCGGTCCAAATCTCCACTTGCAGATTCTACAAAAAGAGTGTTTGCAAACTGCTCTATCAAAAGGAATGTTCAACTCTGGGAGTTGAATGCAATCATCACAGAGCAGTTTCTGAGAATCCTTCTATGTCGTTTTTAGGAGAAGATATTTCCTTTTCCAACACAGTCCTCCAAGCCCGCTAAATAGCCACTTGCACATTGTAGAAAAAGTGTGTCAAAGCTGCGCTATCAAAGGGAAAGTTCAACTCTGTGAGGTGAATGCAAACATCCCAAAGAAGTTTCTGAGAATGCTTCCGTTTAGCTTTTAGGTGAAGATTATCCCGTTTCCAACGAAACCTTCAAAGAGGTCCAAATATCCCCTTGCGGATCCCACAGAAAGAGTGTTTCGAAACTGCTGTTTCAAAAGGAATCTTCAACTCTGTGAGTTGAATGCAATCATCACAAAGAAGTTTCTGACAATGCTTCTCTCTCGTCTTTCTGTGAAGATAAAGGAAAAGGCTTTCAGGCCTTTTCCACCACAGGCCTGAAAGCGCTCCAAATGTCCACTTGCAGATTCTGCCAAAAGAATATTTCAAAACTGCTCTATGAAAAGCAATGTTAAACTCTGTGGCTCGATCACAAACATCACAAAGCGGTTTCTGAGAATACTTCAGTTTAGTTTTTCTGTGGAAATATTCCCGTTTCCAAAGAAATCTTCAAAGAGGTCCACGTATCCACTTACAGATTCTACAAAAAGACAGTTTCAAAACTGCTCCATCAAAAGGAGGGTTCAACTGTGTGACTTGAATGCAATCATCACTCAGAAGTTTCTGAGAATGCTTCTCTTTAGTTTTTACGTGAACATATACCCGTTTCGAACGAAGGCCACCCAGTGGTCCAAATATCCACTTGCAGATTCTACAGAAAGAGTGTTTCGAACCTGAACTCTCAAAGGCAGGTTCATCTCTGCGAGTTAAATGCATTCATCATGAAGAACTTTCTCAGAGTGTTTGTGTTTAGTTATGGGAAATTATTCCCCGTTTCCAACGAAATCCTCAGAGAGCTCCAAATATCCACCTGCAGATTCTACCAAAAGTGTATTTGGAAACTGCTCCATCAAAAGGCATGTTCAGCTCTGTGAGTGAAACTCCATCATCACAAAGAATATTCTGAGAATGCTTCCGTTTGCCTTTTATATGAAGTTCCTTCCTGTACTACCGTAGGCCTCAAAGCAGTCCAAATCTCCATTTGCAGATTCTATAAAAAGAGTGATTCCAATCTGCTCTATCAATAGGATTGTTCAACTCCATGAGTTGAATGCCATCCTCACAAAGTAGTTTCTGAGAATGCTTCTATCTGGTTTTTGTGTGAAGATATTTCCTTTTCCACCACAGGCCTCAAAGCCCTCCAAACGTCCACTTGCAGATTCTCGAAAAAGAGTGTTTCATAGCTGCTCTTTCAAAAGGAAAGTTCAACTCTGGGAGTTGAATACAAACATCACAAAGTAGTTTCCGAGAATGCTTCTGTTTAGTTTTTATGTGAAGATGATCCCGTTTCCAGTGAAATCTTCAAAGAGGTCCACATATCCCCTTGCAGATTCCAAAGAAAGAGGGTTTCAAAACTGCTCCATCAGAAGGATTGTTCAACTCTGTGAGTTGAATGCAGTCATCGCAGAAAACTTTCTGAGAATGCTTCTGTCTAGGTTTCATGTGAAGATATAGAACTTTCAAACGAAGGCTACAAAGTGGTCAAAATATACACTTGCAGATTCTACTACAAGGGTGTTGCAAACCTGAACTATCAAAGGAAGGTTCAACTCTGTGAGTTGAATACAAACATCACAAAGAATGTTCTGAGTTTGCTTCCGTTCAGTTATGGGAAGTTGATCCCGTTTCCAACGAAATCCTCAGAGAGGTCCAAATATCCCCTTGCAGATTCTACAAAACGTGTGTTTGGAAACTGCTCCATCATAACGAATGTTCAGCTCCCTGAGTTAAACTCCATCGTCACAAAGAATTTTCTGAGAGTGCTACCGTCTAGTTTTTATATGAAGTTCTTTCCTTTACTACCACAGGCCTCAAAGCGGTCCAAATCTCCACTTGCAGATTCTACAAAAAGAGTGTTTGCAAACTGCTCTATCAAAAGGAATGTTCAACTCCTGGGAGTTGAATGCAATCATCACAGAGCAGTTTGCTGAGAATGCTTCTATGTCGTTTTTAGGAGAAGATATTTCCTTTTCCAACACAGTCCTCCAAGCCCGCTAAATAGCCACTTGCACATTGTAGAAAAAGTGTGTCAAAGCTGCGCTATCAAAGGGAAAGTTCAACTCTGTGAGGTGAATGCAAACATCCCAAAGAAGTTTCTGAGAATGCTTCCGTTTAGCTTTTAGGTGAAGATTATCCCGTTTCCAACGAAATCTTCAAAGAGGTCCAAATATCCCCTTGCGGATCCCACAGAAAGAGTGTTTCGAAACTGCTGTTTCAAAAGGAATCTTCAACTCTGTGAGTTGAATGCAATCATCACAAAGAAGTTTCTGACAATGCTTCTCTCTCGTCTTTCTGTGAAGATAAAGGAAAAGGCTTTCAGGCCTTTTCCACCACAGGCCTGAAAGCGCTCCAAATATCCGCTTGCAGATTCTGCGAAAAGAATATTACAAAACTGCTCTATGAAAAGCAATGTTAAACTCTGTGGCTCGAACACAAACATCACAAAGCAGTTTCTGAGAATACTTCAGTTTAGTTTTTCTGTGGAAATATTCCCGTTTCCAAAGAAATCTTCAAAAGAGGTCCACGCATCCACTTACAGATTCTACAAAAAGACAGTTTCAAAACTGCTCAATCAAAAGGAGGGTTCAACTGTGTGACTTGAATGCAATCATCACTCAGAAGTTTCTGAGAACGCTTCTCTTTAGTTTTTACGTGAACATATACCCGTTTGGAATGAAGGCCAGCCAGTGGTCCAAATATCCACTTGCAGATTCCACAGAAAGAGTGTTTCGAACCTGAACTCTCAAAGGCAGGTTCATCTCTGCGAGTTAAATGCATTCATCATGAAGAACTTTCTCAGCGTGTTTGTGTTTAGTTATGGGAAATTATTCCCGTTTCCAACGAAATCCTCAGAGAGCTCCAAATATCCACCTGCAGATTCTACCAAAAGTGTATTTGGAAACTGCTCCATCAACAGGAATGTTCAGCTCTGTGAGTGAAACTCCATCATCACAAAGAATATTCTGAGAATGCTTCCGTTTGCCTTTTATATGAAGTTCCTTCCTATACTACCGTAGGCCTCAAAGCAGTCCAAATCTCCATTTGCAGATTCTACAAAAAGAGTGATTCCAATCTGCTCTATCAATAGGACTGTTCAACTCCATGAGTTGAATGCCATCCTCACAAAGTCGTTTCTGAGAATGCTTCTATCTAGTTTTTATGTGAAGATATTTCCTTTTCCACCACAGGCCTCAAAGCCCTCCAAACGTCCACTTGCAGATTCTCGAAAAAGAGTGTTTCATAGCTGCTCTTTCAAAAGGAAAGTTCAACTCTGGGAGTTGAATACAAACATCACAAAGTAGTTTCCGAGAATGCTTCTGTTTAGTTCTTATGTGAAGATGATCCCGTTTCCAGTGAAATCTTCAAAGAGGTCCACATATCCCCTTGCAGATTCCAAAGAAAGAGGGTTTCAAAACTGCTCCATCAAAAGGATTGTTCAACTCTGTGAGTTGAATGCAGTCATCGCAGAAAACTTTCTGAGAATGCTTCTGTCTAGGTTTGATGTGAAGATATAGCATGTTTCAAACGAAGGCTACAAAGTGGTCAAAATATACACTTGCAGATTCTACTACAAGGGTGTTGCAAACCTGAACTATCAAAGGAAGGTTCAACTCTGTGAGTTGAATACAAACATCACAAAGAATGTTCTGAGTTTGCTTCCGTTCAGTTATGGGAAGTTGATCCCGTTTCCAACGAAATCCTCAGAGAGGTCCAAATATCCCCTCGCAGATTCTACAAAACGTGTGTTTGGAAACTGCTCCATCATAACGAATGTTCAGCTCCCTGAGTTAAACTCCATCGTCACAAAGAATTTTCTGAGAGTGCTACCGTCTGGTTTTTATATGAAGTTCTTTCCTTCACTACCACAGGCCTCAAAGCGGTCCAAATCTCCACTTGCAGATTCTACAAAAAGAGTGTTTGCAAACTGCTCTATCAAAAGGAATGTTCAACTCTGGGAGTTGAATGCAATCATCACAGAGCAGTTTCTGAGAATGCTTCTATGTCGTTTTTAGGAGAAGATATTTCCTTTTCCAACACAGTCCTCCAAGCCCGCTAAATAGCCACTTGCACATTGTAGAAAAAGTGTGTCGAAGCTGCGCTATCAAAGGGAAAGTTCAACTCTGTGAGGTGAATGCAAACATCCCAAAGAAGTTTCTGAGAATGCTTCCGTTTAGCTTTTAGGTGAAGATTATCCCGTTTCCAACGAAACCTTCAAAGAGGTCCAAATATCCCCTTGCGGATCCCACAGAAAGAGTGTTTCGAAACTGCTGTTTCAAAAGGAATCTTCAACTCTGTGAGTTGAATGCAATCATCACAAAGAAGTTTCTGACAATGCTTCTCTCTCGTCTTTCTGTGAAGATAAAGGAAAAGGCTTTCAGGCCTTTTCCACCACAGGCCTGAAAGCGCTCCAAATGTCCACTTGTAGATTCTGCCAAAAGAATATTTCAAAACTGCTCTATGAAAAGCAATGTTAAACTCTGTGGCTCGAACACAAACATCACAAAGCAGTTTGCTGAGAATGCTTCAGTTTAGTTTTTCTGAGGAAATATTCCCGTTTCGAAAGACATGTTCAAAGATGTCCACGCATCCACTTACAGATTCTACAAAAAGACAGTTTCAAAACTGCTCAATCAAAAGGAGGGTTCAACCGTGTGACTTGAATGCAATCATCACTCAGAAGTTTCTGAGAACGCTTCTCTTTAGTTTTTACGTGAACATATACCCGTTTCGAACGAAGGCCACCCAGTGGTCCAAATATCCACTTGCAGATTATACAGAAAGAGTGTTTCGAACCTGAACTCTCAAAGGCAGGTTCATCTCTGCGAGTTAAATGCATTCATCATGAAGAACTTTCTCAGAGTGTTTGTGTTTAGTTATGGGAAATTATTCCCGTTTCCAACGAAATCCTCAAAGAGCTCCAAATATCCACCTGCAGATTCTACCAAAAGTGTATTTGGAAACTGCTCCATCAAAAGGCATGTTCAGCTCTGTGAGTGAAACTCCATCATCACAAAGAATATTCTGAGAATGCTTCCGTTTGCCTTTTATATGAAGTTCCTTCCTATACGACCGTAGGCCTCAAAGCAGTCCAAATCTCCATTTGCAGATTCTACAAAAAGAGTGATTCCAATCTGCTCTATCAATAGGATTGTTCAACTCCATGAGTTGAATGCCATCCTCACAAAGTAGTTTCTGAGAATGCTTCTATCTAGTTTTTATGTGAAGATATTTCCTTTTCCACCACAGGCCTCAAAGCCCTCCAAACGTCCACTTGCAGATTCTCGAAAAAGAGTGTTTCATAGCTGCTCTTTGAAAAGGAAAGTTCACCTCTGGCAGTTGAATACAAACATCACAAAGTAGTTTCCTTGAATGCTTCTGTTTAGTTTTTATGTGAAGATGATCCCGTTTCCAGTGAAATCTTCAAAGAGGTCCACATATCCCCTTGCAGATTCCAAAGAAAGAGGGTTTCAAAACTGCTCCATCAGAAGGATTGTTCAACTCTGTGAGTTGAATGCAGTCATCGCAGAAAACTTTCTGAGAATGCTTCTGTCTAGGTTTGATGTGAAGATATAGACGTTTCAAACGAAGGCTACAAAGTGGTCAAAATATACACTTGCAGATTCTACTACAAGAGTGTTGCAAACCTGAACTATCAAAGGAAGGTTCAACTCTGTGAGTTGAATACAAACATCACAGAGAATGTTCTGAGTTTGCTTCCGTTCAGTTATGGGAAGTTGATCCCGTTTCCAACGAAATCCTCAGAGAGGTCCAAATATCCCCTTGCAGATTCTACAAAACGTGTGTTTGGAAACTGCTCCATCATAACGAATGTTCAGCTCCCTGAGTTAAACTCCATCGTCACAAAGAATTTTCTGAGAGTGCTACCGTCTGGTTTTTATATGAAGTTCTTTCCTTCACTACCACAGGCCTCAAAGCGGTCCAAATCTCCACTTGCAGATTCTACAAAAAGAGTGTTTGCAAACTGCTCTATCAAAAGGAATGTTCAACTCTGGGAGTTGAATGCAATCATCACAGAGCAGTTTCTGAGAATGCTTCTATGTCGTTTTTAGGAGAAGATATTTCCTTTTCCAACACAATCCTCCAAGCCCGCTAAATAGCCACTTGCACATTGTAGAAAAAGTGTGTCAAAGCTGCGCTATCAAAGGGAAAGTTCAACTCTGTGAGGTGAATGCAAACATCCCAAAGAAGTTTCTGAGAATGCTTCCGTTTAGCTTTTAGGTGAAGATTATCCCGTTTCCAACGAAACCTTCAAAGAGGTCCAAATATCCCCTTGCGGATCCCACAGAAAGAGTGTTTCGAAACTGCTGTTTCAAAAGGAATCTTCAACTCTGTGAGTTGAATGCAATCATCACAAAGAAGTTTCTGACAATGCTTCTCTCTCGTCTTTCTGTGAAGATAAAGGAAAAGGCTTTCAGGCCTTTTCCACCACAGGCCTGAAAGCGCTCCAAATGTCCACTTGCAGATTCTGCCAAAAGAATATTTCAAAACTGCTCTATGAAAAGCAATGTTAAACTCTGCGGCTCGAACACAAACATCACAAAGCAGTTTCTGAGAATGCTTCAGTTTAGTTTTTCTGTGGAAATATTCCCGTTTCCAAAGAAATCTTCAAAGAGGTCGACGCATACACTTACAGATTCTACAAAAAGACAGTTTCAAAACTGCTCAATCAAAAGGAGGGTTCAACTGTGTGACTTGAATGCAATCATCACTCAGAAGTTTCTGAGAACGCTTCTCTTTAGTTTTTCCGTGAACATATACCCGTTTCGAATGAAGGCCAGCCAGTGGTCCAAATATCCACTTGCAGATTCTGCAGAAAGAGTGTTTTGAACCTGAACTCTCAAAGGCAGGTTCATCTCTGCGAGTTAAATGCATTCATCATGAAGAACTTTCTCAGCGTGTTTGTGTTTAGTTATGGGAAATTATTCCCGTTTCCAACGAAATCCTCAGAGAGCTCCAAATATCCACCTGCAGATTCTACCAAAAGTGTATTTGGAAACTGCTCCATCAAAAGGCATGTTCAGCTCTGTGAGTGAAACTCCATCATCACAAAGAATATTCTGAGAATGCTTCCGTTTGCCTTTTATATGAAGTTCCTTCCTGTACTACCGTAGGCCTCAAAGCAGTCCAAATCTCCATTTGCAGATTCTACAAAAAGAGTGATTCCAATCTGCTCTATCAATAGGATTGTTCAACTCCATGAGTTGAATGCCATCCTCACAAAGTAGTTTCTGAGAATGCTTCTATCTGGTTTTTGTGTGAAGATATTTCCTTTTCCACCACAGGCCTCAAAGCCCTCCAAACGTCCACTTGCAGATTCTCGAAAAAGAGTGTTTCATAGCTGCTCTTTCAAAAGGAAAGTTCAACTCTGGGAGTTGAATACAAACATCACAAAATAGTTTCCGAGAATGCTTCTGTTTAGTTTTTATGTGAAGATGATCCCGTTTCCAGTGAAATCTTCAAAGAGGTCCACATATCCCCTTGCAGATTCCAAAGAAAGAGGGTTTCAAAACTGCTCCATCAGAAGGATTGTTCAACTCTGTGAGTTGAATGCAGTCATCGCAGAAAACTTTCTGAGAATGCTTCTGTCTAGGTTTGATGTGAAGATATAGACGTTTCAAACGAAGGCTACAAAGTGGTCAAAATATACACTTGCAGATTCTACTACAAGGGTGTTACAAACCTGAACTATCAAAGGATGGTTCAACTCTGTGAGTTGAATACAAACATCACAAAGAATGTTCTGAGTTTGCTTCCGTTCAGTTATGGGAAGTTGATCCCGTTTCCAACGAAATCCTCAGAGAGGTCCAAATATCCCCTCGCAGATTCTACAAAACGTGTGTTTGGAAACTGCTCCATCATAACGAATGTTCAGCTCCCTGAGTTAAACTCCATCGTCACAAAGAATTTTCTGAGAGTGCTACCGTCTGGTTTTTATATGAAGTTCTTTCCTTCACTACCACAGGCCTCAAAGCGGTCCAAATCTCCACTTGCAGATTCTACAAAAAGAGTGTTTGCAAACTGCTCTATCAAAAGGAATGTTCAACTCTGGGAGTTGAATGCAATCATCACAGAGCAGTTTCTGAGAATGCTTCTATGTCGTTTTTAGGAGAAGATATTTCCTTTTCCAACACAGTCCTCCAAGCCCGCTAAATAGCCACTTGCACATTGTAGAAAAAGTGTGTCAAAGCTGCGCTATCAAAGGGAAAGTTCAACTCTGTCAGGTGAATGCAAACATCCCAAAGAAGTTTCTGAGAATGCTTCCGTTTAGCTTTAAGTGAAGATTATCCCGTTTCCAACGAAATCTTCAAAGAGGTCCAAATATCCCCTTGCGGATCCCACAGAAAGAGTGTTTCGAAACTGCTGTTTCAAAAGGAATCTTCAACTCTGTGAGTTGAATGCAATCATCACAAAGAAGTTTCTGACAATTCTTCTCTCTCGTCTTTCTGTGAAGATAAAGGAAAAGGCTTTCAGGCCATTTCCACCACAGGCCTGAAAGCGCTCCAAATGTCCACTTGCAGATTCTGCCAAAAGAATATTTCAAAACTGCTCTATGAAAAGCAATGTTAAACTCTGCGGCTCGAACACAAACATCACAAAGCAGTTTCTGAGAATGCTTCAGTTTAGTTTTTCTGTGGAAATATTCCCGTTTCCAAAGAAATCTTCAAACAGGTCCACGTATCCACTTACAGATTCTACAAAAAGACAGTTTCAAAACTGCTCAATCAAAAGGAGGGTTCAACCGTGTGACTTGAATGCAATCATCACTCAGAAGTTTCTGAGAATGCTTCTCTTTAGTTTTTACGTGAACATATACCCGTTTCGAACGAAGGCCACCCAGTGGTCCAAATATCCACTTGCAGATTCTACAGAAAGGGTGTTTCGAACCTGAACACTCAAAGACAGGTTCATCTCTGCGAGTTCAATGCATTCATCATGAAGAACTTTCTCAGAGTGTTTGTGTTTAGTTATGGGAAATTATTCCCGTTTCCAACGAAATCCTCAGAGAGCTCCAAATATCCACCTGCAGATTCTACCAAAAGTGTATTTGGAAACTGCTCCATCAAAAGGCATGTTCAGCTCTGTGAGTGAAACTCCATCATCACAAAGAATATTCTGAGAATGCTTCCGTTTGCCTTTTATATGAAGTTCCTTCCTATACTACCGTAGGCCTCAAAGCAGTCCAAATCTCCATTTGCAGATTCTACAAAAAGAGTGATTCCAATCTGCTCTATCAATAGGACTGTTCAACTCCATGAGTTGAATGCCATCCTCACAAAGTAGTTTCTGAGAATGCTTCTATCTAGTTTTTATGTGAAGATATTTCCTTTTCCACCACAGGCCTCAAAGCCCTCCAAACGTCCACTTGCAGACTCTCGAAAAAGAGTGTTTCATAGCTGCTCTTTCAAAAGGAAAGTTCAACTCTGGGAGTTGAATACAAACATCACAAAGTAGTTTCCGAGAATGCTTCTGTTTAGTTCTTATGTGAAGATTATCCCGTTTCCAGTGAAATCTTCAAAGAGGTCCACATATCCCCTTGCAGATTCCAAAGAAAGAGGGTTTCAAAACTGCTCCATCAAAAGGATTGTTCAACTCTGTGAGTTGAATGCAGTCATCGCAGAAAACTTTCTGAGAATGCTTCTGTCTAGGTTTGATGTGAAGATATAGACGTTTCAAACGAAGGCTACAAAGTGGTCAAAATATACACTTGCAGATTCTACTACAAGGGTGATGCAAACCTGAACTATCAAAGGAAGGTTCAACTCTGTGAGTTGAATACAAACATCACAAAGAATGTTCTGAGTTTGCTTCCGTTCATTTATGGGAAGTTGATCCCTTTTCCAACGAAATCCTCAGAGAGGTCCAAATATCCCCTTGCAGATTCTACAAAACGTGTGTTTGGAAACTGCTCCATCATAACGAATGTTCAGCTCTCTGAGTTAAACTCCATCGTCACAAAGAATTTTCTGAGAGTGCTACCGTCTAGTTTTTATATGAAGTTCTTTCCTTTACTACCACAGGCCTCAAAGCGGTCCAAATCTCCACTTGCAGATTCTACAAAAAGAGTGTTTGCAAACTGCTCTATCAAAAGGAATGTTCAACTCTGGGAGTTGAATGCAATCATCACAGAGCAGTTTCTGAGAATGCTTCTATGTGGTTTTTAGGAGAAGATATTTCCTTTTCCACCACATTCCTCCAAGCCCGCTAAAAATCCACTTGCACATTGTAGAAAAAGTGTGTCAAAGCTGCGCTATCAAAGGGAAAGTACAACTCTGTGAGGTGAATGCAAACATCCCAAAGAAGTTTCTGAGAATGCTTCCGTTTAGATTTTAGGTGAAGATTATCCCGTTTCCAACGAAATCTTCAAAGAGGTCCAAATATCCCCTTGCGGATCCCACAGAAAGAGTGTTTCGAAACTGCTGTTTCAAAAGGAATCTTCAACTCTGTGAGTTGAATGCAATCATCACAAAGAAGTTTCTGACAATGCTTCTCTCTCGTCTTTCTGTGAAGATAAAGGAAAAGGCTTTCAGGCCTTTTCCACCACAGGCCTGAAAGCGCTCCAAATGTCCACTTGCAGATTCTGCGAAAAGAATATTTCAAAACTGCTCTATGAGAAGCAATGTTAAACTCTGTGGCTCGAACACAAACATCACAAAGCAGTTTCTGAGAATGCTTCAGTTTAGTTTTTCTGTGGAAATATTCCCGTTTCCAAAGAAATCTTCAAACAGGTCCACGTATCCACTTACAGATTCTACAAAAAGACAGTTTCAAAACTGCTCAATCAAAAGGAGGGTTCAACCGTGTGACTTGAATGCAATCATCACTCAGAAGTTTCTGAGAATGCTTCTCTTTAGTTTTTACGTGAACATATACCCGTTTCGAACGAAGGCCACCCAGTGGTCCAAATATCCACTTGCAGATTCTACAGAAAGAGTGTTTCGAACCTGAACTCTCAAAGGCAGGTTCATCTCTGCGAGTTAAATGCATTCATCATGAAGAACTTTCTCAGAGTGTTTGTGTTTAGTTATGGGAAATTATTCCTGTTTCCAACGAAATCCTCAGAGAGCTCCAAATATCCACCTGCAGATTCTACCAAAAGTGTATTTGGAAACTGCTCCATCAAAAGGCATGTTCAGCTCTGTGAGTGAAACTCCATCATCACAAAGAATATTCTGAGAATGCTTCCGTTTGCTTTTTATATGAAGTTCCTTCCTATACTACCGTAGGCCTCAAAGCAGTCCAAATCTCCATTTACAGATTCTACAAAAAGAGTGTTTCCAATCTGCTCTATCAATAGGATTGTTCAACTCCGTGAGTTGAATGCCATCCTCACAAAGTAGTTTCTGAGAATGCTTCTATCTAGTTTTTATGTGAAGATATTTCCTTTTCCACCACAGGCCTCAAAGCCCTCCAAACGTCCACTTGCAGATTCTCGAAAAAGAGTGTTTCATAGCTGCTCTTTCAAAAGGAAAGTTCAACTCTGGGAGTTGAATACAAACATCACAAAGTAGTTTCCGAGAATGCTTCTGTTTAGTTCTTATGTGAAGATGATCCCGTTTCCAGTGAAATCTTCAAAGAGGTCCACATATCCCCTTGCAGATTCCAAAGAAAGAGGGTTTCAAAACTGCTCCATCAAAAGGATTGTTCAACTCTGTGAGTTGAATGCAGTCATCGCAGAAAACTTTCTGAGAATGCTTCTGTCTAGGTTTGAGGTGAAGATATAGACGTTTCAAACGAAGGCTACAAAGTGGTCAAAATATACACTTGCAGATTCTACTACAAGGGTGTTGCAAACCTGAACTATCAAAGGAAGGTTCAACTCTGTGAGTTGAATACAAACATCACAAAGAATGTTCTGAGTTTGCTTCCGTTCAGTTATGGGAAGTTGATCCCGTTTCCAACGAAATCCTCAGAGAGGTCCAAATATCCCCTTGCAGATTCTACAAAACGTGTGTTTGGAAACTGCTCCATCATAACGAATGTTCAGCTCCCTGAGTTAAACTCCATCGTCACAAAGAATTTTCTGAGAGTGCTACCGTCTGGTTTTTATATGAAGTTCTTTCCTTCACTACCACAGGCCTCAAAGCGGTCCAAATCTCCACTTGCAGATTCTACAAAAAGAGTGTTTGCAAACTGCTCTATCAAAAGGAATGTTCAACTCTGGGAGTTGAATGCAATCATCACAGAGCAGTTTCTGAGAATGCTTCTATGTCGTTTTTAGGAGAAGATATTTCCTTTTCCAACACAGTCCTCCAAGCCCGCTAAATAGCCACTTGCACATTGTAGAAAAAGTGTGTCAAAGCTGCGCTATCAAAGGGAAAGTTCAACTCTGAGAGGTGAATGCAAACATCCCAAAGAAGTTTCTGAGAGTGCTTCCGTTTAGCTTTTAGGTGAAGATTATCCCGTTTCCAACGAAACCTTCAAAGAGGTCCAAATATCCCCTTGCGGATCCCACAGAAAGAGTGTTTCGAAACTGCTGTTTCAAAAGGAATCTTCAACTCTGTGAGTTGAATGCAATCATCAAAAAGAAGTTTCTGACAATGCTTCTCTCTCGTCTTTCTGTGAAGATAAAGGAAAAGGCTTTCAGGCCTTTTCCACCACAGGCCTGAAAGCGCTCCAAATGTCCACTTGCAGATTCTGCCAAAAGAATATTTCAAAACTGCTCTATGAAAAGCAATGTTAAACTCTGTGGCTCGAACACAAACATCACAAAGCGGTTTCTGAGAATGCTTCAGTTTAGTTTTTCTGTGGAAATATTCCCGTTTCCAAAGAAATCTTCAAAGAGGTCCACGTATCCACTTACAGATTCTACAAAAAGACAGTTTCAAAACTGCTCCATCAAAAGGAGGGTTCCACTGTGTGACTTGAATGCAATCATCACTCACAAGTTTCTGAGAATGCTTCTCTTTAGCTTTTACGTGAACGTATACCCGTTTCGAACGAAGGCCACCCAGTGGTCCAAATATCCACTTGCAGATTCTACAGAAAGAGTGTTTCGAACCTGAACTCTCAAAGGCAGGTTCATCTCTGCGAGTTAAATGCATTCATCATGAAGAACTTTCTCAGAGTGTTTGTGTTTAGTTATGGGAAATTATTCCCGTTTCCAACGAAATCCTCAGAGAGCTCCAAATATCCACCTGCAGATTCTACCAAAAGTGTATTTGGAAACTGCTCCATCAAAAGGCATGTTCAGCTCTGTGAGTGAAACTCCATCATCACAAAGAATATTCTGAGAATGCTTCCGTTTGCCTTTTATATGAATTTCCTTCCTATATGACCGTAGGCCTCAAAGCAGTCCAAATCTCCATTTGCAGATTCTACAAAAAGAGTGATTCCAATCTGCTCTATCAATAGGATTGTTCAACTCCATGAGTTGAATGCCATCCTCACAAAGTAGTTTCTGAGAATGCTTCTATCTAGTTTTTATGTGAAGATATTTCCTTTTCCACCACAGGCCTCAAAGCCCTCCAAACGTCCACTTGCAGATTCTCGAAAAAGAGTGTTTCATAGCTGCTCTTTCAAAAGGAAAGTTCAACTCTGGGAGTTGAATACAAACATCACAAAGTAGTTTCCGAGAATGCTTCTGTTTAGTTCTTATGTGAAGATGATCCCGTTTCCAGTGAAATCTTCAAAGAGGTCCACATATCCCCTTGCAGATTCCAAAGAAAGAGGGTTTCAAAACTGCTCCATCAAAAGGATTGTTCAACTCTGTGAGTTGAATGCAGTCATCGCAGAAAACTTTCTGAGGATGCTTCTGTCTAGGTTTGATGTGAAGATATAGACGTTTCAAACGAAGGCTACAATGTGGTCAAAATATACACTTGCAGATTCTACTACAAGGGTGTTGCAAACCTCAACTATCAAAGGAAGGTTCAACTCTGTGAGATGAATGCAAACATCACAAAGAATGTTCTGAGTTTGCTTCCGTTCAGTTATGGGAAGTTGATCCCGTTTCCAACGAAATCCTCAGAGAGGTCCAAATATCCCCTTGCAGATTCTACAAAACGTGTGTTTGGAAACTGCTCCATCATAACGAATGTTCAGCTCCCTGAGTTAAACTCCATCGTCACAAAGAATTTTCTGAGAGTGCTACCGTCTGGTTTTTATATGAAGTTCTTTCCTTCACTACCACAGGCCTCAAAGCGGTCCAAATCTCCACTTGCAGATTCTACAAAAAGAGTGTTTGCAAACTGCTCTATCAAAAGGAATGTTCAACTCTGGGAGTTGAATGCAATCATCACAGAGCAGTTTCTGAGAATGCTTCTATGTCGTTTTTAGGAGAAGATATTTCCTTTTCCAACACAGTCCTCCAAGCCCGCTAAATATCCACTTGCACATTGTAGAAAAAGTGTGTCGAAGCTGCGCTATCAAAGGGAAAGTTCAACTCTGTGAGGTGAATGCAAACATCCCAAAGAAGTTTCTGAGAATGCTTCCGTTTAGCTTTTAGGTGAAGATTATCCCGTTTCCAACGAAACCTTCAAAGAGGTCCAAATATCCCCTTGCGGATCCCACAGAAAGAGTGTTTCGAAACTGCTGTTTCAAAAGGAATCTTCAACTCTGTGAGTTGAATGCAATCATCACAAAGAAGTTTCTGACAATGCTTCTCTCTCGTCTTTCTGTGAAGATAAAGGAAAAGGCTTTCAGGCCTTTTCCACCACAGGCCTGAAAGCGCTCCAAATGTCCACTTGCAGATTCTGCCAAAAGAATATTTCAAAACTGCTCTATGAAAAGCAATGTTAAACTGTGTGGCTCGAACACAAACATCACAAAGCGGTTTCTGAGAATGCTTCAGTTTAGTTTTTCTGTGGAAATATTCCCGTTTCCAAAGAAATCTTCAAAGAGGTCCACGTATCCACTTACAGATTCTACAAAAAGACAGTTTCAAAACTGCTCCATCAAAAGGAGGGTTCAACTGTGTGACTTGAATGCAATCATCACTCACAAGTTTCTGAGAATGCTTCTCTTTAGTTTTTACGTGAACATATACCCGTTTCGAACGAAGGCCACCCAGTGGTCCAAATATCCACTTGCAGATTATACAGAAAGAGTGTTTCGAACCTGAACTCTCAAAGGCAGGTTCATCTCTGCGAGTTAAATGCATTCATCATGAAGAACTTTCTCAGAGTGTTTGTGTTTAGTTATGGGAAATTATTCCCGTTTCCAACGAAATCCTCAGAGAGCTCCAAATATCCACCTGCAGTTTCTACCAAAAGTGTAGTTGGAAACTGCTCCATCAAAAGGCATGTTCAGCTCTGTGAGTGAAACTCCATCATCACAAAGAATATTCTGAGAATGCTTCCGTTTGCCTTTTATATGAAGTTCCTTCCTGTACTACCGTAGGCCTCAAAGCAGTCCAAATCTCCATTTGCAGATTCTACAAAAAGAGTGATTCCAATCTGCTCTATCAATAGGATTGTTCAACTCCATGAGTTGAATGCCATCCTCACAAAGTAGTTTCTGAGAATGCTTCTATCTAGTTTTTATGTGAAGATATTTCCTTTTCCACCACAGGCCTCAAAGCCCTCCAAACGTCCACTTGCAGATTCTCGAAAAAGAGTGTTTCATAGCTGCTCTTTCAAAAGGAAAGTTCAACTCTGGGAGTTGAATACAAACATCACAAAGTAGTTTCCGAGAATGCTTCTGTTTAGTTCTTATGTGAAGATGATCCCGTTTCCAGTGAAATCTTCAAAGAGGTCCACATATCCCCTTGCAGATTCCAAAGAAAGAGGGTTTCAAAACTGCTCCATCAAAAGGATTGTTCAACTCTGTGAGTTGAATGCAGTCATCGCAGAAAACTTTCTGAGAATGCTTCTGTCTAGGTTTGAGGTGAAGATATAGACGTTTCAAACGAAGGCTACAAAGTGGTCAAAATATACACTTGCAGATTCTACTACAAGGGTGTTGCAAACCTGAACTATCAAAGGAAGGTTCAACTCTGTGAGTTGAATACAAACATCACAAAGAATGTTCTGAGTTTGCTTCCGTTCAGTTATGGGAAGTTGATCCCGTTTCCAACGAAATCCTCAGAGAGGTCCAAATATCCCCTTGCAGATTCTACAAAACGTGTGTTTGGAAACTGCTCCATCATAACGAATGTTCAGCTCCCTGAGTTAAACTCCATCGTCACAAAGAATTTTCTGAGAGTGCTACCGTCTGGTTTTTATATGAAGTTCTTTCCTTCACTACCACAGGCCTCAAAGCGGTCCAAATCTCCACTTGCAGATTCTACAAAAAGAGTGTTTGCAAACTGCTCTATCAAAAGGAATGTTCAACTCTGGGAGTTGAATGCAATCATCACAGAGCAGTTTCTGAGAATGCTTCTATGTCGTTTTTAGGAGAAGATATTTCCTTTTCCAACACAGTCCTCCAAGCCCGCTAAATAGCCACTTGCACATTGTAGAAAAAGTGTGTCAAAGCTGCGCTATCAAAGGGAAAGTTCAACTCTGTGAGGTGAATGCAAACATCCCAAAGAAGTTTCTGAGAATGCTTCCGTTTAGCTTTTAGGTGAAGATTATCCCGTTTCCAACGAAACCTTCAAAGAGGTCCAAATATCCCCTTGCGGATCCCACAGAAAGAGTGTTTCGAAACTGCTGTTTCAAAAGGAATCTTCAACTCTGTGAGTTGAATGCAATCATCACAAAGAAGTTTCTGACAATGCTTCTCTCTCGTCTTTCTGTGAAGATAAAGGAAAAGGCTTTCAGGCCTTTTCCACCACAGGCCTGAAAGCGCTCCAAATGTCCACTTGCAGATTCTGCCAAAAGAATATTTCAAAACTGCTCTATGAAAAGCAATGTTAAACTCTGTGGCTCGAACACAAACATCACAAAGCAGTTTCTGAGAATGCTTCAGTTTAGTTTTTCTGTGGAAATATTCCCGTTTCCAAAGAAATATTCAAAGAGGTCCACGTATCCACTTACAGATTTTACAAAAAGACAGTTTCAAAACTGCTCAATCAAAAGGAGGGTTCAACTGTGTGACTTGAATGTAATCATCACTCAGAAGTTTCTGAGAATGCTTCTCTTTAGTTTTTACGTGAACATATACCCGTTTCGAACGAAGGCCAACCAGTGGTCCAAATATCCACTTGCAGATTCTACAGAAAGAGTGTTTCGAACCTGAACTCTCAAAGGCAGGTTCATCTCTGCGAGTTAAATGCATTCATCATGAAGAACTTTCTCAGAGTGTTTGTGTTTAGTTATGGGAAATTATTCCCGTTTCCAACGAAATCCTCAGAGAGCTCCAAATATCCACCTGCAGATTCTACCAAAAGTGTATTTGGAAACTGCTCCATCAAAAGGCATGTTCAGCTCTGTGAGTGAAACTCCATCATCACAAAGAATATTCTGAGAATGCTTCCGTTTGCCTTTTATATGAAGTTCCTTCCTATACTACCTTAGGCCTCAAAGCAGTCCAAATCTCCATTTGCAGATTCTACAAAAAGAGTGATTCCAATCTGCTCTATCAATAGGATTGTTCAACTCCATGAGTTGAATGCCATCCTCACAAAGTCGTTTCTGAGAATGCTTCTATCTAGTTTTTATGTGAAGATATTTCCTTTTCCACCACAGGCCTCAAAGCCCTCCAAACGTCCACTTGCAGATTCTCGAAAAAGAGTGTTTCATAGCTGCTCTTTCAAAAGGAAAGTTCAACTCTGGGAGTTGAATACAAACATCACAAAGTAGTTTCCGAGAATGCTTCTGTTTAGTTTTTATGTGAAGATGATCCCGTTTCCAGTGAAATCTTCAAAGAGGTCCACATATCCCCTTGCAGATTCCAAAGAAAGAGGGTTTCAAAACTGCTCCATCAGAAGGATTGTTCAACTCTGTGAGTTGAATGCAGTCATCGCAGAAAACTTTCTGAGAGTGCTTCTGTCTAGGTTTGATGTGAAGATATAGACGTTTCAAACGAAGGCTACAAAGTGGTCAAAATATACACTTGCAGATTCTACTACAAGGGTGTTGCAAACCTGAACTATCAAAGGAAGGTTCAACTCTGTGAGTTGAATACAAACATCACAAAGAATGTTCTGAGTTTGCTTCGGTTCAGTTATGGGAAGTTGAACCCGTTTCCAACGAAATCTTCAGAGAGGTCCAAATATCCCCTTGCAGATTCTACAAAAAGTGTGTTTGGAACCTGCTCCACCAAAACGAATGTTCAGCTCTCTCAGTTAAACTCAATCGTCGCAAACAATTTTCTGAGAGGGCTACCGTCTGGTTTTTATATGAAGTTCTTTCCTTCACTACCACAGGCCTCAAAGCGGTCCAAATCTCCACTTGCAGATTCTACAAAAAGAGTGTTTGCAAACTGCTCTATCAAAAGGAATGTTCAACTCTGGGAGTTGAATGCAATCATCACAGAGCAGTTTCTGAGAATGCTTCTATGTCGTTTTTAGGAGAAGATATTTCCTTTTCCAACACAGTCCTCCAAGCCCGCTAAATAGCCACTTGCACATTGTAGAAAAAGTGTGTCAAAGCTGCGCTATCAAAGGGAAAGTTCAACTCTGTGAGGTGAATGCAAACATCCCAAAGAAGTTTCTGAGAATGCTTCCGTTTAGCTTTTAGGTGAAGATTATCCCGTTTCCAACGAAACCTTCAAAGAGGTCCAAATATCCCCTTGCGGATCCCACAGAAAGAGTGTTTCGAAACTGCTGTTTCAAAAGGAATCTTCAACTCTGTGAGTTGAATGCAATCATCACAAAGAAGTTTCTGACAATGCTTCTCTCTCGTCTTTCTGTGAAGATAAAGGAAAAGGCTTTCAGGCCTTTTCCACCACAGGCCTGAAAGCGCTCCAAATGTCCACTTGCAGATTCTGCGAAAAGAATATTTCAAAACTGCTCTATGAAAAGCAATGTTAAACTCTGTGGCTCGAACACAAACATCACAAAGCGGTTTCTGAGAATGCTTCAGTTTAGTTTTTCTGTGGAAATATTCCCGTTTCCAAAGAAATCTTCAAAGAGGTCCACGCATCCACTTACAGATTCTACAAAAAGACAGTTTCAAAACTGCTCAATCAAAAGGAGGGTTCAACTGTGTGACTTGAATGCAATCATCACTCAGAAGTTTATGAGAACGCTTCTCTTTAGTTTTTACGTGAACATATACCCGTTTCGAACGAAAGCCAGCCAGTGGTCCAAATATCCACTTGCAGATTCTACAGAAAGAGTGTTTCGAACCTGAACTCTCAAAGGCAGGTTCATCTCTGCGAGTTAAATGCATTCATCATGAAGAACTTTCTCAGCGTGTTTGTGTTTAGTTATGGGAAATTATTCCCGTTTCCAACGAAATCCTCAGAGAGCTCCAAATATCCACCTGCAGATTCTACCAAAAGTGTATTTGGAAACTGCTCCATCAAAAGGCATGTTCAGCTCTGTGAGTGAAACTCCATCATCACAAAGAATATTCTGAGAATGCTTCCGTTTGCCTTTTATATGAAGTTCCTTCCTATACGACCGTAGGCCTCAAAGCAGTGCAAATCTCCATTTGCAGATTCTACAAAAAGAGTGATTCCAATCTGCTCTATCAATAGGATTGTTCAACTCCATGAGTTGAATGCCATCCTCACAAAGTCGTTTCTGAGAATGCTTCTATCTAGTTTTTATGTGAAGATATTTCCTTTTCCACCACAGGCCTCAAAGCCCTCCAAACGTCCACTTGTAGATTCTCGAAAAAGAGTGTTTCATAGCTGCTCTTTCAAAAGGAAAGTTCAACTCTGGGAGTTGAATACAAACATCACAAAGTAGTTTCCGAGAATGCTTCTGTTTAGTTTTTATGTGAAGATGATCCCGTTTCCAGTGAAATCTTCAAAGAGGTCCACATATCCCCTTGCAGATTCCAAAGAAAGAGGGTTTCAAAACTGCTCCATCAATAGGATTGTTCAACTCTGTGAGTTGAATGCAGTCATCGCAGAAAACTTTCTGAGAATGCTTCTGTCTAGGTTTGATGTGAAGATATAGACGTTTCAAACGAAGGCTACAAAGTGGTCAAAATATACACTTGCAGATTCTACTACAAGGGTGTTGCAAACCTGAACTATCAAAGGAAGGTTCAACTCTGTGAGTTGAATACAAACGTCACAAAGAATGTTCTGAGTTTGCTTCCGTTCAGTTATGGGAAGTTGATCCCGTTTCCAACGAAATCCTCAGAGAGGTCCAAATATCCCCTTGCAGATTCTACAAAACGTGTGTTTGGAAACTGCTCCATCATAACGAATGTTCAGCTCCCTGAGTTAAACTCCATCGTCACAAAGAATTTTCTGAGAGTGCTACCGTCTGGTTTTTATATGAAGCTCTTTCCTTCACTACCACAGGCCTCAAAGCGGTCCAAATCTCCACTTGCAGATTCTACAAAAAGAGTGTTTGCAAACTGCTCTATCAAAAGGAATGTTCAACTCTGGGAGTTGAATGCAATCATCACAGAGCAGTTTCTGAGAATGCTTCTATGTCGTTTTTAGGAGAAGATATTTCCTTTTCCAACACAGTCCTCCAAGCCCGCTAAATAGCCACTTGCACATTGTAGAAAAAGTGTGTCAAAGCTGCGCTATCAAAGGGAAAGTTCAACTCTGTGAGGTGAATGCAAACATCCCAAAGAAGTTTCTGAGAATGCTTCCGTTTAGCTTTTAGGTGAAGATTATCCCGTTTCCAACGAAACCTTCAAAGAGGTCCAAATATCCCCTTGCGGATCCCACAGAAAGAGTGTTTCGAAACTGCTGTTTCAAAAGGAATCTTCAACTCTGTGAGTTGAATGCAATCATCACAAAGAAGTTTCTGACAATGCTTCTCTCTCGTCTTTCTGTGAAGATAAAGGAAAAGGCTTTCAGGCCTTTGCCACCACAGGCCTGAAAGCGCTCCAAATGTCCACTTGCAGATTCTGCCAAAAGAATATTTCAAAACTGCTCTATGAAAAGCAATGTTAAACTCTGCGGCTCGAACACAAACATCACAAAGCGGTTTCTGAGAATGCTTCAGTTTAGTTTTTCTGTGGAAATATTCCCGTTTCCAAAGAAATCTTCAAAGAGGTCCACGCATCCACTTACAGATTCTACAAAAAGACAGTTTCAAAACTGCTCCATCAAAAGGAGGGTTCAACTGTGTGACTTGAATGCAATCATCACTCAGAAGTTTCTGAGAATGCTTCTCTTTAGTTTTTACGTGAACATATACCCGTTTCGAACGAAGGCCAGCCAGTGGTCCAAATATCCACTTGCAGATTCTACAGAAAGAGTGTTTCGAACCTGAACTCTCAAAGGCAGGTTCATCTCTGCGAGTTCAATGCATTCATCATGAAGAACGTTCTCAGCGTGTTTGTGTTTAGTTATGGGAAATTATTCCCGTTTCCAACGAAATCCTCAGAGAGGTCCAAATATCCACCTGCAGATTCTACCAAAAGTGTATTTGGAAACTGCTCCATCAAAAGGCATGTTCAGCTCTGTGAGTGAAACTCCATCATCACAAAGAATATTCTGAGAATGCTTCCGTTTGCCTTTTATATGAAGTTCCTTCCTATACTACCGTAGGCCTCAAAGCAGTCCAAATCTCCCTTTGCAGATTCTACAAAAAGAGTGATTCCAATCTGCTCTATCAATAGGATTGTTCAACTCCATGAGTTGAATGCCATCCTCACAAAGTCGTTTCTGAGAATGCTTCTATCTAGTTTTTATGTGAAGATATTTCCTTTTCCACCACAGGCCTCAAAGCCCTCCAAACGTCCACTTGCAGATTCTCGAAAAAGAGTGTTTCATAGCTGCTCTTTCAAAAGGAAAGTTCAACTCTGGGAGTTGAATACAAACATCACAAAGTAGTTTCCGAGAATGCTTCTGTTTAGTTTTTATGTGAAGATGATCCCGTTTCCAGTGAAATCTTCAAAGAGGTCCACATATCCCCTTGCAGATTCCAAAGAAAGAGGGTTTCAAAACTGCTCCATCAGAAGGATTGTTCAACTGTGTGAGTTGAATGCAGTCATCGCAGAAAACTTTCTGAGAATGCTTCTGTCTAGGTTTGATGTGAAGATATAGACGTTTCAAACGAAGGCTACAAAGTGGTCAAAATATACACTTGCAGATTCTACTACAAGGGTGTTGCAAACCTGAACTATCAAAGGAAGGTTCAACTCTGTGAGTTGAATACAAACATCACAAAGAATGTTCTGAGTTTGCTTCCGTTCAGTTATGGGAAGTTGATCCCGTTTCCAGCGAAATCCTCAGAGAGGTCCAAATATCCCCTTGCAGATTCTACAAAACGTGTGTTTGGAAACTGCTCCATCATAACGAATGTTCAGCTCCCTGAGTTAAACTCCATCGTCACAAAGAATTTTCTGAGAGTGCTACCGTCTAGTTTTTATATGAAGTTCTTTCCTTTACTACCACAGGCCTCAAGGCGGTCCAAATCTCCACTTGCAGATTCTACAAAAAGAGTGTTTGCAAACTGCTCTATCAAAAGGAATGTTCAACTCTGGGAGTTGAATGCAATCATCACAGAGCAGTTTCTGAGAATGCTTCTATGTCGTTTTTAGGAGAAGATACTTCCTTTTCCAACACAGTCCTCGAAGCCCGCTAAATATCCACTTGCACATTGTAGAAAAAGTGTGTCGAAGCTGCGCTATCAAAGGGAAAGTTCAACTCTGTGAGGTGAATGCAAACATCCCAAAGAAGTTTCTGAGAATGCTTCCGTTTAGCTTTTAGGTGAAGATTATCCCGTTTCCAACGAAATCTTCAAAGAGGTCCAAATATCCCCCTGCGGATCCCACAGAAAGAGTGTTTCGAAACTGCTGTTTCAAAAGGAATCTTCAACTCTGTGAGTTGAATGCAATCATCACAAAGAAGTTTCTGACAATGCTTCTCTCTCGTCTTTCTGTGAAGATAAAGGAAAAGGCTTTCAGGCCTTTTCCACCACAGGCCTGAAAGCGCTCCAAATGTCCACTTGCAGATTCTGCGAAAAGAATATTTCAAAACTGCTCTATGAAAAGCAATGTTAAACTCTGCGGCTCGAACACAAACATCACAAAGCGGTTTCTGAGAATGCTTCAGTTTAGTTTTTCTGTGGAAATATTCCCGTTTCCAAAGGAAATCTTCAAAGAGGTCCACGTATCCACTTACAGATTCTACAAAAAGACAGTTTCAAAACTGCTCCATCAAAAGGAGGGTTCAACTGTGTGACTTGAATGCAATCATCACTCAGAAGTTTCTGAGAATGCTTCTCTTTAGTTTTTACGTGAACATATACCCGTTTCGAACGAAGGCCACCCAGTGGTCCAAATATCCACTTGCAGATTCTACAGAAAGAGTGTTTCGAACCTGAACTCTCAAAGGCAGGTTCATCTCTGCGAGTTAAATGCATTCATCATGAAGAACTTTCTCAGAGTGTTTGTGTTTAGTTATGGGAAATTATTCCCGTTTCCAACGAAATCCTCAGAGAGCTGCAAATATCCACCTGCAGATTCTACCAAAAGTGTATTTGGAAACTGCTCCATCAAAAGGCATGTTCAGCTCTGTGAGTGAAACTCCATCATCACAACGAATATTCTGAGAATGCTTCCGTTTACCTTTTATATGAAGTTCCTTCCTATACGACCGTAGGCCTCAAAGCAGTCCAAATCTCCATTTGCAGATTCTACAAAAAGAGTGATTCCAATCTGCTCTATCAATAGGATTGTTCAACTCCATGAGTTGAATGCCATCCTCACAAAGTAGTTTCTGAGAATGCTTCTATCTAGTTTTTATGTGAAGATATTTCCTTTTCCACCACAGGCCTCAAAGCCCTCCAAACGTCCACTTGCAGATTCTCGAAAAAGAGTGTTTCATAGCTGCTCTTTCAAAAGGAAAGTTCAACTCTGGGAGTTGAATACAAACATCACAAAGTAGTTTCCGAGAATGCTTCTGTTTAGTTTTTATGTGAAGATGATCCCGTTTCCAGTGAAATCTTCAAAGAGGTCCACATATCCCCTTGCAGATTCCAAAGAAAGAGGGTTTCAAAACTGCTCCATCAGAAGGATTGTTCAACTCTGTGAGTTGAATGCTGTCATCGCAGAAAACTTTCTGAGAATGCTTCTGTCTAGGTTTGATGTGAAGATATAGACGTTTCAAACGAAGGCTACAAAGTGGTCAAAATATACACTTGCAGATTCTACTACAAGGGTGTTGCAAACCTGAACTATCAAAGGAAGGTTCAACTCTGTGAATTGAATACAAACATCACAAAGAATGTTCTGAGTTTGCTTCCGTTCAGTTATGGGAAGTTGATCCCGTTTCCAACGAAATCCTCAGAGAGGTCCAAATATCCCCTCACAGATTCTACAAAACGTGTGTTTGGAAACTGCTCCATCATAACGAATGTTCAGCTCCCTGAGTTAAACTCCATCGTCACAAAGAATTTTCTGAGAGTGCTACCGTCTGGTTTTTATATGAAGTTCTTTCCTTCACTACCACAGGCCTCAAAGCGGTCCAAATCTCCACTTGCAGATTCTACAAAAAGAGTGTTTGCAAACTGCTCTATCAAAAGGAATGTTCAACTCTGGGAGTTGAATGCAATCATCACAGAGCAGTTTCTGAGAATGCTTCTATGTCGTTTTTAGGAGAAGATATTTCCTTTTCCAACACAGTCCTCCAAGCCCGCTAAATATCCACTTGCACATTGTAGAAAAAGTGTGTCGAAGCTGCGCTATCAAAGGGAAAGTTCAACTCTGTGAGGTGAATGCAAACATCCCAAAGAAGTTTCTGAGAATGCTTCCGTTTAGCTTTTAGGTGAAGATTATCCCGTTTCCAACGAAACCTTCAAAGAGGTCCAAATATCCCCTTGCGGATCCCACAGAAAGAGTGTTTCGAAACTGCTGTTTCAAAAGGAATCTTCAACTCTGTGAGTTGAATGCAATCATCACAAAGAAGTTTCTGACAATGCTTCTCTCTCGTCTTTCTGTGAAGATAAAGGAAAAGGCTTTCAGGCCTTTGCCACCACAGGCCTGAAAGCGCTCCAAATGTCCACTTGCAGATTCTGCGAAAAGAATATTTCAAAACTGCTCTATGAAAAGCAATGTTAAACTCTGCGGCTCGAACACAAACATCACAAAGCGGTTTCTGAGAATGCTTCAGTTTAGTTTTTCTGTGGAAATATTCCCGTTTCCAAAGAAATCTTCAAAGAGGTCCACGTATCCACTTACAGATTCTACAAAAAGACAGTTTCAAAACTGCTCCATCAAAAGGAGGGTTCAACTGTGTGACTTGAATGCAATCATCACTCAGAAGTTTCTGAGAATGCTTCTCTTTAGTTTTTACGTGAACATATACCCGTTTCGAACGAAGGCCAGCCAGTGGTCCAAATATCCACTTGCAGATTCTCCAGAAAGAGTGTTTCGAACATGAACTCTCAAAGGCAGGTTCATCTCTGCGAGTTAAATGCATTCATCATGAAGAACTTTCTCAGAGTGTTTGTGTTTAGTTATGGGAAATTATTCCCGTTTCCAACGAAATCCTCAGAGAGGTCCAAATATCCACCTGCAGATTCTACCAAAAGTGTATTTGGAAACTGCTCCATCAAAAGGCATGTTCAGCTCTGTGAGTGAAACTCCATCATCACAAAGAATATTCTGAGAATGCTTCCGTTTGCCTTTTATATGAAGTTCCTTCCTATACTACCGTAGGCCTCAAAGCAGTCCAAATCTCCATTTGCAGATTCTACAAAAAGAGTGATTCCAATCTGCTCTATCAATAGGATTGTTGAACTCCATGATTTGAATGCCATCCTCACAAATTCGTTTGTGAGAATGCTTCTATCTAGTTTTTATGTGAAGATATTTCCTTTTCCACCACAGGCCTCAAAGCCCTCCAAACGTCCACTTTCAGATTCTCGAAAAAGAGTGTTTCATAGCTGCTCTTTCAAAAGGAAAGTTCAACTCTGGGAGTTGAATACAAACATCACAAAGTAGTTTCTGAGAATGCTTCTGTTTAGTTTTTATGTGAAGATGATCCCGTTTCCAGTGAAATCTTCAAAGAGGTCCACATATCCCCTTGCAGATTCCAAAGAAAGAGGGTTTCAAAACTGCTCCATCAGAAGGATTGTTCAACTCTGTGAGTTGAATGCAGTCATCGCAGAAAACTTTCTGAGAATGCTTCTGTCTAGGTTTGATGTGAAGATATAGACGTTTCAAACGAAGGCTACAAAGTGGTCAAAATATACACTTGCAGATTCTACTACAAGGGTGTTGCAAACCTGAACTATCAAAGGAAGGTTCAACTCTGTGAGTTGAATACAAACGTCACAAAGAATGTTCTGAGTTTGCTTCCGTTCAGTTATGGGAAGTTGATCCCGTTTCCAACGAAATCCTCAGAGAGGTCCAAATATCCCCTCGCAGATTCTACAAAACGTGTGTTTGGAAACTGCTCCGTCATAACGAATGTTCAGCTCCCTGAGTTAAACTCCATCGTCACAAAGAATTTTCTGAGAGTGCTACCGTCTGGTTTTTATATGAAGTTCTTTCCTTCACTACCACAGGCCTCAAAGCGGTCCAAATCTCCACTTGCAGATTCTACAAAAAGAGTGTTTGCAAACTGCTCTATCAAAAGGAATGTTCAACTCTGGGAGTTGAATGCAATCATCACAGAGCAGTTTCTGAGAATGCTTCTATGTCGTTTTTAGGAGAAGATATTTCCTTTTCCAACACAGTCCTCCAAGCCCGCTAAATAGCCACTTGCACATTGTAGAAAAAGTGTGTCAAAGCTGCGCTATCAAAGGGAAAGTTCAACTCTGTGAGGTGAATGCAAACATCCCAAAGAAGTTTCTGAGAATGCTTCCGTTTAGCTTTTAGGTGAAGATTATCCCGTTTCCAACGAAACCTTCAAAGAGGTCCAAATATCCCCTTGCGGATCCCACAGAAAGAGTGTTTCGAAACTGCTGTTTCAAAAGGAATCTTCAACTCTGTGAGTTGAATGCAATCATCACAAAGAAGTTTCTGACAATGCTTCTCTCTCGTCTTTCTGTGAAGATAAAGGAAAAGGCTTTCAGGCCTTTTCCACCACAGGCCTGAAAGCGCTCCAAATGTCCACTTGCAGATTCTGCGAAAAGAATATTTCAAAACTGCTCTATGAAAAGCAATGTTAAACTCTGTGGCTCGAACACAAACATCACAAAGCGGTTTCTGAGAATGCTTCAGTTTAGTTTTTCTGTGGAAATATTCCCGTTTCCAAAGAAATCTTCAAAGAGGTCCACGTATCCACTTACAGATTCTACAAAAAGACAGTTTCAAAACTGCTCCATCAAAAGGAGGGTTCATCTGTGTGACTTGAATGCAATCATCACTCACAAGTTTCTGAGAATGCTTCTCTTTAGTTTTTACGTGAACATATACCCGTTTCGAACGAAGGCCACCCAGTGGTCCAAATATCCACTTGCAGATTCTACAGAAAGAGTGTTTCGAACCTGAACTCTCAAAGGCAGGTTCATCTCTGCGAGTTAAATGCATTCATCATGAAGAACTTTCTCAGAGTGTTTGTGTTTAGTTATGGGAAATTATTCCCGTTTCCAACGAAATCCTCAGAGAGCTCCAAATATCCACCTGCTGATTCTACCAAAAGTGTATTTGGAAACTGCTCCATCAAAAGGCATGTTCAGCTCTGTGAGTGAAACTCCATCATCACAAAGAATATTCTGAGAATGCTTCCGTTTGCCTTTTATATGAAGTTCCTTCCTGTACTACCGTAGGCCTCAAAGCAGTCCAAATCTCCATTTGCAGATTCTATAAAAAGAGTGATTCCAATCTGCTCTATCAATAGGATTGTTCAACTCCATGAGTTGAATGCCATCCTCACAAAGTAGTTTCTGAGAATGCTTCTATCTGGTTTTTGTGTGAAGATATTTCCTTTTCCACCACAGGCCTCAAAGCCCTCCAAACGTCCACTTGCAGATTTTCGAAAAAGAGTGTTTCATAGCTGCTCTTTCAAAAGGAAAGTTCAACTCTGGGAGTTGAATACAAACATCACAAAGTAGTTTCCGAGAATGCTTCTGTTTAGTTTTTATGTGAAGATGATCCCGTTTCCAGTGAAATCTTCAAAGAGGTCCACATATCCCCTTGCAGATTCCAAAGAAAGAGGGTTTCAAAACTGCTCCATCAGAAGGATTGTTCAACTCTGTGAGTGGAATGCAGTCATCGCAGAAAACTTTCTGAGAATGCTTCTGTCTAGGTTTGATGTGAAGATATAGACGTTTCAAACGAAGGCTACAAAGTGGTCAAAATATACACTTGCAGATTCTACTACAAGGGTGTTGCAAACCTGAACTATCAAAGGAAGGTTCAACTATGTGAGTTGAATACAAACATCACAAAGAATGTTCTGAGTTTGCTTCCGTTCAGTTATGGGAAGTTGATCCCGTTTGCAACGAAATCCTCAGAGAGGTCCAAATATCCCCTTGCAGATTCTGCAAAACGTGTGTTTGGAAACTGCTCCATCATAACGAATGTTCAGCTCTCTGAGTTAAACTCCATCGTCACAAAGAATTTTCTGAGAGTGCTACCGTCTAGTTTTTATATGAAGTTCTTTCCTTTACTACCACAGGCCTCAAAGCGGTCCAAATCTCCACTTGCAGATTCTACAAAAAGAGTGTTTGCAAACTGCTCTATCAAAAGGAATGTTCAACTATGGGAGTTGAATGCAATCATCACAGAGCAGTTCCTGAGAATGCTTCTATGTCGTTTTTAGGAGAAGATATTTCCTTTTCCAACACAGTCCTCCAAGCCCGCTAAATAGCCACTTGCACATTGTAGAAAAAGTGTGTCAAAGCTGCGCTATCAAAGGGAAAGTTCAACTCTGTGAGGTGAATGCAAACATCCCAAAGAAGTTTCTGAGAATGCTTCCGTTTAGCTTTTAGGTGAAGATTATCCCGTTTCCAACGAAACCTTCAAAGAGGTCCAAATATCCCCTTGCGGATCCCACAGAAAGAGTGTTTCGAAACTGCTGTTTCAAAAGGAATCTTCAACTCTGTGAGTTGAATGCAATCATCACAAAGAAGTTTCTGACAATGCTTCTCTCTCGTCTTTCTGTGAAGATAAAGGAAAAGGCTTTCAGGCCTTTGCCACCACAGGCCTGAAAACGCTCCAAATGTCCACTTGCAAATTCTGCGAAAAGAATATTTCAAAACTGCTCTATGAAAAGCAATGTTAAACTCTGTGGCTCGAACACAAACATCACAAAGCAGTTTCTGAGAATGCTTCAGTTTAGTTTTTCTGTGGAAATATTCCCGTTTCCAAAGAAATCTTCAAAGAGGTCCACGCATCCACTTACAGATTCTACAAAAAGACAGTTTCAAAACTGCTCCATCAGAAGGAGGGTTCAACTGTGTGACTTGAATGCAATCATCACTCAGAAGTTTCTGAGAATGCTTCTCTTTAGTTTTTACGTGAACATATACCCGTTTCGAACGAAGGCCACCCAGTGGTCCAAATATCCACTTGCAGATTCTACAGAAAGAGTGTTTCGAACCTGAACTCTCAAAGGCAGGTTCATCTCTGCGAGTTAAATGCATTCATCATGAAGAACTTTCTCAGAGTGTTTGTGTTTAGTTATGGGAAATTATTCCCGTTTCCAACGAAATCCTCAGAGAGGTCCAAATATCCACCTGCAGATTCTACCAAAAGTGTATTTGGAAACTGCTCCATCAAAAGGCATGTTCAGCTCTGTGAGTGAAACTCCATCATCACAAAGAATATTCTGAGAATGCTTCCGTTTGCCTTTTATATGAAGTTCCTTCCTGTACTACCGTAGTCCTCAAAGCAGTCCAAATCTCCATTTGCAGATTCTATAAAAAGAGTGATTCCAATCTGCTCTATCAATAGGATTGTTCAACTCCATGAGTTGAATGCCATCCTCACAAAGTAGTTTCTGAGAATGCTTCTATCTAGTTTTTATGTGAAGATATTTCCTTTTCCACCACAGGCCTCAAAGCCCTCCAAACGTCCACTTGCAGATTCTCGAAAAAGAGTGTTTCATAGCTGCTCTTTCAAAAGGAAAGTTCAACTCTGGGAGTTGAATACAAACATCACAAAGTAGTTTCCGAGAATGCTTCTGTTTAGTTTTTATGTGAAGATGATCCCGTTTCCAGTGAAATCTTCAAAGAGGTCCACATATCCCCTTGCAGATTCCAAAGAAAGAGGGTTTCAAAACTGCTCCATCAGAAGGATTGTTCAACTCTGTGAGTTGAATGCAGTCATGGCAGAAAACTTTCTGAGAATGCTTCTGTCTAGGTTTGATGTGAAGATATAGACGTTTCAAACGAAGGCTACAAAGTGGTCAAAATATACACTTGCAGATTCTACTACAAGGGTGTTGCAAACCTGAACTATCAAAGGAAGGTTCAACTCTGTGAGTTGAATACAGACGTCACAAAGAATGTTCTGAGTTTGCTTCCGTTCAGTTATGGGAAGTTGATCCCGTTTCCAACGAAATCCTCAGAGAGGTCCAAATATCCCCTCGCAGATTCTACAAAACGTGTGTTTGGAAACTGCTCCATCATAACGAATGTTCAGCTCCCTGAGTTAAACTCCATCGTCACAAAGAATTTTCTGAGAGTGCTACCGTCTGGTTTTTATATGAAGTTCTTTCCTTCACTACCACAGGCCTCAAAGCGGTCCAAATCTCCACTTGCAGATTCTACAAAAAGAGTGTTTGCAAACTGCTCTATCAAAAGGAATGTTCAACTCTGGGAGTTGAATGCAATCATCACAGAGCAGTTTCTGAGAATGCTTCTATGTCGTTTTTAGGAGAAGATATTTCCTTTTCCAACACAGTCCTCCAAGCCCGCTAAATAGCCACTTGCACATTGTAGAAAAAGTGTGTCAAAGCTGCGCTATCAAAGGGAAAGTTCAACTCTGTGAGGTGAATGCAAACATCCCAAAGAAGTTTCTGAGAATGCTTCCGTTTAGCTTTTAGGTGAAGATTATCCCGTTTCCAACGAAACCTTCAAAGAGGTCCAAATATCCCCTTGCGGATCCCACAGAAAGAGTGTTTCGAAACTGCTGTTTCAAAAGGAATCTTCAACTCTGTGAGTTGAATGCAATCATCACAAAGAAGTTTCTGACAATGCTTCTCTCTCGTCTTTCTGTGAAGATAAAGGAAAAGGCTTTCAGGCCTTTTCCACCACAGGCCTGAAAGCGCTCCAAATATCCGCTTGCAGATACTGCGAAAAGAATATTACAAAACTGCTCTATGAAAAGCAATGTTAAACTCTGTGGCTCGAACACAAACATCACAAAGCAGTTTCTGAGAATACTTCAGTTTAGTTTTTCTGTGGAAATATTCCCGTTTCCAAAGAAATCTTCAAAGAGGTCCACGTATCCACTTACAGATTCTACAAAAAGACAGTTTCAAAACTGCTCAATCAAAAGGAGGGTTCAACTGTGTGACTTGAAAGCAATCATCACTCAGAAGATTCTGAGAATGCTTCTCTTTAGTTTTTACGTGAACATATACCCGTTTCGAACGAAGGCCACCCAGTGGTCCAAATATCCACTTGCAGATTCTACAGAAAGAGTGTTTCGAACCTGAACTCTCAAAGGCAGGTTCATCTCTGCGAGTTCAATGCATTCAACATGAAGAACTTTCTCAGCGTGTTTGTGTTCAGTTATGGGAAATTATTCCCGTTTCCAACGAAATCCTCAGAGATGTCCAAATATCCACCTGCAGATTCTACCAAAAGTGTATTTGGAAACTGCTCCATCAAAAGGCATGTTCAGCTCTGTGAGTGAAACTCCATCATCACAAAGAATATTCTGAGAATGCTTCCGTTTGCCTTTTATATGAAGTTCCTTCCTATTCTACCATAGGCCTCAAAGCAGTCCAAATCTCCATTTGCAGATTCTACAAAAAGAGTGATTCCAATCTGCTCTATCAATAGGATTGTTCAACTCCATGAGTTGAATGCCATCCTCACAAAGTAGTTTCTGAGAATGCTTCTATCTAGTTTTTATGTGAAGATATTTCCTTTTCCACCACAGGCCTCAAAGCCCTCCAAACGTCCACTTGCAGATTCTAGAAAAAGAGTGTTTCATAGCTGCTCTTTCAAAAGGAAAGTTCAACTCTGGGAGGTGAATACAAACATCACAAAGTAGTTTCCGAGAATGCTTCTGTTTAGTTCTTATGTGAAGATGATCCCGTTTCCAGTGAAATCTTCAAAGAGGTCCACATATCCCCTTGCAGATTCCAAAGAAAGAGGGTTTCAAAACTGCTCCATCAAAAGGATTGTTCAACTCTGTGAGTTGAATGCAGTCATCGCAGAAAACTTTCTGAGAATGCTTCTGTCTAGGTTTGATGTGAAGATATAGACGTTTCAAACGAAGGCTACAAAGTGGTCAAAATATACACTTGCAGATTCTACTACAAGGGTGTTGCAAACCTGAACTATCAAAGGAAGGTTCAACTCTGTGAGTTGAATACAAACATCACAAAGAATGTTCTGAGTTTGCTTCCGTTCAGTTATGGGAAGTTGATCCCGTTTCCAACGAAATCCTCAGAGAGGTCCAAATATCCCCTCGCAGATTCTACAATACGTGTGTTTGGAAACTGCTCCATCATAACGAATGTTCAGCTCCCTGAGTTAAACTCCATCGTCACAAAGAATTTTCTGAGAGTGCTACCGTCTGGTTTTTATATGAAGTTCTTTCCTTCACTACCACAGGCCTCAAAGCGGTCCAAATCTCCACTTGCAGATTCTACAAAAAGAGTGTTTGCAAACTGCTCTATCAAAAGGAATGTTCAACTCTGGGAGTTGAATGCAATCATCACAGAGCAGTTTCTGAGAATGCTTCTATGTCGTTTTTAGGAGAAGATATTTCCTTTTCCAACACAGTCCTCCAAGCCCGCTAAATATCCACTTGCACATTGTAGAAAAAGTGTGTCGAAGCTGCGCTATCAAAGGGAAAGTTCAACTCTGTGAGGTGAATGCAAACATCCCAAAGAAGTTTCTGAGAATGCTTCCGTTTTGCTTTTAAGTGAAGATTATCCCGTTTGGCAACGAAATCTTCAAAGAGGTCCAAATATCCCCTTGCGGATCCCACAGAAAGAGTGTTTCGAAACTGCTGTTTCAAAAGGAATCTTCAACTCTGTGAGTTGAATGCAATCATCACAAAGAAGTTTCTGACAATGCTTCTCTCTCGTCTTTCTGTGAAGATAAAGGAAAAGGCTTTCAGGCCTTTTCCACCACAGGCCTGAAAGTGCTCCAAATGTCCACTTGCAGATTCTGCCAAAAGAATATTTCAAAACTGCTCTATGAAAAGCAATGTTAAACTCTGTGGCTCGAACACAAACATCACAAAGCAGTTTCTGAGAATGCTTCAGTTTAGTTTTTCTGTGGAAATATTCCCGTTTCCAAAGAAATCTTCAAAGAGGTCCACGCATCCACTTACAGATTCTACAAAAAGACGGTTTCAAAACTGCTCAATCAAAAGGAGGGTTCAACTGTGTGACTTGAATGCAATCATCACTCAGAAGTTTCTGAGAACGCTTCTCTTTAGTTTTTACGTGAACATATACCCGTTTCGAACGAAGGCCACCCAGTGGTCCAAATATCCACTTGCAGATTCTACAGAAAGAGTGTTTCGAACCTGAACTCTCAAAGGCAGGTTCATCTCTGCGAGTTCAATGCATTCATCATGAAGAACTTTCTCAGCGTATTTGTGTTTAGGTATGGGAAATTATTCCCGTTTCCAACGAAATCCTCAGAGAGGTCCAAATATCCACCTGCAGATTCTACCAAAAGTGTATTTGGAAACTGCTCCATGAAAAGGCATGTTCAGCTCTGTGAGTGAAACTCCATCATCACAAAGAATATTCTGAGAATGCTTCCATTTGCCTTTTATATGAAGTTCCTTCCTATACTACCGTAGGCCTCAAAGCAGTCCAAATCTCCATTTGCAGATTCTACAAAAAGAGTGATTCCAATCTGCTCTATCAATAGGATTGTTCAACTCCATGAGTTGAATGCCATCCTCACAAAGTCGTTTCTGAGAATGCTTCTATCTAGTTTTTATGTGAAGATATTTCCTTTTCCACCACAGGCCTCAAAGCCCTCCAAACGTCCACTTGCAGATTCTCGAAAAAGAGTGTTTCATAGCTGCTCTTTCAAAAGGAAAGTTCACCTCTGGCAGTTGAATACAAACATCACAAAGTAGTTTCCGAGAATGCTTCTGTTTAGTTTTTATGTGAAGATGATCCGGTTTCCAGTGAAATCTTCAAAGAGGTCCACATATCCCCTTGCAGATTCCAAAGAAAGAGGGTTTCAAAACTGCTCCATCAGAAGGATTGTTCAACTCTGTGAGTTGAATGCAGTCATCGCAGAAAACTTTCTGAGAATGCTTCTGTCTAGGTTTGATGTGAAGATATAGACGTTTCAAACGAAGGCTACAAAGTGGTCAAAATATACACTTGCAGATTCTACTACAAGGGTGTTGCAAACCTGAACTATCAAAGGAAGGTTCAACTCTGTGAATTGAATACAAACATCACAAAGAATGTTCTGAGTTTGCTTCCGTTCAGTTATGGGAAGTTGATCCCGTTTCCAACGAAATCCTCAGAGAGGTCCAAATATCCCCTTGCAGATTCTACAAAACGTGTGTTTGGAAACTGCTCCATCATAACGAATGTTCAGCTCCCTGAGTTAAACTCCATCGTCACAAAGAATTTTCTGAGAGTGCTACCGTCTGGTTTTTATATGAAGTTCTTTCCTTCACTACCACTGGCCTCAAAGCGGTCCAAATCTCCACTTGCAGATTCTACAAAAAGAGTGTTTGCAAACTGCTCTATCAAAAGGAATGTTCAACTCTGGGAGTTGAATGCAATCATCACAGAGCAGTTTCTGAGAATGCTTCTATGTCGTTTTTAGGAGAAGATATTTCCTTTTCCAACACAGTCCTCCAAGCCCGCTAAATAGCCACTTGCACATTGTAGAAAAAGTGTGTCGAAGCTGCGCTATCAAAGGGAAAGTTCAACTCTGTGAGGTGAATGCAAACATCCCAAAGAAGTTTCTGAGAATGCTTCCGTTTAGCTTTAAGTGAAGATTATCCCGTTTCCAACGAAATCTTCAAAGAGGTCCAAATATCCCCTTGCGGATCCCACAGAAAGAGTGTTTCGAAACTGCTGTTTCAAAAGGAATCTTCAACTCTGTGAGTTGAATGCAATCATCACAAAGAAGTTTCTGACAATGCTTCTCTCTCGTCTTTCTGTGAAGATAAAGGAAAAGGCTTTCAGGCCTTTTCCACCACAGGCCTGAAAGCACTCCAAATGTCCACTTGCAGATTCTGCCAAAAGAATATTTCAAAACTGCTCTATGAAAAGCAATGTTAAACTCTGTGGCTCGAACACAAACATCACAAAGCGGTTTCTGAGAATGCTTCAGTTTAGTTTTTCTGTGGAAATATTCCCGTTTCCAAAGAAATCTTCAAAGAGGTCCACGTATCCACTTACAGATTCTACAAAAAGACAGTTTCAAAACTGCTCAATCAAAAGGAGGGTTCAACCGTGTGACTTGAATGCAATCATCACTCAGAAGTTTCTGAGCACGCTTCTGTTTAGTTTTTACGTGAACATATACCCGTTTCGAACGAAGGCCACCCAGTGGTCCAAATATCCACTTGCAGATTCTACAGAAAGAGTTTTTCGAACCTGAACTCTCAAAGGCAGGTTGATCTCTGCGAGTTCAATGCATTCAACATGAAGAACTTTCTCAGCGTGTTTGTGTATAGTTAAGGGAAATTATTGCCCTTTCCAATGAAATCCTCAGAGAGGTCCAAATATCCACCTGTAGATTCTACCAAAAGTGTATTTGGAAACTGCTCCATCAAAAGGCATGTTCAGCTCTGTGAGTGAAACTCCATCATCACAAAGATATTCTGAGAATGCTTCCGTTTGCCTTTTATATGAAGTTCCTTCCTATACTACCGTAGGCCTCAAAGCAGTCCAAATCTCCATTTGCAGATTCTACAAAAAGAGTGATTCCAATCTGCTCTATCAATAGGATTGTTCAACTCCATGAGTTGAATGCCATCCTCACAAAGTCGTTTCTGAGAATGCTTCTATCTAGTTTTTATGGGAAGATATTTCCTTTTCCACCGCAGGCCTCAAAGCCCTCCAAACGTCCGCTTGCAGATTCTCGAAAAAGAGTGTTTCATAGCTGCTCTTTCAAAAGGAAAGTTCAACTCTGGGAGTTGAATACAAACATCACAAAGTAGTTTCCGAGAATGCTTCTGTTTAGTTCTTAAGTGAAGATGATCCCGTTTCCAGTGAAATCTTGAAAGAGGTCCACATATCCCCTTGCAGATTCCAAAGAAAGAGGGTTTCAAAACTGCTCCATCAAAAGGATTGCTCAACTCTGTGAGTTGAATGCAGTCATCGCAGAAAACTTTCTGAGAATGCTTCTGTCTAGGTTTGATGTGAAGATATAGACGTTTCAAACGAAGGCTACAAAGTGGTCAAAATATACACTTGCAGATTCTACTACAAGGGTGTTGCAAACCTGAACTATCAAAGGAAGGTTCAACTCTGTGAGTTGAATACAAACATCACAAAGAATGTTCTGAGTTTGCTTCCGTTCAGTTATGGGAAGTTGATCCCATTTCCAACGAAATCCTCAGAGAGGTCCAAATATCCCTTTGCAGATTCTACAAAATGTGTGTTTGGAAACTGCTCCATCATAACGAATGTTCAGCTCTCTGAGTTAAACTCTATCGTCACAAAGAATTTTACTGAGAGTGCTACCGTCTGGTTTTTATATGAAGTTCTTTCCTTCACTACCACAGGCCTCAAAGCGGTCCAAATCTCCACTTGCAGATTCTACAAAAAGAGTGTTTGCAAACTGCTCTATCAAAAGGAATGTTCAACTCTGGGAGTTGAATGCAATCATCACAGAGCAGTTTCTGAGAATGCTTCTATGTCGTTTTTAGGAGAAGATATTTCCTTTTCCAACACAGTCCTCCAAGCCCGCTAAATAGCCACTTGCACATTGTAGAAAAAGTGTGTCGAAGCTGCGCTATCAAAGGGAAAGTTCAACTCTGTGAGGTGAATGCAAACATCCCAAAGAAGTTTCTGAGAATGCTTCCGTTTAGCTTTTAGGTGAAGATTATCCCGTTTCCAACGAAACCTTCAAAGAGGTCCAAATATCCCCTTGCGGATCCCACAGAAAGAGTGTTTCGAAACTGCTGTTTCAAAAGGAATCTTCAACTCTGTGAGTTGAATGCAATCATCACAAAGAAGTTTCTGACAATGCTTCTCTCTCGTCTTTCTGTGAAGATAAAGGAAAAGGCTTTCAGGCCTTTGCCACCACAGGCCTGAAAGCGCTCCAAATGTCCACTTGCAGATTCTGCCAAAAGAATATTTCAAAACTGCTCTATGAAAAGCAATGTTAAACTCTGTGGCTGGAACACAAACATCACAAAGCGGTTTCTGAGAATGTTTCAGTTTAGTTTTTCTGTGGAAATATTCCCGTTTCCAAAGAAATCTTCAAAGAGGTCCACGTATCCACTTACAGATTCTACAAAAAGACAGTTTCAAAACTGCTCCATCAAAAGGAGGGTTCAACTGTGTGACTTGAATGCAATCATCACTCAGAAGTTTCTGAGAATGCTTCTCTTTAGTTTTTACGTGAACATATACCCGTTTCGATCGAAGGCCACCCAGTGGTCCAAATATCCACTTGCAGATTCTACAGAAAGAGTGTTTCGAACCTGAACTCTCAAAGGCAGGTTCATCTCTGCGAGTTAAATGCATTCATCATGAAGAACTTTCTCAGAGTGTTTGTGTTTAGTTATGGGAAATTATTCCCGTTTCCAACGAAATCCTCAGAGAGCTCCAAATATCCACCTGCAGATTCTACCAAAAGTGTATTTGGAAACTGCTCCATCAAAAGGCATGTTCAGCTCTGTGAGTGAAACTCCATCATCACAAAGAATATTCTGAGAATGCTTCCGTTTGCCTGTTATATGAAGTTCCTTCCTATACGACCGTAGGCCTCAAAGCAGTCCAAATCTCCATTTGCAGATTCTACAAAAAGAGTGATTCCAATCTGCTCTATCAATAGGATTGTTCAACTCCATGAGTTGAATGCCATCTTCCAAAGTAGTTTCTGAGAATGCTTCTATCTAGTTTTTATGTGAAGATATTTCCTTTTCCACCACAGGCCTCAAAGCCCTCCAAACGTCCACTTGCAGATTCTCGAAAAAGAGTGTTTCATAGCTGCTCTTTCAAAAGGAAAGTTCAACTCTGGGAGTTGAATACAAACATCACAAAGTAGTTTCCGAGAATGCTTCTGTTTAGTTTTTATGTGAAGATGATCCCGTTTCCAGTGAAATCTTCAAAGAGGTCCACATATCCCCTTGCAGATTCCAAAGAAAGAGGGTTTCAAAACTGCTCCATCAGAAGGATTGTTCAACTCTGTGAGTTGAATGCAGTCATCGCAGAAAACTTTCTGAGAATGCTTCTGTCTAGGTTTCATGTGAAGATATAGAACTTTCAAACGAAGGCTACAAAGTGGTCAAAATATACACTTGCAGATTCTACTACAAGGGTGTTGCAAACCTGAACTATCAAAGGAAGGTTCAACTCTGTGAGTTGAATACAAACATCACAAAGAATGTTCTGAGTTTGCTTCCGTTCAGTTATGGGAAGTTGATCCCGTTTCCAACGAAATCCTCAGAGAGGTCCAAATATCCCCTTGCAGATTCTACAAAACGTGTGTTTGGAAACTGCTCCATCATAACGAATGTTCAGCTCCCTGAGTTAAACTCCATCGTCACAAAGAATTTTCTGAGAGTGCTACCGTCTGGTTTTTATATGAAGTTCTTTCCTTTACTACCATAGGCCTCAAAGCGGTCCAAATCTCCACTTGCAGATTCTACAAAAAGAGTGTTTGCAAACTGCTCTATCAAAAGGAATGTTCAACCCTGGGAGTTGAATGCAATCATCACAGAGCAGTTTCTGAGAATGCTTCTATGTCGTTTTTAGGAGAAGATATTTCCTTTTCCAACACAGTCCTCTAGCCCGCTAAATAGCCACTTGCACATTGTAGAAAAAGTGTGTCAAAGCTGCGCTATCAAAGGGAAAGTTCAACTCTGTGAGGTGAATGCAAACATCCCAAAGAAGTTTCTGAGAATGCTTCCGTTTAGCTTTTAGGTGAAGATTATCCCGTTTCCAACGAAATCTTCAAAGAGGTCCAAATATCCCCTTGCGGATCCCACAGAAAGAGTGTTTCGAAACTGCTGTTTCAAAAGGAATCTTCAACTCTGTGAGTTGAATGCAATCATCACAAAGAAGTTTCTGACAATGCTTCTCTCTCGTCTTTCTGTGAAGATAAAGGAAAAGGCTTTCAGGCCTTTTCCACCACAGGCCTGAAAGCACTCCAAATGTCCACTTGCAGATTCTGCCAAAAGAATATTTCAAAACTGCTCTATGAAAAGCAATGTTAAACTCTGTGGCTCGAACACAAACATCACAAAGCGGTTTCTGAGAATGCTTCAGTTTAGTTTTTCTGTGGAAATATTCCCGTTTCCAAAGAAATCTTCAAAGAGGTCCACGTATCCACTTACAGATTCTACAAAAAGACAGTTTCAAAACTGCTCCATCAAAAGGAGGGTTCAACTGTGTGACTTGAATGCAATCATCACTCAGAAGTTTCTGAGAATGCTTCTCTTTAGTTTTTACGTGAACATATACCCGTTTCGAACGAAGGCCACCCAGTGGTCCAAATATCCACTTGCAGATTCTACAGAAAGAGTGTTTCGAACCTGAACTCTCAAAGGCAGGTTCATCTCTGCGAGTTAAATGCATTCATCATGAAGAACTTTCTCAGAGTGTTTGTGTTTAGTTATGGGAAATTATTCCCGTTTCCAACGAAATCCTCAGAGAGCTCCAAATATCCACCTGCTGATTCTACCAAAAGTGTATTTGGAAACTGCTCCATCAAAAGGCATGTTCAGCTCTGTGAGTGAAACTCCATCATCACAAAGAATATTCTGAGAATGCTTCCGTTTGCCTTTTATATGAAGTTCCTTCCTGTACTACCGTAGGCCTCAAAGCAGTCCAAATCTCCATTTGCAGATTCTATGAAAAGAGTGATTCCAATCTGCTCTATCAATAGGATTGTTCAACTCCATGAGTTGAATGCCATCCTCACAAAGTAGTTTCTGAGAATGCTTCTATCTGGTTTTTGTGTGAAGATATTTCCTTTTCCACCACAGGCCTCAAAGCCCTCCAAACGTCCACTTGCAGATTCTCGAAAAAGAGTGTTTCATAGCTGCTCTTTCAAAAGGAAAGTTCAACTCTGGGAGTTGAATACAAACATCACAAAGTAGTTTCCGAGAATGCTTATATTTAGTTTTTATGTGAAGATGATCCCGTTTCCAGTGAAATCTTCAAAGAGGTCCACATATTCCCTTGCAGATTCCAAAGAAAGAGGGTTTCAAAACTGCTCCATCAGAAGGATTGTTCAACTCTGTGAGTTGAATGCAGTCATCGCAGAAAACTTTCTAAGAATGCTTCTGTCTAGGTTTGATGTGAAGATATAGACGTTTCAAACGAAGGCTACAAAGTGGTCAAAATATACACTTGCAGATTCTACTACAAGGGTGTTGCAAACCTGAACTATCAAAGGAAGGTTCAACTCTGTGAGTTGAATACAAACATCACAAAGAATGTTCTGAGTTTGCTTCCGTTCAGTTATGGGAAGTTGATCCCGTTTCCAACGAAATCCTCAGAGAGGTCCAAATATCCCCTCACAGATTCTACAAAACGTGTGTTTGGAAACTGCTCCATCATAACGAATGTTCAGCTCCCTGAGTTAAACTCCATCGTCACAAAGAATTTTCTGAGAGTGCTACCGTCTGGTTTTTATATGAAGTTCTTTCCTTCACTACCACAGGCCTCAAAGCGGTCCAAATCTCCACTTGCAGATTCTACAAAAAGAGTGTTTGCAAACTGCTCTATCAAAAGGAATGTTCAACTCTGGGAGTTGAATGCAATCATCACAGAGCAGTTTCTGAGAATGCTTCTATGTCGTTTTTAGGAGAAGATATTTCCTTTTCCAACACAGTCCTCCAAGCCCGCTAAATAGCCACTTGCACATTGTAGAAAAAGTGTGTCAAAGCTGCGCTATCAAAGGGAAAGTTCAACTCTGTGAGGTGAATGCAAACATCCCAAAGAAGTTTCTGAGAATGCTTCCGTTTAGCTTTTAGGTGAAGATTATCCCGTTTCCAACGAAATCTTCAAAGAGGTCCAAATATCCCCTTGCGGATCCCACAGAAAGAGTGTTTCGAAACTGCTGTTTCAAAAGGAATCTTCAACTCTGTGACTTGAATGCAATCATCACAAAGAAGTTTCTGACAATGCTTCTCTCTCGTCTTTCTGTGAAGATAAAGGAAAAGGCTTTCAGGCCTTTTCCACCACAGGCCTGAAAGCGCTCCAAATGTCCACTTGCAGATTCTGCCAAAAGAATATTTCAAAACTGCTCTATGAAAAGCAATGTTAAACTCTGTGGCTCGAACACAAACATCACAAAGCGGTTTCTGAGAATGCTTCAGTTTAGTTTTTCTGTGGAAATATTCCCGTTTCCAAAGAAATCTTCAAAGAGGTCCACGTATCCACTTACAGATTCTACAAAAAGACAGTTTCAAAACTGCTCCATCAAAAGGAGGGTTCAACCATGTGACTTGAATGCAATCATCACTCAGAAGTTTCTGAGAATGCTTCTTTTTAGTTTTTATGTGAACATATACCCGTTTCGAACGAAGGCCACCCAGTGGTCCAAATATCCACTTGCAGATTCTACAGAAAGAGTGTTTCGAACCTGAACTCTCAAAGGCAGGTTCATCTCTGCGAGTTAAATGCATTCATCATGAAGAACTTTCTCAGAGTGTTTGTGTTTAGTTATGGGAAATTATTCCCGTTTCCAACGAAATCCTCAGAGAGCTCCAAATATCCACCTGCAGATTCTACCAAAAGTGTATTTGGAAACTGCTCCATCAAAAGGCATGTTCAGCTCTGTGAGTGAAACTCCATCATCACAAAGAATATTCTGAGAATGCTTCCGTTTGCCTTTTATATGAAGTTCCTTCCTATACTACCGTAGGCCTCAAAGCAGTCCAAATCTCCATTTGCAGATTCTACAAAAAGAGTGATTCCAATCTGCTCTATCAATAGGATTGTTCAACTCCATGAGTTGAATTCCATCCTCACAATGTCGTTTGTGAGAATGCTTCTATCTAGTTTTTATGTGAAGATATTTCCTTTTCCACCACAGGCCTCAAAGCCCTCCAAACGTCCACTTGCAGATTCTCGAAAAAGAGTGTTTCATAGCTGCTCTTTCAAAAGGAAAGTTCAACTCTGGGAGTTGAATACAAACATCCCAAAGTAGTTTCCGAGAATGCTTATATTTAGTTTTTATGTGAAGATGATCCCGTTTCCAGTGAAATCTTCAAAGAGGTCCACATATTCCCTTGCAGATTCCAAAGAAAGAGGGTTTCAAAACTGCTCCATCAGAAGGATTGTTCAACTCTGTGAGTTGAATGCAGTCATCGCAGAAAACTTTCTAAGAATGCTTCTGTCTAGGTTTGATGTGAAGATATAGACGTTTCAAACGAAGGCTACAAAGTGGTCAAAATATACACTTGCAGATTCTACTACAAGGGTGTTGCAAACCTGAACTATCAAAGGAAGGTTCAACTCTGTGAGTTGAATACAAACATCACAAAGAATGTTCTGAGTTTGCTTCCGTTCAGTTATGGGAAGTTGATCCCGTTTCCAACGAAATCCTCAGAGAGGTCCAAATATCCCCTTGCAGATTCTACAAAACGTGTGTTTGGAAACTGCTCCATCATAACGAATGTTCAGCTCCCTGAGTTAAACTCCATCGTCACAAAGAATTTTCTGAGAGTGCTACCGTCTGGTTTTTATATGAAGCTCTTTCCTTCACTACCACAGACCTCAAAGCGGTCCAAATCTCCACTTGCAGATTCTACAAAAAGAGTGTTTGCAAACTGCTCTATCAAAAGGAATGTTCAACTCTGGGAGTTGAATGCAATCATCACAGAGCAGTTTCTGAGAATGCTTCTATGTCGTTTTTAGGAGAAGATATTTCCTTTTCCAACACAGTCCTCCAAGCCCGCTAAATATCCACTTGCACATTGTAGAAAAAGTGTGTCAAAGCTGCGCTATCAAAGGGAAAGTTCAACTCTGTGAGGTGAATGCAAACATCCCAAAGAAGTTTCTGAGAATGCTTCCGTTTAGCTTTAAGTGAAGATTATCCCGTTTCCAACGAAATCTTCAAAGAGGTCCAAATATCCCCTTGCGGATCCCACAGAAAGAGTGTTTCGAAACTGCTGTTTCAAAAGGAATCTTCAACTCTGTGAGTTGAATGCAATCATCACAAAGAAGTTTCTGACAATGCTTCTCTCTCGTCTTTCTGTGAAGATAAAGGAAAAGGCTTTCAGGCCATTTCCACCACAGGCCTGAAAGCGCTCCAAATGTCCACTTGCAGATTCTGCCAAAAGAATATTTCAAAACTGCTCTATGAAAAGCAATGTTAAACTCTGCGGCTCGAACACAAACATCACAAAGCAGTTTCTGAGAATGCTTCAGTTTAGTTTTTCTGTGGAGATATTCCCATTTCCAAAGAAATCTTCAAAGAGGTCCACATATCCACTTACAGATTCTACAAAAAGACAGATTCAAAACTGCTCAATCAAAAGGAGGGTTCAACTGTGTGACTTGAATGCAATCATCACACAGAAGTTTCTGAGAATGCTTCTCTTTAGTTTTTACGTGAACATATACCCGTTTCGAACGAAGGCCACCCAGTGGTCCAAATGTCCACTTGCAGATTCTACAGAAAGAGTGTTTCGAACCTGAACTCTCAAAGGCAGGTTCATCTCTGCGAGTTAAATGCATTCATCATGAAGAACTTTCTCAGCGTGTTTGTGTTTAGTTATGGGAAATTATTCCCGTTTCCAACGAAATCCTCAGAGAGCTCCAAATATCCACCTGCAGATTCTACCAAAAGTGTATTTGGAAACTGCTCCATCAAAAGGCATGTTCAGCTCTGTGAGTGAAACTCCATCATCACAAAGAATATTCTGAGAATGCTTCCGTTTGCCTTTTATCTGAAGTTCCTTCCTATACGACCGTAGGCCTCAAAGCAGTCCAAATCTCCATTTGCAGATTCTACAAAAAGAGTGATTCCAATCTGCTCTATCAATAGGATTGTTCAACTCCATGAGTTGAATGCCATCCTCACAAAGTCGTTTCTGAGAATGCTTTCTATCTAGTTTTTATGTGAAGATATTTCCTTTTCCACCACAGGCCTCAAAGCCCTCCAAACGTCCACTTGCAGATTCTCGAAAAAGAGTGTTTCATAGCTGCTCTTTCAAAAGGAAAGTTCAACTCTGGGAGTTGAATACAAACATCACAAAGTAGTTTCCGAGAATGCTTCTGTTTAGTTTTTATGTGAAGATGATCCCGTTTCCAGTGAAATCTTTCAAAGAGGTCCACATATCCCCTTGCAGATTCCAAAGAAAGAGGGTTTCAAAACTGCTCCATCAGAAGGATTGTTCAACTCTGTGAGTTGAATGCAGTCATCGCAGAAAACTTTCTGAGAATGCTTCTGTCTAGGTTTGATGTGAAGATATAGACGTTTCAAACGAAGGCTACAAAGTGGTCAAAATATACACTTGCAGATTCTACTACAAGGGTGTTGCAAACCTGAACTATCAAAGGAAGGTTCAACTCTGTGAGTTGAATACAAACATCACAAAGAATGTTCTGAGTTTGCTTCCGTTCAGTTATGGGAAGTTGATCCCGTTTCCAACGAAATCCTCAGAGAGGTCCAAATATCCCCTCGCAGATTCTACAATACGTGTGTTTGGAAACTGCTCCATCATAACGAATGTTCAGCTCCCTGAGTTAAACTCCATCGTCACAAAGAATTTTCTGAGAGTGCTACCGTCTGGTTTTTATATGAAGTTCTTTCCTTCACTACCACAGGCCTCAAAGCGGTCCAAATCTCCACTTGCAGATTCTACAAAAAGAGTGTTTGCAAACTGCTCTATCAAAAGGAATGTTCAACTCTGGGAGTTGAATGCAATCATCACAGAGCAGTTTCTGAGAATGCTTCTATGTCGTTTTTAGAAGATATTTCCTTTTCCAACACAGTCCTCCAAGCCCGCTAAATATCCACTTGCACATTGTAGAAAAAGTGTGTCAAAGCTGCGCTATCAAAGGGAAAGTTCAACTCTGTGAGGTGAATGCAAACATCCCAAAGAAGTTTCTGAGAATGCTTCCGTTTAGCTTTTAGGTGAAGATTATCCCGTTTCCAACGAAACCTTCAAAGAGGTCCAAATATCCCCTTGCGGATCCCACAGAAAGAGTGTTTCGAAACTGCTGTTTCAAAAGGAATCTTCAACTCTGTGAGTTGAATGCAATCATCACAAAGAAGTTTCTGACAATGCTTCTCTCTCGTCTTTCTGTGAAGATAAAGGAAAAGGCTTTCAGGCCTTTTCCGCCACAGGCCTGAAAGCGCTCCAAATGTCCACTTGCAGATTCTGCGAAAAGAATATTTCAAAACTGCTCTATGAAAAGCAATGTTAAACTCTGTGGCTCGAACACAAACATCACAAAGCGGTTTCTGAGAATGCTTCAGTTTAGTTTTTCTGTGGAAATATTCCCGTTTCCAAAGAAATCTTCAAAGAGGTCCACGTATCCACTTACAGATACTACAAAAAGACAGTTTCAAAACTGCTCCATCAAAAGGAGGGTTCAACTGTGTGACTTGAATGCAATCATCACTCAGAAGTTTCTGAGAATGCTTCTCTTTAGTTTTTACGTGAACATATACCCGTTTCGAAAGAAGGCCACCCAGTGGTCCAAATATCCACTTGCAGATTCTACAGAAAGAGTGTTTCGAACCTGAACTCTCAAAGGCAGGTTCATCTCTGCGAGTTAAATGCATTCATCATGAAGAACTTTCTCAGAGTGTTTGTGTTTAGTTATGGGAAATTATTCCCGTTTCCAACGAAATCCTCAGAGAGCTCCAAATATCCACCTGCAGATTCTACCAAAAGTGTATTTGGAAACTGCTCCATCAAAAGGCATGTTCAGCTCTGTGAGTGAAACTCCATCATCACAAAGAATATTCTGAGAATGCTTCCGTTTGCCTTTTATATGAAGTTCCTTCCTATACGACCGTAGGCCTCAAAGCAGTCCAAATCTCCATTTGCAGATTCTACAAAAAGAGTGATTCCAATCTGCTCTATCAATAGGATTGTTCAACTCCATGAGTTGAATGCCATCCTCACAAAGTTGTTTCTGAGAATGCTTCTATCTAGTTTTTATGTGAAGATATTTCCTTTTCCACCACAGGCCTCAAAGCCCTCCAAACGTCCACTTGCAGATTCTCGAAAAAGAGTGTTTCATAGCTGCTCTTTCAAAAGGAAAGTTCAACTCTGGGAGTTGAATACAAACATCACAAAGTAGTTTCCGAGAATGCTTCTGTTTAGTTTTTATGTGAAGATGATCCCGTTTCCAGTGAAATCTTCAAAGAGGTCCACATATCCCCTTGCAGATTCCAAAGAAAGAGGGTTTCAAAACTGCTCCATCAATAGGATTGTTCAACTCTGTGAGTTGAATGCAGTCATCGCAGAAAACTTTCTGAGAATGCTTCTGTCTAGGTTTGATGTGAAGATATAGACGTTTCAAACGAAGGCTACAAAGTGGTCAAAATATACACTTGCAGATACTACTACAAGGGTGTTGCAAACCTGAACTATCAAAGGAAGGTTCAACTCTGTGAGTTGAATACAAACATCACAAAGAATGTTCTGAGTTTGCTTCCGTTCAGTTATGGGAAGTTGATCCCGTTTCCAACGAAATCCTCAGAGAGGTCCAAATATCCCCTTGCAGATTCTACAAAACGTGTTTTTGGAAACTGCTCCATCATAACGAATGTTCAGCTCCCTGAGTTAAACTCCATCGTCACAAAGAATTTTCTGAGAGTGCTACCGTCTGGTTTTTATATGAAGCTCTTTCCTTTACTACCCCAGGCCTCAAAGCGGTCCAAATCTCCACTTGCAGATTCTACAAAAAGAGTGTTTGCAAACTGCTCTATCAAAAGGAATGTTCAACTCTGGGAGTTGAATGCAATCATCACAGAGCAGTTTCTGAGAATGCTTCTATGTCGTTTTTAGGAGAAGATATTTCCTTTTCCAACACAGTCCTCCAAGTCCGCTAAATAGCCACTTGCACATTGTAGAAAAAGTGTGTCAAAGCTGCGCTATCAAAGGGAAAGTTCAACTCTGAGAGGTGAATGCAAACATCCCTAAGAAGTTTCTGAGAGTGCTTCCGTTTAGCTTTTAGGTGAAGATTATCCCGTTTCCAACGAAAGCTTCAAAGAGGTCCAAATATCCCCTTGCGGATCCCACAGAAAGAGTGTTTCGAAACAGCTGTTTCAAAAGGAATCTTCAACTCTGTGAGTTGAATGCAATCATCACAAAGAAGTTTCTGACAATGCTTCTCTCTCGTCTTTCTGTGAAGATAAAGGAAAAGGCTTTCAGGCCTTTTCCACCACAGGCCTGAAAGCGCTCCAAATGTCCACTTGCAGATTCTGCCAAAAGAATATTTCAAAACTGCTCTATGAAAAGCAATGTTAAACTCTGCGGCTCGAACACAAACATCACAAAGCAGTTTCTGAGAATGCTTCAGTTTAGTTTTTCTGTGGAAATATTCCCGTTTCCAAAGAAATCTTCAAAGAGGTCCACGTATCCACTTACAGATTCTACAAAAAGACAGTTTCAAAACTGGTCAATCAAAAGGAGGGTTCAACTGTGTGACTTGAATGCAATCATCACTCAGAAGTTTCTGAGAACGCTTCTCTTTAGTTTTTACGTGAACATATACCCGTTTCGAACGAAGGCCAGCCAGTGGTCCAAATATCCACTTGCAGATTCTACAGAAAGAGTGTTTCGAATCTGAACTCTCAAAGGCAGGTTCATCTCTGCGAGTTCAATGCATTCATCATGAAGAACTTTCTCAGCGTGTTTGTGTTTAGTTATGGGAAATTATTCCCGTTTCCAACGAAATCCTCAGAGAGCTCCAAATATCCACCTGCAGATTCTACCAAAAGTGTATTTGGAAACTGCTCCATCAAAAGGCATGTTCAGCTCTGTGCGTGAAACTCCATCGTCACAAAGAATATTCTGAGAATGCTTCCGTTTGCCTTTTATCTGAAGTTCCTTCCTATACGACCGTAGGCCTCAAAGCAGTCCAAATCTCCATTTGCAGATTCTACAAAAAGAGTGATTCCAATCTGCTCTATCAATAGGATTGTTCAACTCCATGAGTTGAATGCCATCCTCACAAAGTCGTTTCTGAGAATGCTTTCTATCTAGTTTTTATGTGAAGATATTTCCTTTTCCACCACAGGCCTCAAAGCCCTCCAAACGTCCACTTGCAGATTCTCGAAAAAGAGTGTTTCATAGCTGCTCTTTCAAAAGGAAAGTTCAACTCTGGGAGTTGAATACAAACATCACAAAGTAGTTTCCGAGAATGCTTCTGTTTAGTTCTTATGTGAAGATGATCCCGTTTCCAGTGAAATCTTCAAAGAGGTCCACATATCCCCTTGCAGATTCCAAAGAAAGAGGGTTTCAAAACTGCTCCATCAAAAGGATTGTTCAACTCTGTGAGTTGAATGCAGTCATCGCAGAAAACTTTCTGAGAATGCTTCTGTCTAGGTTTGAGGTGAAGGTATAGACGTTTCAAACGAAGGCTACAAAGTGGTCAAATTATACACTTGCAGATTCTACTACAAGGGTGTTGCAAACCTCAACTATCAAAGGAAGGTTCAACTCTGTGAGTTGAATACAAACATCACAAAGAATGTTCTGAGTTTGCT